>NC_000015.10:28428389-28731419 GCF_000001405.40 Homo sapiens
ATCCAATAGGGCAGTCATTAAACATTAAAGTTCCAAAATGATCTCCTTTGACTCTGTGTCTCACATGCAGGTCACACTGATGCAAGTGGTGGTCTCCCATGGCCTTGGGCAGCTCTGCCTCTGTGGCTTTGCAGGGTACAGCCTCCCTCCTGGCTGCTTTCACTGGCTGGCATTGTCTGTGGCTTTTCCAGGTACACAGTGTAAACTGTTTGTGGATTACCAATTGGGGGTTTGGAGGGCAGCGGCCCTCTTCTCATAGCTCCACTAGGCATTGCCCCAGTAGGGACTCTGTATGGGAGACAGAGCCCACATTTCAATTCTCTACTACCCTGGAAGAGGTTCTTCATGAGCCCCTGCTCCTGCCCCCGCACCCCACCAGAGCAAATTTCTGCCTGAACATCCAAGTGTTTCCATACATTCTCTGAAATCTAGGTGGAGGGTCCCAAACCTCAATTCTTGACTTCTGTGCGCCTGCAGGCTCAACATCTTGTGGAAGCTGCCAAGGCTTGGGGCTGCAACCTCTGAAGACATGGCCTGAGCTGTAGCCTGGTGTCTCCCACCCCAGCCATGGCTGGAGTGGCTGGAATGCAGGGCACCAAGTCTCTAGGCTGCACACAGCAGGGGGACCTGGACCTGCTCCAGGAAATCATTTTTCCATACTAGGCTTTTGAGCCTGTGATGGAAAGAGCTGCCGTGAAGGTGTTAAGGTCTTTAATGTTCTGGAGACATTTTCCCCATTGTCTTGGTGATTACATTTGGCTCCTTGTTACTTATGCAAATTTCTGCAGGAGGCTTTAATGAAAGTCGGTTTTTCTTTTCTTTTCTTTTCTTTTTTTTTTTTTTGGATTGGGAGTCTCACTCTCTTGCCCAGGCTGGAGTGCAGTGCCGCAATCTGGGCTCACTGCAAGCTCCGCCTCCCAGGTTCACGCCATTCCTCAGCCTCCCAAGTAGCTGGGACTACAGGTGCCCGCCACCACGCCTGGCTAATTTTTTTGTATTTTTTTAGTAGAGACAGGGTTTCACCGTGTTAGCCAGGATGGTCTGGATTTGCTGACCTCGTGATCCGCCCGCCTCAGCCTCTCAAAGTGCTGGGACTACAGGCGTGAGCCACCGCGCCCGGCCAAAAAATCTTATACATTATAATGCTCAAATTTTATCCTTTAATAAGTCATAACGGAGAAACATGCTAATGATTTCACAATTAAATGTGACGTTCATTTAGTGTTTTGCTTTGTAATATTAAATATTTTATTGTTTTCCATGTGATACCTTTTCCTTTAAAATTCTACTTTATGTGAAATCGATGATGTTATAAATAGTCTTTGATTTTTACTTTATTAATCTTTGTACATTTTAATATCGTTATACTTACAGGAACAGTTTGTACACTTCATGGAAATAGAGTAGAGTAATAGAGTTTGATTATTTGTTTTGTTTTCAGCTGAGGGTTTTTTTTTTTTTGGTAATTTCAGTCTTAGAGTCTTTCTTTTCAGCAGTTAGTGGTATAATTCATATTTGTTTCTCATAGCTGATTTTTTGTTTTAACTTTTGTGAACTTGCTTATAGTTTCTTTACAACTATTAGGCCGGTGCAAAAGTTATTGAAGTTTTCACTAATTATTATTATTATTATTATTTTGAGGCAGACTCTCCCTCTGTCGCCCAGGCTGGAGTGCAGTGGCGCGATCTCAGCTCACTGCAAGCTCCGCCTCCCGGGTTCACGCCATTTTCTTGCCTCAGCCTCCCGAGTAGCTGGGACTGCAGGCCCCGGTCACCACGCCTGGCTAATTTTTTGTATTTTTAGCGGAGATGGGGTTTCACCATATTAGCTAGGATGGTCTCGATCTCCTGACCTCGTGATCCGCCCACCTCAGCCTCCCAAAGTGCTGGGATTACAGGCGTGAGCCACTGCACCCGGCCTAATTATTTGTTTTTTAAAAGATGGTACATACGAGGAAGTAAATCAGGAAAGGAGGATAGTGATTGGTGGCAGTAGAAGTGAGTCAGTGTTACAGTTACTATTGCTGCTTAAGAAACTACCCCAAATGGCCCGGGCGCCGTGGCTCACGCCTGTAATCCCAGCAGTTTGGGAGGCTGAGACGGGCGGATCACGAGTTCAGGAGATCGAGACCATCCTGCCTAACACGGTGAAACCCCGTCTCTACTAAAAATACAAAAGTTAGCCTGGCGTGGTGGTGGGTGACTGTAGTCCCAGCTACTCGGGAGGCTGAGGCAGGAGAATGGTGTGAACCCGGGAGGCGGAGCTTGCAGTGAGCCGAGATTGCGCCACTGCACTCCAGCTTGGGCCACAGAGTGAGACTCCGTCTCAAAAAAAAAAAAGAAAAAAGAAAAAAAAAAAGAAAAAAGAAACTACCCCAAATTTAATAAGGTAAAACAACGACCACTTCATTGTATCTCATGGATCCTATAGGTGAGAAATTCCAGCAGGATTCGTCTGAGTGATTCTTCCTCTCTCATATCATTAACTAGGGTGACTCAGTGCTATGCGGCTGGCAAACAAGTCAGTCTGGAAGGTGCAAGGTGCTTTTTTTCTGTCTTATGTATTGGTGGGGTTGTCTGGAAGGCAAGGCTCAGATGGGAGGGACTCGTAGTTATAGTGCCTGCATAGGGTGAACTTCTTTTTTTTTTTTTTTTAGACGGAGTCTCACTGTCCCCCAGGCTGGAGTGGTGTGGCCCGATCTCGGCTCACTGCAAGCTCCGCCTCCCGGGTTCACGCCATTCTCCTGCCTCAGCCTCCCAAGTAGCTGGGACTATAGGCGCCCACGACCAGGCCCGGCTAATTTTTTGTATTTTTAGTAGAGACGGGGTTTCACCGTGTTAGCCAGGATGGTCTCGATCTCCTGACCTCGTGATCCGCCCTCCTCGGCCTCCCAAAGTGCTGGGATTACAGGCCTGAGCCACCGCGCCCGGCCTGTGCTCACCCATATTTCTGTTTGCTGTGTGGTGCAGTGCGACCACACGGTTCTTCAGACACAACCTCTGCTTTCTCATTTACCTCAACACTTTAACCCTTAGATTCTTTTTTACTATACTTCAGTGTATTTCCCAGGCATATATTGTCTATGAGGGATAAAATAAAATATCAATTAAAAACAAAAAAATTCAGAGAAATATTAACCATTCACTCTTCTAAGTTCTCAAAGGTTACATTCTTCACCAAATCATATAACCAGGTCCCAATAAAATACCATCATGCAGGGAATTTAACATCATGTAGTTTAAAATACCATCATGCGGGCAGCTTTCAACTAAGCATCCTGTAAGAAAAGATCATTTGTTCTTACATCTTTAAAAGTTTGGAAATTGCTATGGAAGATTATTTTTATTATATTGTCCATTGTCTGTTGCTTGAAGACATATATTTTGCTTGAGTTTAGAGTTACCAAAAAATAGTTGCTGATATATCCAGATACTATTTTATTAACTAACAATACCTATTTGAATTCTGGTTTTCCTTTTGGCCTTTAAGAACAAGGGGCTTAGGACTAAATTTTAGGCTGAAGGGTAGTGTTTCCTTCCCTAGGTTGTCCCATGTAATTGTCACCTCTTTCTCTTCATTATTCTGTCATTTTGCCCTTGTTTTATAGTGTCTGTGCCTTTCATTCTAAGCTGTCTCAGGGGCTTTTCTGGAAATACACAGTGTATAAGTACAAAATGATGAAATAAACATGCTTCTTTTTTTTTTTTTTTTTTAAGGCGGAGTCTCACTCTATTGCCCAGACTGGAGTGCAGTGGCACGATCTCGGCTCACTGCAAGCTCTGCCTCCTGGGTTCACTCCATTCTCCGGCCTCAGCCTCGCGAGTAGCTGGGACTACAGGCACCTGCCACCATGTCTGGCTAATTTTTTGTATTGTTAGTAGAGACGGGGTTTCACCATGTTAGGCAGGATGGTCTCGATCTCCTGACCTTGTGATCTGCCCGCCTTGGCCTCCCAAAGTGCTGGGATTACAGGCGTGAGCCACCACATCAGGCCAACACACTTCTTTATTTTGTTTTCAAAGATGCTTGGGTGGGACTAGATGACCTCTAAGGTCCTTTCCAGCTCTAAATTTACGTTACTTTCACCAAAGACAGACAAAAAAAAATCTGTTAGGTTATAGGTCTAGAGATGAGTGCCAAGTACTATATTCCTGCTCTAGGTGCATTTCTTGTTGAAGGCAGTGCTAGATTCAGTGACCTGTTACGGCCGTTTACAGTCTTATGGTGATAAAACAAGAGAACTGATTGCTAAAAAAAAAAAAAAATTTCAGTTGAAATATCTTTTTACTCTTAAGCATCAACAAAAAATAAATAGAAAACAGAAGAGTTGAATTATTTAGTTTGAGCTATTTGTAATAAATTTGGACAACTAAGCTAAGCCCGAGTGTAGTTAATTCAATGAAATTAGTCATATTTGAATATTGTCACAACCTTACTACCACATTAGCATTAAGTGTGATTAAAATTTATTCTTTGTTTCTGTGTGAGTCTCCACAGAATCAGCTATCAACACCTTCATAATAAACTAGCCCTTCATTGCTTTCAGGAAACTTTTAGATTCAGAGCAGGTGGTTGGGCTTCTGCTTTAAAAGAGAACACATCATTTTTAAAGTCCCTTTCCTGTTTGTGTGTGTGAATTTAGAACACAGAAATTATCCATTGCATTGTTTATTTTTGCTAGGAGGTAGAAGTTCTTAAAAATATAGGAAATACTAGATATCATGTACTGATAATTTCCAAAGCTAATTATTTTTCTTAAGTCCAAGCTATAATTTAAGAGGTGTACTTGTGAAATATGAATATTGTTTTAGAGTAATAAAATGTTTCTCATGGAAAAATAGAATATGATTTTGTCAAAGTTCAAGGGAATATCCATTTTCATTCAGGTAGCTTCCAGATTTTTGTCTTTACATGTTCTGTGTAGTGATTTAAATACCGTACCTCCAAAATTTATGTCCATTAGGAACTTTAGAATGTGATTTTATTTGGAAGTAGGGTCTTTGCAGATATAATTAACCCAGTGATTGAGATGAGGTCATCCTGGGTGAAGGTGGGCCCTAAATCCAGTGTAAATGTCCTTATAACATACAGGAAAAGACACACACAAGGTCATGTGAAGATGGAGACAGAAATTGGAGTTATGCAGTCATAAATCAAAGAAGGTCAAGGATTGCCAGGAGCCACTGGAAGCCAGGAAGAAGCGAGGGAGAATTCTTCCCTAGGGTCTTCAGGGGGAGTGTGGCCCCGCCAACATCTTGATTTCAGAGGTCCAGGCTTCAGAACTATGAGAGAATATATTTCTGTCCTCTTAACCCACCAAGTGTGTGATAATTAGGTATGATGGCCCTAGGCAACTACTACACTCTAATTCAGAAGTTCTTCTGGATTTTATTGTATCATGTGTTGGTAGGAAGTACCTGGCTGTTTCAGTTGCATGATATGTGGGTAATCTTAGAATTATCATATCTTGCAAGTAATTTTAAAGTATGTTGTAATGTAGTCAGAAGCTTTTTAAATATGAAATTTAATTCATGCTGGTGTCAATTACATTTGAAAAAATACAAAAAAGCTATATAAGATTCTAGGATCTTTCAGAATTTTATAATGTTTATAATGGACAGTTGGTTAAATAAAAATTGTACCCTAAACAATTTTGTTGTTGGCTTAAAATAGCATTTAATTTATTAGTGCTCAGATAATAGTTATCCCCTAAATAGCATTTTTACTTTCATATGTTGATATCAAACAGTGAAGTGAGACAGCAAATCAGTACAACGTGGTGATTATCAAACATCATAAATCCATGAAGGATAGCCTTGATCTTACTGAGAAGAGTTTAATTTTAAAATGCATACCTGGAAAAGGCAACTTAGATTAACATTTCAAACTCACATAGCATTATTTGTGATTGATTATAGTTATAATTGATCATTTTACTTTTGGACCGTCACTTCGAATCAAATTGGGATAAATATAAATTAAAGATTGATTATTTGCTTTGAATTTTAGATTAAAAAATTCAAAAACCATAAAAACAGAGCTTTGACTATAATAAAGGTATTTATCCTTTCTTGGTAAGAATTGGGGAGGGGTTTAAGAAAAGGCTAAGCAATGTTCTATTTTTTACGTAGGCAAAAGTTCATTTGTGCTACTTTTTAATTAGGTAGTTTGTTGTTTTTTAAATGACAGCTTCCTAAACACTACTGATTTTACATGTGCAGTCATTAGCTTTTCATGTGGAAATAGTATCTTTCAAATTCACGCAGCTGCTTATTTTATGAAATGCAATGAGACTACTTACTTGCCACCTGTCTAAACTGGAATGCATAGATTCATGCCTTGCCAAATGAGGAGTTAGGGTGAAAAGTGATTAACGTCCATTCTTTAATGAGTTTCTAAGTCTTTCTGAACATGTTTTTATTCTATCTATTGCAGTGGTATAGTAACATTTTCGTGTTGGTTGCTGTACAATGCATGATAATACCTTTATTAAAGCAATGTTAATGACATCCATAAGATATCATAAAATATTATATTCTCAATAGGAAATTTGTTATATATAAATAACAATAAAGATCGTAATAAGCTCTCCTTAATTCTGTTTATTTTGACTTCATTATTAAGTTTGGAAACATAGGTGTCAAATTTAGACATTATTTATATGTAATTATAAAGCCAAATAAATGTTAGAGATTAACTTAAAAAGAGTTTTGTGGCTTAACAATTGAAGTGAGATAGTGAGATCACAAGGGGCTTAATCATTCTGAATTGATTCTACAGATGTCTCCTTTCTCTAAATGCCCTGTAAGCTTCCTATCTTCCATGAAAGTTTATTCCCATAATCCTGGCACATAAAATTAGTCATATAACTCTTTTCCATTCTGAGATTTCAAGGATTAGGACTTTCAACATAGAGAAAACGTGCTGTGTAGAAGCTGAATGTACAAAAGGCAACACTTGGCAACGGAATCCAGTATTTCCCAAGTATTTGAGGAAACTTACAAAACCCAAATCTCTAGTACTTGCTTTCACATTTGCTATCAGAACCAGGAAGGGAGGCCTAGAAATGGTTTGAATGGAAAATTTGTTGTTGTAGAAGGGGTTCCCATTCACTGGTGAATAGACACAACGTATTTCCCAACCTTCTTTTAATCCAAGATAGCAACATTTTTACTGGAGCCAAAGATAAAACCAGTATTTAATCTCCTAGAAATTAGGAGATGTATGACTCTGGAAATGGAAAGAATTTTCATATCCAGCCACATAACCAAGTCCTGCAAGAACATAATAAACAAACCAATCAAACAACAAGAATAACAACCACAACATGGTCCCCATTCTGTCTTTAACCTCTGATAGAAAGAGCAGTAATGGTAAGACGAGAAAGCTCTCGTCAAGTGTTTTCCTCATCTACTGTTAATGATTTATTCTTACATCCTGTCCCAGTCCAATTATGAAAAAATTCTAAGAGAGATCCCTTTAACTGACTTGTAATGAATTCCAGGGTCACATTCCAGATATTGTTTTCCCCTGAAATCGTGTAAGTGCACATCAAAATACTATACTTTTGGTGTGAATCTGAGCCAAATTCTATTGTATTCTAAATAAAGTGAAACTCCTATCAGCCAATAGGGCACGGTATCAGTTTCAAATAAGACAAGTTGGTAAAGTCAGGAGAAATGACTTCCTCCTTCCTCCTGATGTGCTGTATATAGATGTATTAGCACTGCCTTTTAATATTTTATGTGTTCAACAGAGAGGGAACTAACATCTTGTTAATCCTCATTTGAAAACAATTTTGCGAATGTAAATGTAGCAGGGCTTTTGCCTTTTTTCCTTCTTCATGAAAAACAAGTAGTGCTTGGGGAGCAAGTGTTCCTGTTCAACTGCTGTCACTCATTCCCAGCTCTGTTTAGAAGAAATAAGCACAGATGGTTGGTCTACTACTTCCCCAACGAAAAATTTGCCTGTTGGCCGGGCGCAGTGGCTCAAGCCTGTAATCCCAGCACTTTGGGAGACGGAGGCGGGCAGATCACAAGGTCAGGAGATGGAGACCATCCTGGCTAACACGGTGAAACCCCGTCTCCACTAAAAATACAAAAAATTAGCTGGGCACGGTGGCGGACGCCTGTAGTCCCAGCTACTTCGAAGGCTGAGGCAGGAGAATGACGGGAACCCGGGAGGCGGAGCTTGCAGTGAGCAGAGATCGCGCCACTGCACTCCAGCCTGGGCGACAGAGCAAGACTCCGCCTCAAAAAAAAAAAAAAATTGCTTACCTTTTTTGTGTTTTATTCCATCCTTCTCATTGTCATGTGAACAGTATTTCAAGGGAAGAAACTTCTGTAGGGATCTTTGAAATGTTTATCCACTGCTTGTGCATGAAAGAGAAAAAGAAGAAATTAATGATTTATTAAAATTTCATGAGGGGAACTCAAAAACGCTTTGTTACAAAAAAATTTAATTTAGAAACCGTGTATTTTGCATGCAAAATTAAAGTCTTCAGGGAAGTAAGTTTTTATATCAGACTTGCATCCCAAAGTACTCATTTAATGATGACAGAACCACTTCATCCATGTTAAAAATACCTGTGTGGGTCTTTTTTATTTATACTGTGGCTTAATGAAAATTTGTCTATTGTAAATATATTAAGAAAAAGAGCATAAAGACTTTTTAACATAATTTTCTAACGCTGAAAATACATACAAACAGTAAAATACCCAAATCTTAACTGTACAGCTCAATACTTCTTTTGTTTTTAAACAAACTTAGCCCTTCTGTGTATCCAGTACTCAAATCAGGAAATTTTATATTATTACTTCTTCTAGACACTATTTCATAGGATAGCTCTTATGGTGATTTGGAACATAACTGATGAGTTTTACAATTTTTAGTGAATTAGATCGTAGAATATGTTCTGTATCTTGCTTCTTTCATTCAATATTTAGTTTATAAGATTTGTTAATCTTTTTGCATATAGTTGTAATTTGTTAGGTTCTCATTGCTATATACTATATCATTATACAAATATAAGTTCAATTTGTGGTTATTTTGAATGGTGCCTCTCTGAGCATTCATGTATTTGTCTTTTGGTAAATATTGCTGGGTATATGCTCAGGGTCATAGAATATGGTCAGATTTAGCATACATGGAAAATGGTGGTGTCCATCAGTTTACATTTCCATCCACAATGGGAGAGAGTTCTAGTTGCTCCGCATCTTTGCCAACACTTGGTATCATTTCTCTCTTTCATTTGAACTGTTCTGATGTGTATGTATCACTATTTCAATTGTGGTTATTTTGAACATTACAAAATTGGCAAAGAATAACTGATTTTATTAAATCATATTTCATTTGAAGTAACGTGGGTCTACTTTGCAGTATTTTTCCCTATTTACATGATTCATAAGAAGAGTGATCATGAGATAGTCAACAATATAACAGCTTGGAATGAGATTTTTGATCAGCTATAATTGTAATGTATTTTATCTAAATATTATTTAACTGTATTAGTAACTGTGATCATTAAGAACAGAAACAAAAGGTAAGCAAGTCCTTAGATTAACATGAAACAACATTCCTGCCTTTTGAAAGAAACTTTTCTGACCTGTAAGTAAATGATGTAAATCAATTAATAGCTTAACTGAAATTAAGAGATGAGTCTCAGCTTTCATTGCCTATATTATATCTGTGTTTCTGGAGAAACAAAAAAACAGTATGACAAACCTACAGTCTGCTAGTTTCTTCTCACCCTGCCAACAACTGTTATATTACTGTTTAGCTGGTTATGTGCAACCATTTGTTCAGGATTGTTTTGTTTTGCTTAGTTTTACTTTTTAAGGCAGAGTCTTGCTCTGTTGCCCAGGCTTGAGGTCTATGAGTTACACTCAGGGTCACGTGGTCAACGAGATGTAATCACAGCTCACTGCAGCCTTAACCTCCTGGGCTCACGTGATCCCCCTGCCTCTGCTTCCTCAGTAGCTGGGACTACAGGTGCATGCCACGACACCCGGCTTGTTGAGCAGAGTTTTGATGAAAATCATTCATCCCTTCTTAATCACAAACAGTGAAACCTTAGAAAATGTAATTAGAGAGAAAAATAACATTTTGCACCAAGCTAATTGTATCTTTACCTTTTATTAGTTGGTTTCAGGATTGGTACTTGTTGATGGTTCTGTTTTGGAGTGTGCGTTCCCTGGGTTTAACTCCTTGCAGCACACTTTATATACGTTGTGTGGCCTTACTTGAGTAACTTAAGTTGCTTAACTTCTCCAGATCCCAGATTCTCAACCTGTAGAATGGAAGTAATTATAATACAAACATTATGTGGTGGGTTAGTCCAGGTCCTCCAAGAGGTAGATGTTGAAAACGAGTTAAACACAAGAGGATTTTATTAAGGGAAATCCCTGTGAGAGAAAATGGAGAGGAAGCTGAGTAAGCCTGGAAGAGGTCTCAGCTATGAGGCAAGTCTGACCTAGAATGAAGGAAAGAGGAAAGGAAGGTTGAGTGGAAGCATTGGAGCGTAATGTACAGTCTAAGGAAGGGTGAGAAAAGGCTTCAGGGAATCCTGAGCCAAGACTGGTCCTCAGAGAAGCCCTGTGTCTCCTAAAGAGGGATCTGCATTAGCCACCCTGTGGCCCTCAGTCATTGACTGAGGGGCAGATGCAGAAACAGATTTTAGAGTGAAGCAGCAAGTGGCCGTAGGCAGTTAGGCTTCCCATACTTTGAGGTCTATGAGTTTATTTATTTATTTATTATTTATTTATTTAAATTATACTTTAAGCTCTGGGTTACATGTGCGGAACTTGCAGTTTTGTTTCATAGGTATACACATGCCATGGTGGTTTGCTGCACCCATCAACCCGTCACCTACATTAGGTATTTCTCCTAATGTTATCCCTCCCCTACACCCCCACACCCCACAGGCCCCAGTGTGTGATGATCCCCTCCCTGTGTCCATGTGTTCTCATTGTTCAACTCCTGCTTATGAGTGAGAACATGCGGCGTTTGGTTCTCTGATCTTGTGATAGTTTGCTGAGAATGATGGCTTCCAGCTTCATGCATGTCCCTGCAAAGGACATGAACTCATGTCCTTTTTTATGGCTGCATAGTATTCCATGGTGTATATGTGCCACATTTTCTTAATCCAGTCTATCACTGATGGACATTTGGGTTGGTTCCAAGTCTTTGCTATTGTGAATAGTGCCACAATAAACATACGTGTGCATGTGTCTTTATTGTAGAATGATTTATAATCTTTTGAGTATATGCCCAGTAATGGGATTGCTGGGTCAAATGGTATTTCTAGTTCTAGATCCTTGAGGAATTCACACACTGTCTTCCACAATGGTTGAAGTAAATTACACTCCCACCAATAGTGTAAAAGCATTCCTATTTTTCCACAACCTCTCCAGCATCTGTTGTTTCCTGACTTTTTAAGGACTGCCATTCTAACTGGAGTGAGATGGTATCTCATTGTGGTTTAGATTTGCATTTCTCTAATGCAGGTCTATGAGTTTCTTATTCATGGTCACTAAAAGATGTTTATCATGAATTGAAATCTCCAGATAAGAGTAAAGCAATGCCTAATTCATAGTTACGCACTTATCAATTTATTTATTCATATTATTCATTATCATTATGAATATTCAACACATTAATAAAAGAGTCACATGTGCAATCTACTTGGGGTATTGGGAGAGTAAAGAATAACATAGTGGTGCTACAGGTAATTTAAGAGATGGTTTCTCTCTCTCTCTCTCTCTCTCTATGTGTGTATATATATATATATATATATATATATATGAGACACAGGTATAATTATTTTCCTTCTACTATTTGTTGTTGATGTATACTGCCAAATCCCTAACGGATACTGGAATACTTAACTCTAAGCTCCCCCCACGCCTACAAAAGAAGTGGGTACAAGGTTAGTTTTTAAATCAAAAGATTTATTAATAGTATTTTTATCATGTCCAATTGATATTATCATTATCAAAAAGTTTAATCACTTATTATTACTTGAAGGACCTCGTTAGGAAATATTCGATCCCCTTTTTTTGGTTTTTTTTTTTTTTGAGACAGAGTCTCATTCTGTCACCCAGGCTGGAGTGCAGTGAGGTGATCTCGGCTCACTGCAAGCTCTGCCTCCCAGGTTCACGCCATTCTCCTGCCTCAGCCTCCCGAGTAGCTGGGACTACAGGCGCCCGCCACCACGCCCGGCTAATTTTTTGTATTTTTAGTAGAGACGGGGTTTCACCGTGTTAGCCAGGATGGTCTCGATCTCCTGACCTCGTGATCTGCCCGCCTCGGACTCCCAAAGTGCTGGGATTACGGGCGTGAGCCACCGCGCCTGGCCTGTTCCACTTCTTAAAACTGGTCACTGGAAGTACATCGTCTTGGGAAGAACTGGATATTTCTTGAAACCCCTTTCATATAGCCATATTCTCAAACATAGAACCTTCTTTTATTTTTTTCAAAGATTTTTTTCCATTACTGTAGAAAATTCAGAGGGTGTTTATGGATAGTGCAGTACTCCGCTCAAATACAGGGAACGAAAGTTACATTAAAATGATAATATTTTTTGCTGAAAAGTATTATGATATTTAATGTAAGCAAACAAATGACTCAGGTGATAGTGTTTTGTTTTCATTTTTTAAATGCCTTGGCCGGGCGCGGTGGCTCAAGCGTGTAATCCCAGCACTTTGGGAGGCCAAGGCGGGCGGATCATGAGGTCAGGAGATCGAGACCATCCTGGCTAACACAGTGAAACCCCGTCTCTACTAAAAATACAAAAATTAGCCGGGCGTACTGGCGGGAGCCTGTAGTCCCAGCTACTCGGGAGGCTAAGGCAGGAGAATGGCGTGAACCCGGGAGGCGGAGCTTGCAGTGAGCCGAGATTGCGCCACTGCACTCCAGCCTGGGCGACAGAGCCAGACTCCGTCTCAAAAAAATAAATAAATAAAAATAAATAAATAAATAAATGTCTTACTTCAATAGCTTTTGGAGCACAAGTGGTTTAGGTAACATGGATAATTTGTATAGTGGTGAAGTCTGAGATTTTATTGCACCTGTCACCTGAGTAGTGTACATTGTACCAAACATGTAGCTTTTTTATTCCACACCCACCTGCCAACTTCCCCCTTATGAATCTCCAGAGCCCATTATATCACTCAGTGGAGAGTCTTCAACATTCAGGGTGGAATCTTCAGGGTGTGGCCCTTTATCCATTGCTTTCCAACGTTTGTACTCTCTGCTTTGTGAATAGAGGCCTGTTCTCCCTGTCTGCCTTGTTCACGTACCTTTGCCGTTTTCCTTGCTGGGATGACATCCTTTGCCCTGAAGTTCTCATTAACCATACCATAGATGTCCTCTTCTTACCTCAATACATCCAAGGCTACCTCAAGTTATAACTTCTCCTTTAGTTTTTCCCTAGTGTCTGAGTTCAAATGGGCTTCTCTATATCCAGAATATCTACCACCTGTCTTATCTTTCCTCACACGTGGCACGTGCAGTTCCTTCCATCTACTTTCATAATGTTGTATTTTAACGGTTCAGTTGTGTTTATATTACACTCTTCTGTCAGGCAAACAAGGGTATTTATATGGCTGAAATCTACGGTATTTTTTAAATGTAGTAAAATGTAATGAATAAGCATACAAATGAATGAGTTAATTAATCTGTTATATTCTTGGTTAAGTAATGAGCATTATGAGGACAAAAATTGAGTCTTACACCTTCTTATAATCCTAAAGACCTAGTACAGGACTTGGAATATAGCATTCACTTAAGACATCTTTGTGACTAATGAATTTAAATATTTTTATTAATTCTAAGTTGACGTATGATTGTAATTTGGGGAAGGTAGTGAAATTTCAAATGGCTTTCACCACCTGTGAAATGACCCTTTTTACCTACCACATGATTTACCAGATCTTTGTTTAGGTGAACCTAGGCGAAAGCAGATTGTTTCCTCTACTTAGGAAATACTTCGCACATTTTCGTTGCTTATAAATTTGATGATTTTAATTTGTACAGTTATAATTTATGATATTGACTTGTACAGTTATATATATTTTACATATAATATATATTATATATTATATATAGTTATACTATATATAATTTTATTTTCTAAAGTAAAGAATATCATTACACATTAACAAAATAGATATAACTGTTTTCTTTCTACTATTTGTTACTGGTGTATACTGCAAATCCCTAATGGATACTGAAATTCTTATCTCTAAGCCCCTCTATGACTATGAAAAGAAATGGGTTCAAGTTTATTTTAAAAATCAAAGAGTGTATTAATAATATTATTGTGATCATGTCCAATTGATACTATCATTATTAAAAAGTTTAATCACTTATTTCTTGAAGGACCTAATTAGGAAATATATATGTGTGTGTATATCTATATTCTATCTATATATATCCTATATCTATATTCCATATATATTCTGTATCTATATTCTATATCTGTATTCTACATATATTCTATATATAGTCTATCTATATTCTATCTATATCCTATATATAGACTATCTATATCCTATATATAGTCTATATATATTCTATCTATATCCTATATATAGTCTATATATATTCTATCTATATCCTATATATAGTCTATATATATTCTATCGATATCCTGTATATAGTCTATATATTTTCTATCTATATCCTATATATAGTCTATATACTCTATATATCTTATATAGTCTATATATATTCTATATATATCCTATATAGTCTATGTATATTCTATATATATCCTATATAGTCTATGTATATTCTATATATATCCTATATAGTCTATGTATATTCTATATATATCCTATATAGTCTATGTATATTCTATATATATCCTATATAGTCTATGTATATTCTATATATATCCTATATAGTCTATGTATATTCTATATATATCCTATATAGTCTATGTATATTCTATATATATCCTATGTAGTCTATGTATATTCTATATATATCCTATGTAGTCTATGTATATTCTATATATATCCTATGTAGTCTATGTATATTCTATATATATCCTATGTAGTCTATGTATATTCTATATATATCCTATGTAGTCTATGTATATTCTATATATATCCTATATAGTCTATGTATATTCTATATATATCCTATATAGTCTATGTATATTCTATATATATCCTATATAGTCTATGTATATTCTATATATATCCTATATAGTCTATGTATATTCTATATATATCCTATATAGTCTATGTATATTCTATATAGTCTATATATATTCTATATGTGTATCCTATATATATTCTCTATACATATTCTATATATATATACACACACACACACACACATGTATAGTAGCCTGATATTTAAAAAATAAGATTGGGACTGCGTAAAATAAGCTCACCCAGACAATAGGGGTACAGACATATGTATAATTCAGCAAGAACTGGTAACAAAGTGAGATATGTCAACTCTTTGTAGCATATTGTTAAGTAGTATTAAAAAACAAGTAATTTTTGGTTGGGTCCATTGAGAGAATAACATTATTTTTAGAATGATCTAATGGCACAATAAGCATTTTAGCATTTTACCTGCAAAAGCATTATAGCTGTGCCAGTTTCTGTTCCAAGAAAAAAATACATTGGTGTATTCTCTAAAGGAGGAAATTCTGACCTCAACTATGTTCAGATAGCTGTGGCAGATAATACTCTGATCAGGTACTAAGTCATATATCTTTCACATTTCCCTTTGCTAGTTATACTCAGCATGTGGTTGGAAATGGAATCAAAGCCCAGTCTGGAAATCCTGAAGTCAAAGTCAAAGGAACTGATCCTGTGATAAATCAGATTATTGATAAACTGAAGCATGTTATTCAGGTAAGTCCTGATCCTATATTTTTTGGTATAGCCAATAATAAATAATAAGTGGTCACTTTCTGTTATACTTGATAAATTTGTTAACCCTATCAGGTAATCCTGCCTAAAATATTGTAACACATTATTTGTATCAGGACTTTTGGGAATATTTAGTTTAATGATTTTTGTATGCAGTCAATATGCAGTGGTATTTTAATGTTGGACAATCTGTATATGTGAAAAGCAAGCCTCAGCCTCAGCATTTCAATAATGAGAATCTCAGGACATGCATTGTCTTCAGTGAATAAGTTTGAACGTGGGAATCACTGTGACCATTAAAGAAAACACATAGAAGACCATAGAAGATGCCAGAGTTTTCTTTCAGGTAATTCTCTGAATGTTGCTATGAAGGTTTTTGCAGCATTTCAATACAAATTAGGTCATAGATGAATAATATGTACTTCTAATATTTATTTCCTATATCACCTTTTATATGTTATCTTATAATCTACCTAATGGTTGTTTATGAAATACTTCTGTTTTATCTTCAATAATATTTTTCATCAAGTGAGTGTGTATTGCTGTTTTTAATACATGACAAATGAAGCATGAACATATTTATCAAAATAATATTTCATTGAAATAGTCTATTAATTAGAACCAAACATGATGTTGCATGTTGTAAATATTACTCTGCATTCTGCATCTATTGATGTTTGGGGAAAGAAAGGCTATTTTTTTTTTTAGTTAATAGTCATTTTATAAAAATTTATATTTGAATATACTTTCATTTTTCCTAAGCAGAACTTTGCGTGGCTAGTTGATGCTTATTTCTAGTATCGTGCATCAGAAACAATACCTAAATAGTACAGAGTTTTTATTGCATACAACATATTCCAGAGTCAGTAGTAGGCTTCTCATAATTGTTCTGCAAAGACAAAGCTTAAGTTTATGCAGAGCCAATTCCTGGGTTTCCATTTTTCACGAGTCCCTATCTCTCAAGGAGAGGATATGTAAGAAGGACTTGGGGGTTGGTGTCCAATACCATAGACTTCTCCCTTCTGTGAGGCAACAATGCTTATTCTACCATTGATACCTATAGAAAACAGCTCTCACCCTGGCTGGCAAAACCAAAAATAAATTCTATTGGAAAAGTCTAAGAGAAAAGTGGTATCATGACTACTGATGAGTTAAACCTTCCAGCCTCTGCTGAGCTGGTCCAGTTGGTACCTCACAGTATCGTCCACTGTAGTATAATATGTACAGCTAGATTATTTGAAAATTCGACCGCATAATTGATAATAAAACCAAAAGAGCTTTAATATTAATGTTCTCTCATTGAGGAGTGAGTACAATCTCACTGTGAGGACACAGTGAAATCTTAGGGGTTTCTTAAGTGGGGTAAGCATTCCACAGAGGATGGAGGAAGAAAAACTAGAACTTAAATATATATTTATTCCGTCTCATTCTTTTATATTTCTTTGGTTGTAGTAAGGTATATAAAATATGTAATGTATTAGTGCAATAGCATATACATATAATTTATAAATACATAAATATACATATTAACTGGACATTTGTTCAGATTGTTTTTCTAAGATATATACATGATGAAAGCAGAACAGAAACCCTGTTACAGATAATAAGGATAGAGCTGTTCCATGAGAAGTGCAGTTATAAGAAAACACATTCACAGAGGAACACATAGATACCCAAGATAGAAAGGATTATAAAAACCCTTAGGAGGAGGGCTCATATATTTATTACCCATTCAGCAACCCCCCTCCCCATTTCTTGTTTTGTAGGTTTCAAAGCCTTTTCAAGGTGGCAGAGGGAAGTCATCCTGCCTTTCTTTTTTAGCTTCTGTGTGAACTTGAGTCCCATTCTTTATTCTTTATAGGAGTGTGCAGATCTCCAATTATTCATGCTTAAGTTTCATTCTGGGGTTGCAAGAGAATATCAAATGCAGTGCTACCTTTGAGGTCTATCATTTTAAGATCTGCTAGATTTATATGATAGAAATGTAGAAAGGACAGCAGAAAGTCATAACTTGCACAGGTGTCACTGAAAATTTACCTTTAATATCTAAGAATATGCTCTTTCATGAACTGCTCTCCTGGAGATGAAGAGAAGTGTTTTACTTTGCCAATTTTTTTTTTTTTTTTTTTTTTTTTTGAGACAGAGTTTCCCTCTTGTTGCCCAGGCTGGAGTGCAATGGCGCAATCTCGGCTCGCTGCAACCTCCGCCTCCCGGATTCAAGAGATTCTCCTGCCTCAGCCTCCAGAGCAGCTGGGATTACAGGCACGTGCCACCACAGCCCGGCTAATTTTTTTTGTATTTTTAGTAGAGACAGGGTTTCTCCATGTTGCTCAGGCTGGTCTCGAACTCCCGACCTCAGATGATCCACCTGCCTCGGCCTCCCAAAGTGCCGATTACAGGCGTGAGCCACGGCGCCCGGCCTACTTTGCCAAACTTTTGACTACTGATGGTGTACGCGTGCCCTGGCAGGGATGGCCATTGTGCTGTCAGTATCAAGGGATGGCTAACAGCACCCACCACAATGTCAGCTATGAAAGGATTCAGAAAATAGCCTTCTGTAAGTCAGAATTTATTAATTAAGGAGTAGGGCCATGGAAGATGTCAACATAGGAATAGGTTTCAGATTCTAAACTGTAGATTTAGATGATCACTTCTTAGTGTTTGTATAAAATTTACTTTATTTTTTATTATAACATGAAGTTCGCTTTCCACCTTTATACTATGAAAAATGCCGTGTCTCACAATAGGGACATACCTGTGTTAAAGTATATGGAAGTAAATCAGCCACAATAGCAAACATTGCCTGCATGGACTCACCCAAAAATGCCTTTCTCGGCCTGCCATTGATCTGAACCTCATTTCTACCTTGCATTGTCTGCAATTAGAGTCACTAAGGAAGTAGATAAAGATTTTTACTTGGAAAATGTCACTTTTTAATGTTTTAATAATTAATTCGTTCAAGATACTCAACAAATGCTCACTGAGTTTCTAGTACGGTCCTGGTTCTGTACAGGCACTGAGGTTAAAGTTGTGAATAAAGCAGACACAACCCTGCTCTCATGGGCTTTCCATTGTAAGAAAAAAGTAAATAAACAAACCAATGAAACCAGTATTGTAGCTGACACATGTTATGCACAAAACCAAACAAGGTGAGGTAAGGAAAGATATTTAAGAAGAGTGTGCTGGTGAAGGCCACTCAGGGGCAGATGTTTGGGTTGATGCTGAATAAGGAGAAGAAAGGAGTCATGGGAAAACCTGTGAGAACTGTGTCTGGGGCAGAAGGCAAAGTAGGTGTAAAGGCCCTGTGGCAGGAATAAGTTTATTTTATTCAGAGAACAGAAGGCCAGGTGGCTAAAACAGAGTGAGTTAAAGGGAGGAGATAAACATACATCATGTTTTGGGGAGTCCAGTAGGCTCTGGTAAAGAGTTTATATTTTCTCCTAAATAGACTAAGAAGTCATTTTAAAACTGTAAGCAGAAACTAGCTGCGCGCAGTGGCTCATGCCTGTAATCTCAGCACTTTGGGAGGCTGAGGTGGGTGGATCACCTTAAGTCAGGAGTTTGAGACCAGCCTGGCCAACATGGTGAAACCCCATCTCTTCTAAAAATACAAAAATTAGCTGAGCACGGTGGAGCGTGCCTGTAATGCCAGCTACTGAGGAGGCTGAGGAAGGAGAATCGCTTGAACCCAGGAGTCGGAGCCTGCAGTGAGCCAAGATCGCGCCACTGCACTCCAGCCTGGATGACAGAGCAAGACTCCTTCTCAAAATAAATAAATAAATAAAAATACATCACAAATTTAATAAATAAATAAATAACTGTAAGCAGAAGCTGATACAATTTAATACATGTTTTATGAGGACTTCACTATGAAAACTGGACCCTGCGTACAAGAATGGAAAAAAGAAAGTAACACAGACAGAAGGCCACATAATTGGAGCTAGAATAATAAGAGTGGATAAGCTGAGAAGTGCATAGATTTAGACAAATATTGGAAGCGGGGTTTTTGGGATTTGTTAATGGATTGGAAATTTGGGAGACGGAAGAAAGATGATAGCGAGGTTTGGTGGGATGATAGTGTCACTAAGTGAGAAAAGGAATTCTGAGAGAGGAGCAGGCCTGGCGGAGGGTCCCTGGGATTGATTAGAAATCAGTGGTTTTGTTAACTGTGAGATGCTTGTTAGATGCCCAAGAGGGATGTGCAGAACTCAGGGAGACCACACAACTGGAGGTGTATGTTTGTAAGCATCAGCACGTGGATAGTATTTAAGCCCTGAGATTGTATAAGGTTGTCACCTTTCCTTTAGAGTATAAATTCACACCAAAACTATTGGTGGAGATGATAGGACAAGGGAATCATACAAAAAAAATTGTACTGCAAAAAGCTATGAATGAATAAAACATTTTATTAAATGTATTTGGCACCTTGTATATACCTAGTTGATCTAGGACAGAGAAGATACTTAGTAACATTCATTTTTTCTTACTGTAAGAATAATGACCCAGGAGGCGGAGGCTGCAGTGAGCTGAGATCAGGCCACTGCACTCTAGCTCTAGCAGACAGAGTGAGACTCCGTCTCAAAAAAAAAAAAAAAAAAGAATAATGAATGCTCATCAGAGGGAATTGAATTTTATTATTCTAGGAAATCTGATGGAAAAAGTGAAAAATAAATATTGATACCATTTATAAAACAATGAAAAGACTTATAAGAGAAGCCATCTAGGCTTTTCTCTATACTTAATTATACATATAAATACATCAGTACTTTACTTCAAAAAATAAGATCATAGGGTACATTTGATTTTATGATCTGAACTGCTCACCTGACCACACAAAACAAATACTTTACCATGACATTAAATAGTCTGCTCTCTGGTTGTTAGTGCTGGCATACTATTCTATCATATGGAAAAATTACAGTTTTCCTTCACCCAGTCACCGAAAGTTGGATATTTAGGATGCGACCAGTTTTTCATGATAATAAAGACTAATAGGAATAGCAGTAGACATAAGATGTTTTTGGCATCTTTTTTTTCTTGTAATACGTTCTACATATTGAAACTAATAATTGTATTTTGCTACATATTGCCACGTTTTTCTCAAGGAAAATTATAGCTAACAGAAAGTGTCAGCTTTCTCTGTGTGTTAAGGGTGTGGGTGGAAGCTCGGCAGTGACGCTGAGACATATTGGTATGGAACATCATTGGACTCTCTAGAGATCAAGGTAGCAGTCCTGTAGAAATGTTAGCCCGAGCTGTGTGTCACCTGGGAGTACTCCAAGGACGGCCAAAAGAAATATTTTAGTTAGAAGACAATTTATAAGAAAAGTTTAGAGGCTTCCTAGAGAGGTCATAGCATACACAATTTTATTTCATCCTTTAGGGCAAGCCGTATATATATGTTCTGCGCACATCTCCTCCTGCACCCTCCTCAAAAAAAAAAAAAAAAAAAAAAAAAAAAAGCTGAGATCTGATGTAAATAGATAGCTGTGAATTATAGCTTGGTCCTTAAGGAATATCTCAGAAACTTCAATGTTCCTTCACCCCCTCCGCAAACCCTTCTGAATTGAGAATGGGAACCTTGGCAACAGAGGGGAGTCATGCACCTCCCTTTTCCATCTGTGACTCTGACATCTTCCTCCAGGTCAGCCATGGTGCAAACTCTCACAGTTACTTTCTGGCAGTTTCCTGCATTCCAAACCTGTTTCTGAAATGGGCAATATTTGTCCCCTTGAAAATCACCTGTGATAAATGTGGTATAGCCCACGGCCAGTGAAAATTTTCCTACAGGGAGACATATTCCTAAGTGTTAACATTAACTTTTTCAGATGTTTGAGTCAGACTCAATTGCCCTTTCATATTATAGATTGAAAACAACACTTGGTTGATGTTAGTATATCTGATTGAGGAAATATGAGAGCCTTTTTAATTTAGATTTGCTCGCCTAGAAAACTCACTTTGAAACTTCTTGGTCATGTTATGTTTGCTTATGGCAAAGTTATCAGCAAAAAAGTCACTGTTATGCAGCAATTTATCTTTAAACACTAAATGACATCTATCATTTTTCAAAGAAAATAGTGTCAGCAGTTAAAATCCTAACTGCTTGAGCACTGTTAGTTGACAATTATAATGCCCCATTGCTTAGAAATTAATTGACCTACTTTCAATAAGAAACATAAAAAGTAATATCACAGCAATTTTCTGGATCTATTTTATTCCAAAACCAATAAATGTTACAGTGTTGTTAAAAGTAATAGATTTAAAAACATTTTATTTTCTTAAACTTAACAATTCAAATAACATAAAATAATATTACGTTTCTATTAAGTATTCATTTTTATACAGACCAAAAGTTCTTTAGAAAATGTCTTCATGTATAATATAAATTTGATTTTTAGATGTGAGAAAAGCAACAATCATAATCGTTGCCTAAATCCACAAAATAAGTAGATATTCTATAATATGTATTTCAGTAATCACAATGTATTGGATTCAGGCAGAGATGAGAGACACTCTGATTTTAGCAGAAAAAGACTGTGTTAAATTACCTCTTTGCCTTTTCTCACTCTGTTCCTAGGATAGCAATATAATAAATAGTAACTTTAGAACTGGGATACACTGAGAAAATGTCCTAATTTAAATCTCAATAGATGATTACACAGGTAGTGTTTACACACACACACACACACACACACACACACACAATGACAGGAGTTTTTAAAGATATTAGTATCTCGGAATTTTTGAATTCTGAAAACTGTCCAAGCTTTTATCATTAAATCACTTGTTATGAAACCCATTTTAGAAACACGCTTTCCTATTTTTAATAGCCTATGATAGTCATACAGAATGAGTTAATCAAAATTGATTGGTCAATTGCTAATTGCAAATTCTTTGACCGTAGCATGTCAGCTGATTCTATGAACTTCTACAGACTCTTTCCCTTGGTCCGGGAATTGCCACAACACTCTGACTCCTTTCCCCACAACTCCATTACATGATATTGTCACCTCCCCAGGCTTACGATACTAATATTCCAGAGAGACGAACAGTCCTTGATTTTGAATAGCAATGCAGTAGTGACCAAAACAGATTTAGTTTTGGTTCAGAAGAAAGTGCTGGATATGCCCTCAGTAACTTTCCATGGTCATCTAATTCAGCAATTAGTTTGAGTAAATTCAATGGAAGGCTGCTTTCTGGAATGGGTAGTGTAATGTACTGACTTCCCTATTAGACATTTCATTTAAAAAAATCAATTGTCCGCATAAAACAACCATTTCAATCAGTGTACATTCAACTGGAAAGGAAAGTTAGAGGACTTTTTTTGAAAGTAATGGGATTGGGGTTGGCCGTTGCTAATTTCTTTTTGATTAAAGCGTATGTAATTGTTTTGTGTTGGATAAAAATTTGACTTTTTATTTGCGCGGATGCTGCTGATCTTATATGTTATCATTTCCCATTCAGACTTGAGCTGTTTACCTGCCGGGTTTTCTGTTCATAAAATGTTGAAAGGACGTTAAAATGTAGAACTTTTACATTTTTTATTTAGGTGACTAGGACAAATTCTGGTAATTTGTAGGCTACAACTTAAATGTATTTCTGCTTAAAATATTTTGAAATATGGTTTATTTCACAAATGAGGTTCCAAACTATAACCAGCTCTCACTAAATTCTTATTTATTTATTTATTTATTTATTTATTTTGAGACGGAGTCTTTCTCTGTCACCCAGGCTGGAGGGCAGTGGCCGGATCTCGGCTCACCGCAAGCTCCGCCTCCCGGGTTCACGCCATCCTCCTGCCCCAGCCTCCTGAGTAGCTGGGACTACAGGCGCCCGCCACCACGCCCAGCTCATTTTTTGTATTTTTAGTAGAGACGGGGTTTCCCCGTGTTAGCCAGGATGGTCTGGATCTCCTGACCTCGTGATCCGCCCGCCTCGGCCTCCCAAAGTGCTGGGATTACAGGCGTGAGCCACCTCGCCCAGCCAAAAGATCATTTTTAAATTATGTATCTGGGAATATATTATCAAACCAGGCCTGAAACTTATTAAAAAGATGGTAAAATCTAATTTAACTTCATTTAATACTCCTTTTCTCTTAGTCTTATAAAAGCAAATGAGCTTGTTGGCTTTTAATTATGAAAATATAATTTTAATTTATAAGACATATGTAACAAAGCAAGATAGCTGCTAAATTCACTCTATCCTAGTAACTTCCTATTGCATACATTCATTTTTAATGTAATAAGAAAATCCTTTCAAAATGCTTAAAAGAATCACATTACCCAAGAAGAGGCTCAACATTTCTAGAAAATAAATATGTTCTTAAGACACTTAATAATTCTTGAAATGAAGACCTAATTCTTCAGGGCTTTAAAATATTTGATGTGCACTCTTTACATATATAGAGAGTTTAAATTTAATAATTTCCCTTCTTAAAAAAGAAGTGAAACATACCACAAACATATCAAAGCAAGTTATTCATACTTCTCATTTAAGTAACTGTATTGTCATAGCAAAATTATTTTATATCATCAAACAGCACAAAAGCCTTATTAGAATACTAATTTCAATGTCTGTTTCACAGATTTGCTCAGAATAGATTTTTTCATGCTTCTGCACTAATTCATTGAAGGACAATGTTTTACCGATTCCTGAAAAAATATCATTATCTGCCCCATAGTGGTGGCTCATGCCTGTAATCCTAACACTTTGGGAGGCCGAGGCTGGCAGATTGCTTGAGCCCAGGAGTTCAAGACCAGCCTGGGCAACATGGTGAAAACTCATCTCTACCAAAAAAAAAAAAAAAAAAGTAAAAAGTTAGCCGGGCAAGGTGGCGGGCACCTGTAGTCCTAGCAACTGAGGAGGCTGAGGTAGGAGGATCACCTGGGCCTGGGAGGTTGAGGTTGTGGTGAGCCATGATTATGCCACTGCATTCCAGCAGTGGGTGACATAGTGAGATCTTGTATCAATAATAATAAGATAAAATAGAAAATAAAAATATCATTAACTGACATTTTAAAAAGTATATTTCCCAATGGATAAATATACTTTGTGGATTAACAAGAGAAAAATTTCAAGATACTGTAAATTTAAAACAAATCTTTATGTGTAATACCATCGTAATGTCTTTGACCAGGAGCAATCTATCATGTGAGATAAAAAATATTAAATATGCATTTATTGAATAAATGAATGAAAATCATGATTACCTTGATCACTATATTTAAAATTTAAATGAAGCAGGAAAGTAAATCTTCCTAATTATCATATACTTAACATAACTGTTTAAAATCACTCTAATAACAAGTAATATGTTAATTTTGAATTATAATTTTAAAATGCCTGTATTGTTTCATTCACTCATCCTTCCATTAGTTCAGTGAACAAATATTGATTACTTACCCACTATGTGCCAGGTATCATCATAGATTCAGGGAGTACAAAAATGGTTAAACGAAGGGATCAGCTGGAGTGACCGTTTTCTAGAAACAATGCCTATTTCAGTTATGAACTAGTCTGTTTTGAAGAAAGTGGTGAGGGAAAGCTGAAAATCCTATTTTCACTTTATTCAACAAATCTTATTGAGGTCTTATTATGAATCAGGGGCTCTCCTAGGTATGGGCATACAAAATTGATTAAGACTGTGCTTGCTTGCAGAAAACAAACAAAAAAGCATCTCTATAATAAAAAGGAAAAAGAGGAAATTCCCTTTGTAGGTTTCATAGTTTATAGTGATACTGCTGATGTTGTCTCAGAGAATTAGTCACAATTATAGGAACTCAGAAGGCATTCCGTTGAGATGAAATAGAGACTAAAGTAGCAGAGATTACTTAGTGAAATAACAATTCGAACATAGTTATAATTCATTTTAGAAGATATTATGGCTCACACATAGTAGATGTGATGACTGAATAACAGGAATGTGGAACGATGGCACCTTGGTAGCCATTACCCATTGCCAACATGATTCTGCATTAAAAAATCTGTGCAAAACGGCCGGGCACGGTGGCTCACGCCTGTAATCCTAGCACTTTGGGAGGCCGAGGAGGGCGGATCACGAGGTCGGGAGATGGAGACCATCCTGGCTAACACGGTGAAACCCCGTAACTACTAAAAATACAAAAAATTAGCTGGGCATGGTGGCACGCGCCTGTAGTCCCAGCTACTCGGGAGGCTGAGGCAGGAGAATCGCTTGAACCTGGGAGGTGGAGGTTGCAGTAAGCTGAGATCGCGCCACTGCACTCCAGCCTGGGCAACAGAGTGAGACTCCATTTCAAAAAAAAAAAAAAAAAAAGAACACAACTTTGGAGTATATTAATAAACATTGTGTTTTTTAAAAAAAAAATTTTAATCTTTAATTTCCGTTTTCACATATTTCTTCTTGCTTCCAAAAGGAAAGGAGTGGGTAGCTCTGTTGTACACCGTCCACGGCCCCTGGATCCGGGCGGGGTCCCCCGGGCCACCTGGGGGTCCACATGCAGCCCCCGGGAGGCCGGTGCGGGGTGAGGTCCGGGGGCCGCCTTATTGCTGAAGTCCGGCCGGTTGGGGCCCCGGCGGCCGCTAGGCGCTCTGGCTGCGCAGCTCCTGGGAGATGAAGCGGCGCAGGCGCTCCAGGTACTGGCTGTAGAGCTGGATGTCTTTGTGCCCGGCGCCCTCCACCCACAGCGGCTCCACGGCCTTGGGGCAGCGCTCCTAGAGCGCCAGCCCCTGCGAGAAGTCGATCACCTCGTCTTTCGTGCCGTGGATAATGAGCACGGGCGACGTGATCTTGGACACCTTCTGGATTCTGCGGGAGGGGCGTGGGGCGGGTGAGACCTCTCCGGGCCCGGGCCCCGCCCCGCCCCAGTCCCCGACCCAGTCCCCGTCCCCGCCCCTGTCCCTGCCCCAGCCTGCTCACTTGGGGAAGGCGTCGAAGCAGTAGGTCGTCTTGGTGTCGGGAAGGCGACGCTCAGGTCCAAGGTGAGCGGCGAGTGCAGCACCACCGCGGCGGACTCGTAGCGCGAGGCCAGGTCCACGGTGGGCACCGTGCCGATGCTCTGCCGGTACAGGATGATGCTGTCCGGGCTGATGCGGTACCTGGCGGCACCGGAGCAGGGTCAGCCGCGGCCTCCGACTCGCGCGCACCCCTCCCGCCAGCGGGCGTCCCCGGGCCCAGCTCCAGATGCGACTCTCCAGTCTCCCGGCTCAGCCTAGTCAGTGGGTCAGGCCCAGGCTCCACAGCAGTCCCAAGGGCCACCCCCAGTCCCCCAAGACCGCAGCGGTGGGCGGAGCCGGCGGCCTGGTCCTGTTCCCTGGCGCTATGGTTCACTGGCGTTTCCTAGCCAGGATCTGCTGGATCCTGGCTAGGGAGTCCCCCTCGGGCTAGGGTAGGGGAAGCCCTGGCGCCTCTCCTTCTCCTGGTCATCCCTGGGCGCACACTGGGAACTGTGTGCCCCCCCACATCCTGAATGCTTCATGCCTTCCTGCCCAGGTTAGAAAGCCGTTCCTGGTGCACTGGCCGGAACAGGGTACACTCTTCCTCCCTGCAGCCCTTGCCCACCCCCTTGGCCATGAGGAATTCAGGCAGCTGTGTCCCCACATGTCTCCACCCAATTTTGGACTCTCGGAGTCCCATGCTCAATGAGGTGCCAGCCCAACCCAGGTCAACATCGAGGGTGGCGGCTGCGGGGGCAGCACCTCCTCCCACCAGCGCCTTCCCTTGGGAGTGGACAAGTCCTCGGCCACCTCAGCACCACCAGCTCCCACCCAGGGCCACCCCCACCGCCAGGTCACTGGTGTGCGGCCCCTGGCCCAGCTGGTCCAGCACCAGTACCAAGGCCTCCTCGTGCCCAGTCCCAACCACGCGGGACCCACCTGCCACCCTGTCGATGCCGCAACCCCAGAACTCTCCTCCCACACGCTCCAGGCTCTGATCCCAGGCAGATGCCCTCCTGCGAGGCAGGAGCATGGGCAGGTGTGCGTCCCATCTGCCTGGCATTCGGACTCCACCAGCAGGGCTGTACCCCTCCTTGGCCTGGAATCCCAGCCTCCTGGCAGCACTCCACAGCTCACTGTTCACCCATGCCCCAAAGGATGCTGCCTGGCTGGTGCCTGTGGCCCCAGCTCTGCCTCAGCCTCCTTGGCCTGCTCCCTGGCAGCCAAGGCCAGTAGTGTGCTGAGCCAGCCCAGCCCTGTCACCTGCTCCAGGCAGGACCCCCAGCTGCCACCTGGATGTCACCACTCAGACAATCAAACAAGACACATCCTCAGTGGAGGCCCTGAGCGCGATCTGGCCTCCCCCTCATGGCTCTGGGCCGAGGTTCCTGCAGGACAAAGCAGCAGCAGGACAGATGGCCGAGCAGACAGAGCTCAGAGCTGGCCATGGCGGGTGTGACTCTGCCAGTGCCCTGGGCAGTAGAGACAGGAGGGGGCCGAGGAAGCTGCATGAAGTGGTGCTTGGTTTCTGCGCCCACACTGCCAGGAGGCCCCCAGAGCCAGGGTGGTGCCAGGGGACCCAGCTCCCAGGCCCACAGAAGGGACTGCCTGGGATATCGCCAAGGCATCGAGGACCCCACCTCCCCAGGGCCTCTGACTTCTCAGAGCTGCGCCTGGCCCCTGCAGGAGCGGGGCAGACCAGTGGGGGGCAGGGCCAGGACGAGACAGCCCCAGCGGGTGGCAAGCAGGAAAGGCCTCCAGAGGCCCACGCGGGTCTTCTGATCCAGAGCAGCACTGGCCCGGGCGGTGGGCGGTGCTCAAACACCAGTGAAGGGCCCAGGAAAGCGCAGGGCTGGGGAGCTGGATGTTTAGGAGGGCTGGATCTGGAATGGAGGCTGGCCCAGACCTCAGGTGTGTGCTGGGGGTCTGCACCTGACCCAGCAGGCCCTGCCCCGGGATGGCCGAGCTCCACAGCCACAGGGCCTCATGGGCCAGGCCTCGGGACCTCGATGCAGCAGCCTCGCCTCACCTGGCCCCAAGTGCTGCCTCGGCCATTGGGCTCCCAGCCACACGTGCACAGACCCCCCCCAGACACCACCCACCCCCTCCCGCCGGGTGGCGTCCACGCCCCTGTGACAAGCTCAGCCCCTTCCTGTCCTCAGGCCAGGGGATCCCAGAGAGCCTGGCTCCACAGGCCAGGGTGTGGGGGGACCTGGCCACACCTCAGCCATGTGGAGGCGGCACCCGCACGCCTGAGCTCACCTTTCCGGCTCTCTGGCCGCATGCGTCCACTGTGGCTCCTCTCCTGCAGGGCCGCCCACCTTCCTCCCAGGGAAGCCCGCCCTTCCCCCCGGCCCCCGGCCTGGTCCCCTCTCCGGTGTGCCCAGGCTGAGCTGCCCCCGGGGTCGCCCTCACCTGGTGCGCAGGGCCTGCCGGGCGGCGTCGATGTCGGCGTAGAGGTTCGTCTCGGAGGGCCTGCCCGAGCTGGCACCGTAGCCGGAGTAGTCGTAGGAGAAGATGTTGCAGTGGAGGCGGGAACACAGGCCAATGTAGAAGCTGCTCATCTGGCCCAGGTCCACGCGTTGCCTTCCTTGTTCATGCACCGCTGGTCAGACGCAATTCAGCTGATGTAGGCTGGGCTTGGCTAGCATTGGCTTGAAGCTGCAGCTGGTGTCCAGATCTGTTCCATGTATTTGTGATCCTCCTCAGCCCTCCCGGGTACTTGAAGCATGTTATTGTTGTGGCCAAAGTCAGGAGTGCAACCTGCCTGTGCAAAAACATGCCAGGCTTCTGTTGCCTTAAATCCTCTAAGATACCCCTTTGGCTTAAGCAGAGTCACACAGCAAGGATCAAAGTCAAGGAGTGGGGAATTATATCTGTCCCTTAGAGATGGAGATAGGAGAGAGTGTGAACAAATGCAGGAAAATGATCTCATCTACCAGAGTGTCCTTAAAGATTTTAACATAATAAATTCAGTATTGTTTTTGTTTGTTTGAATGAAGCTTTGCATGGACACAGTACAGTACAAAAGTACTATTTGAACTCTTTCTCCACATTCATAAAATTGCTACATAGTTTCTACCATGATTATATTTTTATGATCCATTTTTGTGTACAGATCTGAAAACTTTATACTAGAATTTATTAGCTGAGGAAAGGAACATGCACTGACATCATCATACACAAATATTTCTCAACATTTTAATGCTTGTGGTATTGTTAATGTTTCTGTGGAAAATTACTTAAAATCATAGAAGTGATTTCTAAGTCAGTTATTGATTTATTCTGATGAATTATAAAAATCAGACTAAATTAGTAATAGAGAAATTACACTTGAAATACTAGTCTGAGCTACAAATGAGATGGATTTTTGTGCTCATCATTTGTACTCTAGTTATGTTTGTTGAGATTGGGTTATGAAAACATCATTATAACATTATCAGCAGAAAAGCCTGTTGTGCTATAATTAAATCATCTAAACAATCATTTTTGTGGTCTTAATATCCTGGATTTCTCAATTGATTGTAGTAGATAAGAGTTCTCTTTAAATACTACTTATTATCGGTAGCTTGCTTTTCTGTGAAATCTAGAAAATTTAGAATTCTGCATTAACATTTAATAAAATACCTGCTATCCTAATATTGATGCATTATATTTATCTATACAACATGCAACAGGAGAGAAATATCAGATGAATTAGAATATTTGCAGCCTATGGCAATTATCTGTAGCCACATTTTTTTTTGTCTTCAGAAAAATGTAGATGATTTTGGAAATGGATTAGTTCTAGTCTCAATCTAGGAAGAATTACTTATGGAAGTTTTGTGTACAGGATACTGATGTTTTCAAATATAACGCATTATTATTTTAGTTTAGTTTCTTTTGCCACATACTTAGAAATTGTTCAAGTGAACAGGCTATTAAAACGAATGGTATAGATAAATGGTATAGATAGGCATTGTAAACATCCCACTTTTCCCAAGCCATGAATTTTAACACTGGATTAAGGAGATGAAAATGGAGCCATTGGGAATGTGGATTCTTTGCTAATAATTATTTTTCTTCTTTAAAAAGATTCTTCAAAAGGCAAGAACATGGAAGTATTTCAGGAGATATTCTTGAGGTATCTAAAATACATACTCTTCCTATCAAAATCAATAAATAGATGGATGTAAGTAAGATAAAGTCAGGGCAACTGATTTTGCATGTGAGTGTACACACAGACACATATCCAGGTTTTCTCCATCTGTTCTCAGTTGCTGAATTATTAGACTCAGCTGACCGCTTGACTGTGTTTAATCTGATAAACAGACTCTTAACAAGAAGAACAATGTTTTAAAAACTGGACTGTTCCTCCTACTTCTCAGCATGCATCAGCCACTCTCTTTCCCCATCCTATCTCCTGCCAAATTGGTCTCTACTTATCTGTTCCACTTGGAGACACTATTTGATGTTGTTGTAAATGACTTAAATGAATATTCACTCTACCTGCTTTCATATTAATTCAGTTTTCATAGGATGGTCTCTGTGGGATCAAGCAAAAGGACTTAGTGGAATATCTCTTATGACTCCATAAAGTAAAGAATGTGGTGAGTTTAGCAGAGTGCACCTTCCTTTACTAAATGTGAATGATGTGTCAGTATAGGGGGCCAGAGTGAAAAGTCCTAACATATGCTTGTTTGGGCAGCCAACAATTGGTCACATTGCACATTTCATGTTACAAAGGAGCCTCATGGTAGTATAAATGAGGGTCAGGAAAAGACACTTAACTGTGCTCTGGGCTTTAAAATGGAGCCAGGGCAAGAATTCTGGAATTTGACAATGTCAGGAAGGAAACCTCTGTAAGCAGGCACGCAGGGGACTCCAGAAATCTCTTCTTTGCCACTACAACTCTGGACTTTCAGAAATACACACCCCATTCTCCTGTATTAATACACACTTCATGTTCACAACATCAAAAACCAATTTTAAAATAGTAAACCTAAGGTAGATGGAAAGGCATTATAGCCTCAGCATGCCCGAGATGTGAGGAGCAAATCAGAAAGATGTGAGTGTGACGAGAAAGGGACATCGTGCTAACCAATCATTTAAAATTTTTACTCCAAAGAAATGGCAATATTTCACAGGTTTTTTCTCATCACCAATCTCACAAATATACATGTTTTTTGAAAATTTTCCTCTCAATTCTTCTCCTTGACAGTGAAGTCCAGAAGAGGTTGGTTTAGATCTAACTCTTTTCAGCCTCAATACTCCATAATCACTTTGGCTTTTTTGATTATGACTGGACGGCATGTACTATTATTTTAATATTAAATATTTAGGAAATAATTTTAAATGTTATCCTTAAATAACTATGGGCTTTATTCATTTACTGTATGTATTTCTCAAACATTCATAAGAACTTAAGGATTTTAATTCAAATGGTCCCTAAAGTAGAAAATGCACTCACAGATTCTGCATATGTCTTTTAAGAAACAGAAACGTGCCATTTGTTATTAAATTGAGTAGACTTTGTATCCTTTAGAATTTGGGCAGAGTTTTCTTGCTATATTGTAGAGAACCTATCAACCATATCTTAATTTTCTTCTTTTTGAGGTCTTCAAAATTAACATTGGCATTGGTCCACTAATTCCTTGTTTTCTATTTTTGGATGAGTGTGCATAGATTACCTCCATCTTAATTTTCAACATAAACTTTTAGCAGACTCTTTCACCTTTCATTGCCATGTAAGCAGATGTGATTTTTATTCTTTTTTCCTTTTCATTGAACAGTTACTTCATTTGAAATTTTTCACTTGATTTAATTTAACTTTATTTTTTGGTGGTAGATACATCTGTTGCCACCTGTGTCTGGTTGGCATTTTAATGTGTTGCCTCGAAGCTGTAACCACAATAGTGGCACATTTTCCTGCTGTTCCTTTATTCTTTGTTCCATGTGTATCTATTTTCAATAAATTGCATTGGTATATTATCATAGATTTTCTTTTTGTCTCTCAGATTTTCTGTTGTAATTATTTTTATTTATGCCTTTGGAAATATTTTATGATTGTTACATAAAACAGCAGAGCTCTTTCAGAAAGTTTTCATGGTTTTCCAAATGTACATTCATATAGATTATTTAGTAGTTATTACACAATGATCTTTGGAGCAATAAATGCTGTTACGTAAGAACAATTCCCAAATGTAATTTGAGTTATAAGCTAGCCTTTGATGGCCTAGAATTGATGTACCTTTATAATTCTAATCTGCATGCAAATTTAAGAAGACCAAGGATTGAGGATTGGGTGCATAATTTTCAGGGCCCAGTAAAAAGTGAAAATGTAGAACCCTTTGATAAAAACTTACAAAGAATTTCAAGATGACCATAATAGGCCATGCACAAGGCCTTTGTAGATGGGTAGAGTGACCATGAAGCCATGGGCATTGTTTGGTTTTGTTTAATCTTACTGTTTGGTTGTAAAGCAGATTTTTAAATCAAGAGAAAAAAGAACACCAAAGAAGATCTCTGTCAAAATGTTTGAAGCATTATAGAAGATTAGATCCATATAAATGAAAGGGATAAAGAAAAAGCACATATCCAACCTCAAATATAAAGCATGGAATTCTCATATGAACTCCATTATAGCACTTGATATTTCAGCTCTATTTTCATTTTTGAACAACTCTAGATATATCTATATATTTTAGTCTAAAATTTAATTTTTATAAATTGTAAGTACTTCCCCAAATTCTACCTTAGATAAACAATTCAGAGATAACTCTGTTTCCTATTCTATTAGGTGGAACCATATGAAATTGTCAGTATTCAGCCTTTTTTGTCCTACAAAAAAATGACAGTTTTGTGTTTCCACCTAACACATGGCAGCCCAATAAATATGTGAAGGTCAGGACCACAGAGCTACCACACTAAACAATACTAAATGCATACACATACCCTTTCCAAAACCCGGCAGGTCTTCTTTTCCCCAAGTGAAACATTCTTTGACTCTTCACCCATTATTCATGTGAGAAATTTTCCAGGCACTTCAACATGTCAGCTCAGTGACTGTAACAATTAGGTTTATTAATTCTCCTCTCACAATTTGACATTCTTTATTGAAAAGCATGATTTAAATGTTGACTAATAGTCTGCATAGTGAAACATTTTTACTAGTTCCAATGACCTAAAACAGTGTAAACCATGATTCAGAAATTTATTTTCTTAAAAACTTCTAAACAAAATGTCTGCTAGGATAAACCGGTGCAATTTCTATGTGAAACCTAAGAATTTCAATGACACATTTTCATCCTTATTGCCATCAAATAATCCCTTTAATAGTGCCCCATCTTTCTTACTCCTTCATATGATTTTCTATATTATTATTTTCCATCACTCATTCTGTTAAAACTATAATAGTTTCTTCAGAGAAATGACAGATTTTCCCACTTCAGAGGCATTTCTGCATTGAGCTCTCATAAACCTCTCTAACATGGTGGGCAATAGACTCAATAACATTTGTGTATAAACTCAGTTGTGAATTACAAAAGGCTCATCTATAACGTCAAAAAGCAACTCGGTAAAAACAATTCTATTGAAGATAGTATGATCTAAATATATAATTTTAGGATGGCTTCAACTGAGACAAAAATAGCATCGATACAGTGTGGAGCAATGAATTTCTAAAATTTTTATCAGCTTAACATTTTTCATCAGCACAATTTATACAGAAGCCCAACATGAGACATTCTTGTTCACATGGAATTTCTCTGCCCGCTGGAGCCCTGTAGAAATCCCACTGTGTTGGTAAACAGCAGTAGCAACAAGAAGATACTAAACTGGAATTCTCAGTGGCTCAACCAAACCAAAGTTTGTTGGTTGCTCCCATAAAGTTCAATGTCAGTCAGAATAAACTCCTCTAGCCTTAACCTATGACACACATGGCACATAACCTTCCAAGTACTGGCAGTGGAAAAGGAGAGAACTTGGGAATGAGGCAGGGGCTTCATGGTGAACATGGTGAAACCTCATCTTTACCAAAAATACAAAAATTAGGTGGGTGTGGTGGAGTGTGCCTGTAGTCCCAGCTACTCAGGAGGCTGAGGTAGAAGGATCGCTTGGGCCTGGGAGGTCAAGGCTGCAGTGAACCAAGGTGGTGCCACTGCACTCCAGCCTGGGTAACAGAGTGAGATCCTGTCTCAAAAAAAAAAAAAATTGTGAAGGTGAAATTTAAATACCTTTGTGCATAGCTATCAGTTATTCTTTGTTTTAATATTTAGTTTATTGTGAAATATAACACGTATAGAAACATACATAAAACAACACACAGGGCCAGGCCCGGTGGGTCACGCCTTGTAATCCCAGCACTTTGGGAGGCCGAGGCGGGCGGATTACTTGAGGTGAGGAGTTTGAGACCAGCCTGGCCAACATGGTGAAACCCCATCTCTACTAAAAATACAAAAATTAGTCGGATGTGGTGGTGCATGCCTGTAATCCCAGCTACTTGGGAGGCTGAGGCAGGAGAATCGCTTGAACCAGGGAGGCAGAAGTTACAGTGAACCAAGATCGCGCTACTGCACTCCAGCCTGGGCAACGGAGTCAGACTGTGTCTAAAAAAAAAAAAAAAAAAAAATAGGCCGGGTGTGGTGGCTCACGCCTGTAATCCCAGAACTTTGGGAGGCCGAGGCGGGCAGATCACTTGAGGTCAGGAGTTCGAGACCAGCCTGACCAACATGGAGAAACCCCATCCCTACTAAAAGTACAAAATTAGCTGGGCGTGGTGTTGCATGACTGAAATCCCAGCCACTTTGGAGGCTGAGGCAGGGGAATCACTTGAATCTGGGAGGTAGAGGTTGTTTTGAGCTGAGATCACGCCATTGTACTCCAGCCTGGGCAACAAGAGCAAAACTCCGTCTCAAACAAACAAAAAACAAAACAAAAACAAAAAACACAGTGTAACATGTTATTATGAAGTCACTGCTCAGGGACCAACTTGGCCGCTCCTGTGCCTCTAGAGGGAAGCTCCTTCCCACTGTTCTTTAGAGTTTTATATGTTAAGTACAGGAGTCAACAAACTAGGCCTATGCACCACATCTGGCACCCAGCCTTTATTTATTTTTTGAGATGGCGTCTCACTCTGTCATCCTGGCTGCAGTGTGGTAGCACAATCTCGGCTCACTGCAACCTCCGCCTCCCAGATTCAGGCAATTCTCCTGCCTCAGCCTCCTGAGTAGCTGGGATTACAGGTGTGTGCCACCACACCCGGCTAATTTTTATATTTTTGGTAGAGACGGGGTTTCAACATGTTGGTCAGTCTGGTCTCGAACTCCTGACGTCAGGTGATCCGCCTGCGTTGCCCTCTCAAAGTGCTGGGATTACAGGCATGAGGCATGATGCCTGACCCAGCCTTTTCTAAAATGAAGGTTTCGGCTGGCGCGGTGGCTCATGTCTGTAATCCCAGCACTTTGGGAGGCCAAGGCAGGTGGATCACCTGAGGTCAGTAGTTGGGGACCACCCTGGCCAACATGGTGAAACCCCGTCTGTATCAAAATACAAAAATTAGCTGGGCGTGATGGCAGGCACATGTAATGCCAGCTACTCGGGAGCCTGAGGCACGACAATCACTTGAACCCGGGAGGCGGAGGTTGCAGTGAGCCAAGATCACACGATTGCACTCCAGCCTGGGCAACGAGCGAAACTCCATCTCAAAATACAATAATAAAAAAAAGGATGTCCTTTTTTGTCTCTCAACCCCGTTTTTTATTTTTTTTTATTTTCAGACAGGGTCTCACTCTGTTGCCCAGGGTGGAGTGCAGGGGCCCGATCTTAGCTCACTGCGGCCTCAACTTCCCCAGCTCACAGGATCCTCCCACCTCAGCCTCCCAAACAGCTGGGACCACAGGTGGGTACCAGAAGTTATTAGGATAGAGTGAATTTAGCAGCTATCTTGCTTTGTTACATATGTCTTATAAATTAAAATTATATTTTCATAATGAAAAGCCAACAAGCTCATTTGCTTTTATAAGACTAAGAGAAAAGGAGTATTAAATGAAGTTAAATTAGATTTTACCATCTTTTTAATAAGTTTCAGGCCTGGTTTGATAATATATTCCCAGATACATAATTTAAAAATGATCTTTTGGCTGGGCGCGGTGGCTCACGCCTGTAATCCCAGCACTTTGGGAGGCCGAGGCGGGCGGATCACGAGGTCAGGAGATCCAGACCATCCTGGCTAACACGGGGAAACCCCATCTCTACTAAAAATACAAAAAATGAGCTGGGCGTGGTGGCGGGCGCCTGTAGTCCCAGCTACTCAGGAGGCTGGGGCAGGAGGATGGCGTGAACCCGGGAGGCGGAGCTTGCGGTGAGCCGAGATCCGGCCACTGCCCTCCAGCCTGGGTGACAGAGAAAGACTCCGTCTCAAAATAAATAAATAAATAAATAAATAAATAAGAATTTAGTGAGAGCTGGTTATAGTTTGGAACCTCATTTGTGAAATAAACCATATTTCAAAATATTTTAAGCAGAAATACATTTAAGTTGTAGCCTACAAATTACCAGAATTTGTCCTAGTCACCTAAATAAAAAATGTAAAAGTTCTACATTTTAACGTCCTTTCAACATTTTATGAACAGAAAACCCGGCAGGTAAACAGCTCAAGTCTGAATGGGAAATGATAACATATAAGATCAGCAGCATCCGCGCAAATAAAAAGTCAAATTTTTATCCAACACAAAACAATTACATACGCTTTAATCAAAAAGAAATTAGCAACGGCCAACCCCAATCCCATTACTTTCAAAAAAAGTCCTCTAACTTTCCTTTCCAGTTGAATGTACACTGATTGAAATGGTTGTTTTATGCGGACAATTGATTTTTTTAAATGAAATGTCTAATAGGGAAGTCAGTACATTACACTACCCATTCCAGAAAGCAGCCTTCCATTGAATTTACTCAAACTAATTGCTGAATTAGATGACCATGGAAAGTTACTGAGGGCATATCCAGCACTTTCTTCTGAACCAAAACTAAATCTGTTTTGGTCACTACTGCATTGCTATTCAAAATCAAGGACTGTTCATCTCTCTGGAATATTAGTATCGTAAGCCTGGGGAGGTGACAATATCATGTAATGGAGTTGTGGGGAAAGGAGTCAGAGTGTTGTGGCAACTCCCGGACCAAGGGAAAGAGTCTGTAGAAGTTCATAGAATCAGCTGACATGCTACGGTCAAAGAATTTGCAATTAGCAATTGACCAATCAATTTTGATTAACTCATTCTGTATGACTATCATAGGCTATTAAAAATAGGAAAGCGTGTTTCTAAAATGGGTTTCATAACAAGTGATTTAATGATAAAAGCTTGGACAGTTTTCAGAATTCAAAAATTCCGAGATACTAATATCTTTAAAAACTCCTGTCATTGTGTGTGTGTGTGTGTGTGTAAACACTACCTGTGTAATCATCTATTGAGATTTAAATTAGGACATTTTCTCAGTGTATCCCAGTTCTAAAGTTACTATTTATTATATTGCTATCCTAGGAACAGAGTGAGAAAAGGCAAAGAGGTAATTTAACACAGTCTTTTTCTGCTAAAATCAGAGTGTCTCTCATCTCTGCCTGAATCCAATACATTGTGATTACTGAAATACATATTATAGAATATCTACTTATTTTGTGGATTTAGGCAACGATTATGATTGTTGCTTTTCTCACATCTAAAAATCAAATTTATATTATACATGAAGACATTTTCTAAAGAACTTTTGGTCTGTATAAAAATGAATACTTAATAGAAACGTAATATTATTTTATGTTATTTGAATTGTTAAGTTTAAGAAAATAAAATGTTTTTAAATCTATTACTTTTAACAACACTGTAACATTTATTGGTTTTGGAATAAAATAGATCCAGAAAATTGCTGTGATATTACTTTTTATGTTTCTTATTGAAAGTAGGTCAATTAATTTCTAAGCAATGGGGCATTATAATTGTCAACTAACAGTGCTCAAGCAGTTAGGATTTTAACTGCTGACACTATTTTCTTTGAAAAATGATAGATGTCATTTAGTGTTTAAAGATAAATTGCTGCATAACAGTGACTTTTTTGCTGATAACTTTGCCATAAGCAAACATAACATGACCAAGAAGTTTCAAAGTGAGTTTTCTAGGCGAGCAAATCTAAATTAAAAAGGCTCTCATATTTCCTCAATCAGATATACTAACATCAACCAAGTGTTGTTTTCAATCTATAATATGAAAGGGCAATTGAGTCTGACTCAAACATCTGAAAAAGTTAATGTTAACACTTAGGAATATGTCTCCCTGTAGGAAAATTTTCACTGGCCGTGGGCTATACCACATTTATCACAGGTGATTTTCAAGGGGACAAATATTGCCCATTTCAGAAACAGGTTTGGAATGCAGGAAACTGCCAGAAAGTAACTGTGAGAGTTTGCACCATGGCTGACCTGGAGGAAGATGCCAGAGTCACAGATGGAAAAGGGAGGTGCATGACTCCCCTCTGTTGCCAAGGTTCCCATTCTCAATTCAGAAGGGTTTGCGGAGGGGGTGAAGGAACATTGAAGTTTCTGAGATATTCCTTAAGGACCAAGCTATAATTCACAGCTATCTATTTACATCAGATCTCAGCTTTTTTTTTTTTTTTTTTTTTTTTTTTTTGAGGAGGGTGCAGGAGGAGATGTGCGCAGAACATATATATACGGCTTGCCCTAAAGGATGAAATAAAATTGTGTATGCTATGACCTCTCTAGGAAGCCTCTAAACTTTTCTTATAAATTGTCTTCTAACTAAAATATTTCTTTTGGCCGTCCTTGGAGTACTCCCAGGTGACACACAGCTCGGGCTAACATTTCTACAGGACTGCTACCTTGATCTCTAGAGAGTCCAATGATGTTCCATACCAATATGTCTCAGCGTCACTGCCGAGCTTCCACCCACACCCTTAACACACAGAGAAAGCTGACACTTTCTGTTAGCTATAATTTTCCTTGAGAAAAACGTGGCAATATGTAGCAAAATACAATTATTAGTTTCAATATGTAGAACGTATTACAAGAAAAAAAAGATGCCAAAAACATCTTATGTCTACTGCTATTCCTATTAGTCTTTATTATCATGAAAAACTGGTCGCATCCTAAATATCCAACTTTCGGTGACTGGGTGAAGGAAAACTGTAATTTTTCCATATGATAGAATAGTATGCCAGCACTAACAACCAGATAGCAGACTATTTAATGTCATGGTAAAGTATTTGTTTTGTGTGGTCAGGTGAGCAGTTCAGATCATAAAATCAAATGTACCCTATGATCTTATTTTTTGAAGTAAAGTACTGATGTATTTATATGTATAATTAAGTATAGAGAAAAGCCTAGATGGCTTCTCTTATAAGTCTTTTCATTGTTTTATAAATGGTATCAATATTTATTTTTCACTTTTTCCATCAGATTTCCTAGAATAATAAAATTCAATTCCCTCTGATGAGCATTCATTATTCTTTTTTTTTTTTTTTTTTTTGAGACGGAGTCTCACTCTGTCTGCTAGAGCTAGAGTGCAGTGGCCTGATCTCAGCTCACTGCAGCCTCCGCCTCCTGGGTCATTATTCTTACAGTAAGAAAAAATGAATGTTACTAAGTATCTTCTCTGTCCTAGATCAACTAGGTATATACAAGGTGCCAAATACATTTAATAAAATGTTTTATTCATTCATAGCTTTTTGCAGTACAATTTTTTTTGTATGATTCCCTTGTCCTATCATCTCCACCAATAGTTTTGGTGTGAATTTATACTCTAAAGGAAAGGTGACAACCTTATACAATCTCAGGGCTTAAATACTATCCACGTGCTGATGCTTACAAACATACACCTCCAGTTGTGTGGTCTCCCTGAGTTCTGCACATCCCTCTTGGGCATCTAACAAGCATCTCACAGTTAACAAAACCACTGATTTCTAATCAATCCCAGGGACCCTCCGCCAGGCCTGCTCCTCTCTCAGAATTCCTTTTCTCACTTAGTGACACTATCATCCCACCAAACCTCGCTATCATCTTTCTTCCGTCTCCCAAATTTCCAATCCATTAACAAATCCCAAAAACCCCGCTTCCAATATTTGTCTAAATCTATGCACTTCTCAGCTTATCCACTCTTATTATTCTAGCTCCAATTATGTGGCCTTCTGTCTGTGTTACTTTCTTTTTTCCATTCTTGTACGCAGGGTCCAGTTTTCATAGTGAAGTCCTCATAAAACATGTATTAAATTGTATCAGCTTCTGCTTACAGTTATTTATTTATTTATTAAATTTGTGATGTATTTTTATTTATTTATTTATTTTGAGAAGGAGTCTTGCTCTGTCATCCAGGCTGGAGTGCAGTGGCGCGATCTTGGCTCACTGCAGGCTCCGACTCCTGGGTTCAAGCGATTCTCCTTCCTCAGCCTCCTCAGTAGCTGGCATTACAGGCACGCTCCACCGTGCTCAGCTAATTTTTGTATTTTTAGAAGAGATGGGGTTTCACCATGTTGGCCAGGCTGGTCTCAAACTCCTGACTTAAGGTGATCCACCCACCTCAGCCTCCCAAAGTGCTGAGATTACAGGCATGAGCCACTGCGCGCAGCTAGTTTCTGCTTACAGTTTTAAAATGACTTCTTAGTCTATTTAGGAGAAAATATAAACTCTTTACCAGAGCCTACTGGACTCCCCAAAACATGATGTATGTTTATCTCCTCCCTTTAACTCACTCTGTTTTAGCCACCTGGCCTTCTGTTCTCTGAATAAAATAAACTTATTCCTGCCACAGGGCCTTTACACCTACTTTGCCTTCTGCCCCAGACACAGTTCTCACAGGTTTTCCCATGACTCCTTTCTTCTCCTTATTCAGCATCAACCCAAACATCTGCCCCTGAGTGGCCTTCACCAGCACACTCTTCTTAAATATCTTTCCTTACCTCACCTTGTTTGGTTTTGTGCATAACATGTGTCAGCTACAATACTGGTTTCATTGGTTTGTTTATTTACTTTTTTCTTACAATGGAAAGCCCATGAGAGCAGGGTTGTGTCTGCTTTATTCACAACTTTAACCTCAGTGCCTGTACAGAACCAGGACCGTACTAGAAACTCAGTGAGCATTTGTTGAGTATCTTGAACGAATTAATTATTAAAACATTAAAAAGTGACATTTTCCAAGTAAAAATCTTTATCTACTTCCTTAGTGACTCTAATTGCAGACAATGCAAGGTAGAAATGAGGTTCAGATCAATGGCAGGCCGAGAAAGGCATTTTTGGGTGAGTCCATGCAGGCAATGTTTGCTATTGTGGCTGATTTACTTCCATATACTTTAACACAGGTATGTCCCTATTGTGAGACACGGCATTTTTCATAGTATAAAGGTGGAAAGCGAACTTCATGTTATAATAAAAAATAAAGTAAATTTTATACAAACACTAAGAAGTGATCATCTAAATCTACAGTTTAGAATCTGAAACCTATTCCTATGTTGACATCTTCCATGGCCCTACTCCTTAATTAATAAATTCTGACTTACAGAAGGCTATTTTCTGAATCCTTTCATAGCTGACATTGTGGTGGGTGCTGTTAGCCATCCCTTGATACTGACAGCACAATGGCCATCCCTGCCAGGGCACGCGTACACCATCAGTAGTCAAAAGTTTGGCAAAGTAGGCCGGGCGCCGTGGCTCACGCCTGTAATCGGCACTTTGGGAGGCCGAGGCAGGTGGATCACCTGAGGTCGGGAGTTCGAGACCAGCCTGAGCAACATGGAGAAACCCTGTCTCTACTAAAAATACAAAAAAAATTAGCCGGGCTGTGGTGGCACGTGCCTGTAATCCCAGCTGCTCTGGAGGCTGAGGCAGGAGAATCTCTTGAATCCGGGAGGCGGAGGTTGCAGCGAGCCGAGATCGCGCCATTGCACTCCAGCCTGGGCAACAAGAGGGAAACTCTGTCTCAAAAAAAAAAAAAAAAAAAAAAAAAAAAAAAAAAAAAATTGGCAAAGTAAAACACTTCTCTTCATCTCCAGGAGAGCAGTTCATGAAAGAGCATATTCTTAGATATTAAAGGTAAATTTTCAGTGACACCTGTGCAAGATATGACTTTCTGCTGTCCTCTATAAAAATCTACATTTCTATCATATAAATCTAGCAGATCTTAAAATGATAGACCTCAAAGGTAGCACTGCATTTGATATTCTCTTGCAACCCCAGAATGAAACTTAAGCATGAATAATTGGAGATCTGCACACTCCTATAAAGAATAAAGAATGGGACTCAAGTTCACACAGAAGCTAAAAAAGAAAGGCAGGATGACTTCCCTCTGCCACCTTGAAAAGGCTTTGAAACCTACGAAACAAGAAATGGGGAGGGGGGTTGCTGAATGGGTAATAAATATATGAGCCCTCCTCCTAAGGGTTTTTATAATCCTTTCTATCTTGGGTATCTATGTGTTCCTCTGTGAATGTGTTTTCTTATAACTGCACTTCTCATGGAACAGCTCTATCCTTATTATCTGTAACAGGGTTTCTGTTCTGCTTTCATCATGTATATATCTTAGAAAAACAATCTGAACAAATGTCCAGTTAATATGTATATTTATGTATTTATAAATTATATGTATATGCTATTGCACTAATACATTACATATTTTATATACCTTACTACAACCAAAGAAATATAAAAGAATGAGATGGAATAAATATATATTTAAGTTCTAGTTTTTCTTCCTCCATCCTCTGTGGAATGCTTACCCCACTTAAGAAACCCCTAAGATTTCACTGTGTCCTCACAGTGAGATTGTACTCACTCCTCAATGAGAGAACATTAATATTAAAGCTCTTTTGGTTTTATTATCAATTATGCGGTCGAATTTTCAAATAATCTAGCTGTACATATTATACTACAGTGGACGATACTGTGAGGTACCAACTGGACCAGCTCAGCAGAGGCTGGAAGGTTTAACTCATCAGTAGTCATGATACCACTTTTCTCTTAGACTTTTCCAGTAGAATTTATTTTTGGTTTTGCCAGCCAGGGTGAGAGCTGTTTTCTATAGGTATCAATGGTAGAATAAGCATTGTTGCCTCACAGAAGGGAGAAGTCTATGGTATTGGACACCAACCCCCAAGTCCTTCTTACATATCCTCTCCTTGAGAGATAGGGACTCGTGAAAAATGGAAACCCAGGAATTGGCTCTGCATAAACTTAAGCTTTGTCTTTGCAGAACAATTATGAGAAGCCTACTACTGACTCTGGAATATGTTGTATGCAATAAAAACTCTGTACTATTTAGGTATTGTTTCTGATGCACGATACTAGAAATAAGCATCAACTAGCCATGCAAAGTTCTGCTTAGGAAAAATGAAAGTATATTCAAATATAAATTTTTATAAAATGACTATTAACTAAAAAAAAAAATAGCCTTTCTTTCCCCAAACATCAATAGATGCAGAATGCAGAGTAATATTTACAACATGCAACATCATGTTTGGTTCTAATTAATAGACTATTTCAATGAAATATTATTTTGATAAATATGTTCATGCTTCATTTGTCATGTATTAAAAACAGCAATACACACTCACTTGATGAAAAATATTATTGAAGATAAAACAGAAGTATTTCATAAACAACCATTAGGTAGATTATAAGATAACATATAAAAGGTGATATAGGAAATAAATATTAGAAGTACATATTATTCATCTATGACCTAATTTGTATTGAAATGCTGCAAAAACCTTCATAGCAACATTCAGAGAATTACCTGAAAGAAAACTCTGGCATCTTCTATGGTCTTCTATGTGTTTTCTTTAATGGTCACAGTGATTCCCACGTTCAAACTTATTCACTGAAGACAATGCATGTCCTGAGATTCTCATTATTGAAATGCTGAGGCTGAGGCTTGCTTTTCACATATACAGATTGTCCAACATTAAAATACCACTGCATATTGACTGCATACAAAAATCATTAAACTAAATATTCCCAAAAGTCCTGATACAAATAATGTGTTACAATATTTTAGGCAGGATTACCTGATAGGGTTAACAAATTTATCAAGTATAACAGAAAGTGACCACTTATTATTTATTATTGGCTATACCAAAAAATATAGGATCAGGACTTACCTGAATAACATGCTTCAGTTTATCAATAATCTGATTTATCACAGGATCAGTTCCTTTGACTTTGACTTCAGGATTTCCAGACTGGGCTTTGATTCCATTTCCAACCACATGCTGAGTATAACTAGCAAAGGGAAATGTGAAAGATATATGACTTAGTACCTGATCAGAGTATTATCTGCCACAGCTATCTGAACATAGTTGAGGTCAGAATTTCCTCCTTTAGAGAATACACCAATGTATTTTTTTCTTGGAACAGAAACTGGCACAGCTATAATGCTTTTGCAGGTAAAATGCTAAAATGCTTATTGTGCCATTAGATCATTCTAAAAATAATGTTATTCTCTCAATGGACCCAACCAAAAATTACTTGTTTTTTAATACTACTTAACAATATGCTACAAAGAGTTGACATATCTCACTTTGTTACCAGTTCTTGCTGAATTATACATATGTCTGTACCCCTATTGTCTGGGTGAGCTTATTTTACGCAGTCCCAATCTTATTTTTTAAATATCAGGCTACTATATATGTGTGTGTGTGTGTGTGTATATATATATAGAATATGTATAGAGAATATATATAGGATACACATATAGAATATATATAGACTATATAGAATATACATATAGACTATATAGGATATATATAGAATATACATAGACTATATAGGATATATATAGAATATACATAGACTATATAGGATATATATAGAATATACATAGACTATATAGGATATATATAGAATATACATAGACTATATAGGATATATATAGAATATACATAGACTATATAGGATATATATAGAATATACATAGACTATATAGGATATATATAGAATATACATAGACTATATAGGATATATATAGAATATACATAGACTATATAGGATATATATAGAATATATATAGACTATATAAGATATATAGAGTATATAGACTATATATAGGATATAGATAGAATATATATAGACTATATACAGGATATCGATAGAATATATATAGACTATATATAGGATATAGATAGAATATATATAGACTATATATAGGATATAGATAGACTATATATAGGATATAGATAGAATATAGATAGACTATATATAGAATATATGTAGAATATAGATATAGAATATAGATATAGAATATATATGGAATATAGATATAGGATATATATAGATAGAATATAGATATACACACACATATATATTTCCTAATTAGGTCCTTCAAGAAATAAGTGATTAAACTTTTTAATAATGATAGTATCAATTGGACATGATAACAATAATATTATTAATAAACTCTTTGATTTTTAAAATAAACTTGAACCCATTTCTTTTCATAGTCATAGAGGGGCTTAGAGATAAGAATTTCAGTATCCATTAGGGATTTGCAGTATACACCAGTAACAAATAGTAGAAAGAAAACAGTTATATCTATTTTGTTAATGTGTAATGATATTCTTTACTTTAGAAAATAAAATTATATATAGTATAACTATATATAATATATAATATATATTATATGTAAAATATATATAACTGTACAAGTCAATATCATAAATTATAACTGTACAAATTAAAATCATCAAATTTATAAGCAACGAAAATGTGCGAAGTATTTCCTAAGTAGAGGAAACAATCTGCTTTCGCCTAGGTTCACCTAAACAAAGATCTGGTAAATCATGTGGTAGGTAAAAAGGGTCATTTCACAGGTGGTGAAAGCCATTTGAAATTTCACTACCTTCCCCAAATTACAATCATACGTCAACTTAGAATTAATAAAAATATTTAAATTCATTAGTCACAAAGATGTCTTAAGTGAATGCTATATTCCAAGTCCTGTACTAGGTCTTTAGGATTATAAGAAGGTGTAAGACTCAATTTTTGTCCTCATAATGCTCATTACTTAACCAAGAATATAACAGATTAATTAACTCATTCATTTGTATGCTTATTCATTACATTTTACTACATTTAAAAAATACCGTAGATTTCAGCCATATAAATACCCTTGTTTGCCTGACAGAAGAGTGTAATATAAACACAACTGAACCGTTAAAATACAACATTATGAAAGTAGATGGAAGGAACTGCACGTGCCACGTGTGAGGAAAGATAAGACAGGTGGTAGATATTCTGGATATAGAGAAGCCCATTTGAACTCAGACACTAGGGAAAAACTAAAGGAGAAGTTATAACTTGAGGTAGCCTTGGATGTATTGAGGTAAGAAGAGGACATCTATGGTATGGTTAATGAGAACTTCAGGGCAAAGGATGTCATCCCAGCAAGGAAAACGGCAAAGGTACGTGAACAAGGCAGACAGGGAGAACAGGCCTCTATTCACAAAGCAGAGAGTACAAACGTTGGAAAGCAATGGATAGAGGGCCACACCCTGAAGATTCCACCCTGAATGTTGAAGACTCTCCACTGAGTGATATAATGGGCTCTGGAAATTCATAAGGGGGAAGTTGGCAGGTGGGTGTGGAATAAAAAAGCTACATGTTTGGTACAATGTACACTACTCAGGTGACAGGTGCAATAAAATCTCAGACTTCACCACTATACAAATTATCCATGTTACCTAAACCACTTGTGCTCCAAAAGCTATTGAAGTAAGACATTTATTTATTTATTTATTTATTTATTTATTTATTTATGTTTATTTATTTATTTTTTTGAGACGGAGTCTGGCTCTGTCGCCCAGGCTGGAATGCAGTGGCGCAATCTCGGCTCACTGCAAGCTCCGCCTCCCGGGTTCACGCCATTCTCCTGCCTTAGCCTCCCGAGTAGCTGGGACTACAGGCTCCCGCCAGTACGCCCGGCTAATTTTTGTATTTTTAGTAGAGACGGGGTTTCACTGTGTTAGCCAGGATGGTCTCGATCTCCTGACCTCATGATCCGCCCGCCTTGGCCTCCCAAAGTGCTGCGATTACACGCTTGAGCCACCGCGCCCGGCCAAGACATTTAAAAAATGAAAACAAAACACTATCACCTGAGTAATTTGTTTGCTTACATTAAATATCATAATACTTTTCAGCAAAAAATATTATCATTTTAATGTAACTTTCGTTCCCTGTATTTGAGCGGAGTACTGCACTATCCATAAACACCCTCTGAATTTTCTACAGTAATGGAAAAAAATCTTTGAAAAAAATAAAAGAAGGTTCTATGTTTGAGAATATGGCTATATGAAAGGGGTTTCAAGAAATATCCAGTTCTTCCCAAGACGATGTACTTCCAGTGACCAGTTTTAAGAAGTGGAACAGGCCAGGCGCGGTGGCTCATGCCTGTAATCCCAGCACTTTGGGAGTCCGAGGCGGGCAGATCACGAGGTCAGGAGATCGAGACCATCCTGGCTAACACGGTGAAACCCCGTCTCTACTAAAAATACAAAAAATTAGCCGGGCGTGGTGGCGGGCGCCTGTAGTCCCAGCTACTCGGGAGGCTGAGGCAGGAGAATGGTGTGAACCTGGGAGGCAGAGCTTGCAGTGAGCCGAGATCACCTCACTGCACTCCAGCCTAGGTGACAGAATGAGACTCTGTCTCAAAAAAAAAAAAAAACAAAAAAAGTGGATCGAATATTTCCTAACGAGGTCCTTCAAGTAATAATAAGTGATTAAACTTTTTGATAATGATAATATCAATTGGACATGATAAAAATACTATTAATAAATCTTTTGATTTAAAAACTAACCTTGTACCCACTTCTTTTGTAGGCGTGGGGGGAGCTTAGAGTTAAGTATTCCAGTATCCGTTAGGGATTTGGCAGTATACATCAATAACAAATAGTAGAAGGAAAATAATTATACCTGTGTCATATATATATATATATATATATATATATATACACACACACATAGAGAGAGAGAGAGAGAGAGAAACCATCTCTTAAATTACCTGTAGCACCACTATGTTATTCTTTACTCTCCCAATACCCCAAGTAGATTGCACATGTGACTCTTTTATTAATGTGTTGAATATTCATAATGATAATGAATAATATGAATAAATAAATTGATAAGTGCGTAACTATGAATTAGGCATTGCTTTACTCTTATCTGGAGATTTCAATTCATGATAAACATCTTTTAGTGACCATGAATAAGAAACTCATAGACCTGCATTAGAGAAATGCAAATCTAAACCACAATGAGATACCATCTCACTCCAGTTAGAATGGCAGTCCTTAAAAAGTCAGGAAACAACAGATGCTGGAGAGGTTGTGGAAAAACAGGAATGCTTTTACACTATTGGTGGGAGTGTAATTTACTTCAACCATTGTGGAAGACAGTGTGTGAATTCCTCAAGGATCTAGAACTAGAAATACCATTTGACCCAGCAATCCCATTACTGGGCATATACTCAAAAGATTATAAATCATTCTACGATAAAGACACATGCACACGTATGTTTATTGTGGCACTATTCACAATAGCAAAGACTTGGAACCAACCCAAATGTCCATCAGTGATAGACTGGATTAAGAAAATGTGGCACATATACACCATGGAATACTATGCAGCCATAAAAAAGGACATGAGTTCATGTCCTTTGCAGGGACATGCATGAAGCTGGAAGCCATCATTCTCAGCAAACTATCACAAGATCAGAGAACCAAACGCCGCATGTTCTCACTCATAAGCAGGAGTTGAACAATGAGAACACATGGACACAGGGAGGGGATCATCACACACTGGGGCCTGTGGGGTGTGGGGGTGTAGGGGAGGGATAACATTAGGAGAAATACCTAATGTAGGTGATGGGTTGATGGGTGCAGCAAACCACCATGGCATGTGTATACCTATGAAACAAAACTGCAAGTTCCGCACATGTAACCCAGAGCTTAAAGTATAATTTAAATAAATAAATAATAAATAAATAAATAAACTCATAGACCTCAAAGTATGGGAAGCCTAACTGCCTACGGCCACTTGCTGCTTCACTCTAAAATCTGTTTCTGCATCTGCCCCTCAGTCAATGACTGAGGCCCACAGGGTGGCTAATGCAGATCCCTCTTTAGGAGACACAGGGCTTCTCTGAGGACCAGTCTTGGCTCAGGATTCCCTGAAGCCTTTTCTCACCCTTCCTTAGACTGTACATTACGCTCCAGTGCTTCCACTCAACCTTCCTTTCCTCTTTCCTTCATTCTAGGTCAGACTTGCCTCATAGCTGAGACCTCTTCCAGGCTTACTCAGCTTCCTCTCCATTTTCTCTCACAGGGATTTCCCTTAATAAAATCCTCTTGTGTTTAACTCGTTTTCAACATCTACCTCTTGGAGGACCTGGACTAACCCACCACATAATGTTTGTATTATAATTACTTCCATTCTACAGGTTGAGAATCTGGGATCTGGAGAAGTTAAGCAACTTAAGTTACTCAAGTAAGGCCACACAACGTATATAAAGTGTGCTGCAAGGAGTTAAACCCAGGGAACGCACACTCCAAAACAGAACCATCAACAAGTACCAATCCTGAAACCAACTAATAAAAGGTAAAGATACAATTAGCTTGGTGCAAAATGTTATTTTTCTCTCTAATTACATTTTCTAAGGTTTCACTGTTTGTGATTAAGAAGGGATGAATGATTTTCATCAAAACTCTGCTCAACAAGCCGGGTGTCGTGGCATGCACCTGTAGTCCCAGCTACTGAGGAAGCAGAGGCAGGGGGATCACGTGAGCCCAGGAGGTTAAGGCTGCAGTGAGCTGTGATTACATCTCGTTGACCACGTGACCCTGAGTGTAACTCATAGACCTCAAGCCTGGGCAACAGAGCAAGACTCTGCCTTAAAAAGTAAAACTAAGCAAAACAAAACAATCCTGAACAAATGGTTGCACATAACCAGCTAAACAGTAATATAACAGTTGTTGGCAGGGTGAGAAGAAACTAGCAGACTGTAGGTTTGTCATACTGTTTTTTTGTTTCTCCAGAAACACAGATATAATATAGGCAATGAAAGCTGAGACTCATCTCTTAATTTCAGTTAAGCTATTAATTGATTTACATCATTTACTTACAGGTCAGAAAAGTTCCTTTCAAAAGGCAGGAATGTTGTTTCATGTTAATCTAAGGACTTGCTTACCTTTTGTTTCTGTTCTTAATGATCACAGTTACTAATACAGTTAAATAATATTTAGATAAAATACATTACAATTATAGCTGATCAAAAATCTCATTCCAAGCTGTTATATTGTTGACTATCTCATGATCACTCTTCTTATGAATCATGTAAATAGGGAAAAATACTGCAAAGTAGACCCACGTTACTTCAAATGAAATATGATTTAATAAAATCAGTTATTCTTTGCCAATTTTGTAATGTTCAAAATAACCACAATTGAAATAGTGATACATACACATCAGAACAGTTCAAATGAAAAAGAGAAATGATACCAAGTGTTGGCAAAGATGCGGAGCAACTAGAACTCTCTCCCATTGTGGATGGAAATGTAAACTGATGGACACCACCATTTTCCATGTATGCTAAATCTGACCATATTCTATGACCCTGAGCATATACCCAGCAATATTTACCAAAAGACAAATACATGAATGCTCAGAGAGGCACCATTCAAAATAACCACAAATTGAACTTATATTTGTATAATGATATAGTATATAGCAATGAGAACCTAACAAATTACAACTATATGCAAAAAGATTAACAAATCTTATAAACTAAATATTGAATGAAAGAAGCAAGATACAGAACATATTCTACGATCTAATTCACTAAAAATTGTAAAACTCATCAGTTATGTTCCAAATCACCATAAGAGCGATCCTATGAAATAGTGTCTAGAAGAAGTAATAATATAAAATTTCCTGACTTGAGTACTGGATACACAGAAGGGCTAAGTTTGTTTAAAAACAAAAGAAGTATTGAGCTGTACAGTTAAGATTTGGGTATTTTACTGTTTGTATGTATTTTCAGCGTTAGAAAATTATGTTAAAAAGTCTTTATGCTCTTTTTCTTAATATATTTACAATAGACAAATTTTCATTAAGCCACAGTATAAATAAAAAAGACCCACACAGGTATTTTTAACATGGATGAAGTGGTTCTGTCATCATTAAATGAGTACTTTAGGATGCAAGTCTGATATAAAAACTTACTTCCCTGAAGACTTTAATTTTGCATGCAAAATACACGGTTTCTAAATTAAATTTTTTTGTAACAAAGCGTTTTTGAGTTCCCCTCATGGAATTTTAATAAATCATTAATTTCTTCTTTTTCTCTTTCATGCACAAGCAGTGGATAAACATTTCAAAGATCCCTACAGAAGTTTCTTCCCTTGAAATACTGTTCACATGACAATGAGAAGGATGGAATAAAACACAAAAAAGGTAAGCAATTTTTTTTTTTTGAGGCGGAGTCTTGCTCTGTCGCCCAGGCTGGAGTGCAGTGGCGCGATCTCTGCTCACTGCAAGCTCCGCCTCCCGGGTTCCCGTCATTCTCCTGCCTCAGCCTTCGAAGTAGCTGGGACTACAGGCGTCCGCCACCGTGCCCAGCTAATTTTTTGTATTTTTAGTGGAGACGGGGTTTCACCGTGTTAGCCAGGATGGTCTCCATCTCCTGACCTTGTGATCTGCCCGCCTCCGTCTCCCAAAGTGCTGGGATTACAGGCTTGAGCCACTGCGCCCGGCCAACAGGCAAATTTTTCGTTGGGGAAGTAGTAGACCAACCATCTGTGCTTATTTCTTCTAAACAGAGCTGGGAATGAGTGACAGCAGTTGAACAGGAACACTTGCTCCCCAAGCACTACTTGTTTTTCATGAAGAAGGAAAAAAGGCAAAAGCCCTGCTACATTTACATTCGCAAAATTGTTTTCAAATGAGGATTAACAAGATGTTAGTTCCCTCTCTGTTGAACACATAAAATATTAAAAGGCAGTGCTAATACATCTATATACAGCACATCAGGAGGAAGGAGGAAGTCATTTCTCCTGACTTTACCAACTTGTCTTATTTGAAACTGATACCGTGCCCTATTGGCTGATAGGAGTTTCACTTTATTTAGAATACAATAGAATTTGGCTCAGATTCACACCAAAAGTATAGTATTTTGATGTGCACTTACACGATTTCAGGGGAAAACAATATCTGGAATGTGACCCTGGAATTCATTACAAGTCAGTTAAAGGGATCTCTCTTAGAATTTTTTCATAATTGGACTGGGACAGGATGTAAGAATAAATCATTAACAGTAGATGAGGAAAACACTTGACGAGAGCTTTCTCGTCTTACCATTACTGCTCTTTCTATCAGAGGTTAAAGACAGAATGGGGACCATGTTGTGGTTGTTATTCTTGTTGTTTGATTGGTTTGTTTATTATGTTCTTGCAGGACTTGGTTATGTGGCTGGATATGAAAATTCTTTCCATTTCCAGAGTCATAAATCTCCTAATTTCTAGGAGATTAAATACTGGTTTTATCTTTGGCTCCAGTAAAAATGTTGCTATCTTGGATTAAAAGAAGGTTGGGAAATACGTTGTGTCTATTCACCAGTGAATGGGAACCCCTTCTACAACAACAAATTTTCCATTCAAACCATTTCTAGGCCTCCCTTCCTGGTTCTGATAGCAAATGTGAAAGCAAGTACTAGAGATTTGGGTTTTGTAAGTTTCCTCAAATACTTGGGAAATACTGGATTCCGTTGCCAAGTGTTGCCTTTTGTACATTCAGCTTCTACACAGCACGTTTTCTCTATGTTGAAAGTCCTAATCCTTGAAATCTCAGAATGGAAAAGAGTTATATGACTAATTTTATGTGCCAGGATTATGGGAATAAACTTTCATGGAAGATAGGAAGCTTACAGGGCATTTAGAGAAAGGAGACATCTGTAGAATCAATTCAGAATGATTAAGCCCCTTGTGATCTCACTATCTCACTTCAATTGTTAAGCCACAAAACTCTTTTTAAGTTAATCTCTAACATTTATTTGGCTTTATAATTACATATAAATAATGTCTAAATTTGACACCTATGTTTCCAAACTTAATAATGAAGTCAAAATAAACAGAATTAAGGAGAGCTTATTACGATCTTTATTGTTATTTATATATAACAAATTTCCTATTGAGAATATAATATTTTATGATATCTTATGGATGTCATTAACATTGCTTTAATAAAGGTATTATCATGCTTTGTACAGCAACCAACACGAAAATGTTACTATACCACTGCAATAGATAGAATAAAAACATGTTCAGAAAGACTTAGAAACTCATTAAAGAATGGACGTTAATCACTTTTCACCCTAACTCCTCATTTGGCAAGGCATGAATCTATGCATTCCAGTTTAGACAGGTGGCAAGTAAGTAGTCTCATTGCATTTCATAAAATAAGCAGCTGCGTGAATTTGAAAGATACTATTTCCACATGAAAAGCTAATGACTGCACATGTAAAATCAGTAGTGTTTAGGAAGCTGTCATTTAAAAAACAACAAACTACCTAATTAAAAAGTAGCACAAATGAACTTTTGCCTACGTAAAAAATAGAACATTGCTTAGCCTTTTCTTAAACCCCTCCCCAATTCTTACCAAGAAAGGATAAATACCTTTATTATAGTCAAAGCTCTGTTTTTATGGTTTTTGAATTTTTTAATCTAAAATTCAAAGCAAATAATCAATCTTTAATTTATATTTATCCCAATTTGATTCGAAGTGACGGTCCAAAAGTAAAATGATCAATTATAACTATAATCAATCACAAATAATGCTATGTGAGTTTGAAATGTTAATCTAAGTTGCCTTTTCCAGGTATGCATTTTAAAATTAAACTCTTCTCAGTAAGATCAAGGCTATCCTTCATGGATTTATGATGTTTGATAATCACCACGTTGTACTGATTTGCTGTCTCACTTCACTGTTTGATATCAACATATGAAAGTAAAAATGCTATTTAGGGGATAACTATTATCTGAGCACTAATAAATTAAATGCTATTTTAAGCCAACAACAAAATTGTTTAGGGTACAATTTTTATTTAACCAACTGTCCATTATAAACATTATAAAATTCTGAAAGATCCTAGAATCTTATATAGCTTTTTTGTATTTTTTCAAATGTAATTGACACCAGCATGAATTAAATTTCATATTTAAAAAGCTTCAGACTACATTACAACATACTTTAAAATTACTTGCAAGATATGATAATTCTAAGATTACCCACATATCATGCAACTGAAACAGCCAGGTACTTCCTACCAACACATGATACAATAAAATCCAGAAGAACTTCTGAATTAGAGTGTAGTAGTTGCCTAGGGCCATCATACCTAATTATCACACACTTGGTGGGTTAAGAGGACAGAAATATATTCTCTCATAGTTCTGAAGCCTGGACCTCTGAAATCAAGATGTTGGCGGGGCCACACTCCCCCTGAAGACCCTAGGGAAGAATTCTCCCTCGCTTCTTCCTGGCTTCCAGTGGCTCCTGGCAATCCTTGACCTTCTTTGATTTATGACTGCATAACTCCAATTTCTGTCTCCATCTTCACATGACCTTGTGTGTGTCTTTTCCTGTATGTTATAAGGACATTTACACTGGATTTAGGGCCCACCTTCACCCAGGATGACCTCATCTCAATCACTGGGTTAATTATATCTGCAAAGACCCTACTTCCAAATAAAATCACATTCTAAAGTTCCTAATGGACATAAATTTTGGAGGTACGGTATTTAAATCACTACACAGAACATGTAAAGACAAAAATCTGGAAGCTACCTGAATGAAAATGGATATTCCCTTGAACTTCGACAAAATCATATTCTATTTTTCCATGAGAAACATTTTATTACTCTAAAACAATATTCATATTTCACAAGTACACCTCTTAAATTATAGCTTGGACTTAAGAAAAATAATTAGCTTTGGAAATTATCAGTACATGATATCTAGTATTTCCTATATTTTTAAGAACTTCTACCTCCTAGCAAAAATAAACAATGCAATGGATAATTTCTGTGTTCTAAATTCACACACACAAACAGGAAAGGGACTTTAAAAATGATGTGTTCTCTTTTAAAGCAGAAGCCCAACCACCTGCTCTGAATCTAAAAGTTTCCTGAAAGCAATGAAGGGCTAGTTTATTATGAAGGTGTTGATAGCTGATTCTGTGGAGACTCACACAGAAACAAAGAATAAATTTTAATCACACTTAATGCTAATGTGGTAGTAAGGTTGTGACAATATTCAAATATGACTAATTTCATTGAATTAACTACACTCGGGCTTAGCTTAGTTGTCCAAATTTATTACAAATAGCTCAAACTAAATAACTCAACTCTTCTGTTTTCTATTTATTTTTTGTTGATGCTTAAGAGTAAAAAGATATTTCAACTGAATTTTTTTTTTTTTTTTTTAGCAATCAGTTCTCTTGTTTTATCACCATAAGACTGTAAACGGCCGTAACAGGTCACTGAATCTAGCACTGCCTTCAACAAGAAATGCACCTAGAGCAGGAATATAGTACTTGGCACTCATCTCTAGACCTATAACCTAACAGATTTTTTTTTTGTCTGTCTTTGGTGAAAGTAACGTAAATTTAGAGCTGGAAAGGACCTTAGAGGTCATCTAGTCCCACCCAAGCATCTTTGAAAACAAAATAAAGAAGTGTGTTGGCCTGATGCGGTGGCTCACGCCTGTAATCCCAGCACTTTGGGAGGCCAAGGCGGGCAGATCACAAGGTCAGGAGATCGAGACCATCCTGCCTAACATGGTGAAACCCCGTCTCTACTAAAAATACAAAAAATTAGCCGGACATGGTGGCAGGTGCCTGTAGTCCCAGCTACTCGCGAGGCTGAGGCCGGAGAATGGAGTGAACCCAGGAGGCAGAGCTTGCAGTGAGCCGAGATCGTGCCACTGCACTCCAGTCTGGGCAATAGAGTGAGACTCCGTCTTAAAAAAAAAAAAAAAAAGAAGCATGTTTATTTCATCATTTTGTACTTATACACTGTGTATTTCCAGAAAAGCCCCTGAGACAGCTTAGAATGAAAGGCACAGACACTATAAAACAAGGGCAAAATGACAGAATAATGAAGAGAAAGAGGTGACAATTACATGGGACAACCTAGGGAAGGAAACACTACCCTTCAGCCTAAAATTTAGTCCTAAGCCCCTTGTTCTTAAAGGCCAAAAGGAAAACCAGAATTCAAATAGGTATTGTTAGTTAATAAAATAGTATCTGGATATATCAGCAACTATTTTTTGGTAACTCTAAACTCAAGCAAAATATATGTCTTCAAGCAACAGACAATGGACAATATAATAAAAATAATCTTCCATAGCAATTTCCAAACTTTTAAAGATGTAAGAACAAATGATCTTTTCTTACAGGATGCTTAGTTGAAAGCTGCCCGCATGATGGTATTTTAAACTACATGATGTTAAATTCCCTGCATGATGGTATTTTATTGGGACCTGGTTATATGATTTGGTGAAGAATGTAACCTTTGAGAACTTAGAAGAGTGAATGGTTAATATTTCTCTGAATTTTTTTGTTTTTAATTGATATTTTATTTTATCCCTCATAGACAATATATGCCTGGGAAATACACTGAAGTATAGTAAAAAAGAATCTAAGGGTTAAAGTGTTGAGGTAAATGAGAAAGCAGAGGTTGTGTCTGAAGAACCGTGTGGTCGCACTGCACCACACAGCAAACAGAAATATGGGTGAGCACAGGCCGGGCGCGGTGGCTCAGGCCTGTAATCCCAGTACTTTGGGAGGCCGAGGAGGGCGGATCACGAGGTCAGGAGATCGAGACCATCCTGGCTAACACGGTGAAACCCCGTCTCTACTAAAAATACAAAAAATTAGCCGGGCCTGGTGGTGGGCGCCTATAGTCCCAGCTACTTGGGAGGCTGAGGCAGGAGAATGGCGTGAACCCGGGAGGCGGAGCTTGCAGTGAGCCGAGATCGGGCCACACCACTCCAGCCTGGGGGACAGTGAGACTCCGTCTAAAAAAAAAAAAAAAAGAAGTTCACCCTATGCAGGCACTATAACTACGAGTCCCTCCCATCTGAGCCTTGCCTTCCAGACAACCCCACCAATACATAAGACAGAAAAAAAGCACCTTGCACCTTCCAGACTGACTTGTTTGCCAGCCGCATAGCACTGAGTCACCCTAGTTAATGATATGAGAGAGGAAGAATCACTCAGACGAATCCTGCTGGAATTTCTCACCTATAGGATCCATGAGATACAATGAAGTGGTCGTTGTTTTACCTTATTAAATTTGGGGTAGTTTCTTTTTTCTTTTTTTTTTTTCTTTTTTCTTTTTTTTTTTTGAGACGGAGTCTCACTCTGTGGCCCAAGCTGGAGTGCAGTGGCGCAATCTCGGCTCACTGCAAGCTCCGCCTCCCGGGTTCACACCATTCTCCTGCCTCAGCCTCCCGAGTAGCTGGGACTACAGTCACCCACCACCACGCCAGGCTAACTTTTGTATTTTTAGTAGAGACGGGGTTTCACCGTATTAGGCAGGATGGTCTCGATCTCCTGAACTCGTGATCCGCCCGTCTCAGCCTCCCAAACTGCTGGGATTACAGGCGTGAGCCACGGCGCCCGGGCCATTTGGGGTAGTTTCTTAAGCAGCAATAGTAACTGTAACACTGACTCACTTCTACTGCCACCAATCACTATCCTCCTTTCCTGATTTACTTCCTCGTATGTACCATCTTTTAAAAAACAAATAATTAGGCCGGGTGCAGTGGCTCACGCCTGTAATCCCAGCACTTTGGGAGGCTGAGGTGGGCGGATCACGAGGTCAGGAGATCGAGACCATCCTAGCTAATATGGTGAAACCCCGTCTCCGCTAAAAATACAAAAAATTAGCCAGGCGTGGTGACCGGGGCCTGCAGTCCCAGCTACTCGGGAGGCTGAGGCAAGAAAATGGCGTGAACCCGGGAGGCGGAGCTTGCAGTGAGCTGAGATCGCGCCACTGCACTCCAGCCTGGGCGACAGAGGGAGAGTCTGCCTCAAAATAATAATAATAATAATAATAATTAGTGAAAACTTCAATAACTTTTGCACCGGCCTAATAGTTGTAAAGAAACTATAAGCAAGTTCACAAAAGTTAAAACAAAAAATCAGCTATGAGAAACAAATATGAATTATACCACTAACTGCTGAAAAGAAAGACTCTAAGACTGAAATTACCAAAAAAAAAAAAACCCTCAGCTGAAAACAAAACAAATAATCAAACTCTATTACTCTACTCTATTTCCATGAAGTGTACAAACTGTTCCTGTAAGTTTAACGATATTAAAATGTACAAAGATTAATAAAGTAAAAATCAAAGACTATTTATAACATCATCGATTTCACATAAAGTAGAATTTTAAAGGAAAAGGTATCACATGGAAAACAATAAAATATTTAATATTACAAAGCAAAACACTAAATGAACGTCACATTTAATTGTGAAATCATTAGCATGTTTCTCCGTTATGACTTATTAAAGGATAAAATTTGAGCATTATAATGTATAAGATTTTTGGCCGGGCGCAGGGGCTCACGCCTGTAGTCCCAGCACGTTGAGAGGCTGAGGCGGGCGGATCACGAGGTCAGCAAATCCAGACCATCCTGGCTAACACGGTGAAACCCTGTCTCTACTAAAAAAATACAAAAAAATTAGCCAGGCGTGGTGGCGGGCACCTGTAGTCCCAGCTACTTGGGAGGCTGAGGAATGGCGTGAACCTGGGAGGCGGAGCTTGCAGTGAGCCCAGATTGCGGCACTGCACTCCAGCCTGGGCAAGAGAGTGAGACTCCCAATCCAAAAAAAAAAAAAAGAAAAGAAAAGAAAAGAAAAACCGACTTTCATTAAAGCCTCCTGCAGAAATTTGCATAAGTAACAAGGAGCCAAATGTAATCACCAAGACAATGGGGAAAATGTCTCCAGAACATTAAAGACCTTAACACCTTCACGGCAGCTCTTTCCATCACAGGCTCAAAAGCCTAGTATGGAAAAATGATTTCCTGGAGCAGGTCCAGGTCCCCCTGCTGTGTGCAGCCTAGAGACTTGGTGCCCGGCATTCCAGCCACTCCAGCCATGGCTGGGGTGGGAGACACCAGGCTACAGCTCAGGCCATGTCTTCAGAGGTTGCAGCCCCAAGCCTTGGCAGCTTCCACAAGATGTTGAGCCTGCAGGCGCACAGAAGTCAAGAATTGAGGTTTGGGACCCTCCACCTAGATTTCAGAGAATGTATGGAAACACTTGGATGTTCAGGCAGAAGTTTGCTCTGGTGGGGTGCGGGGGCAGGAGCAGGGGCTCATGAAGAACCTCTTCCAGGGTAGTAGAGAATTGAAATGTGGGCTCTGTCTCCCATACAGAGTCCCTACTGGGGCAATGCCTAGTGGAGCTATGAGAAGAGGGCCGCTGCCCTCCAAACCCCCAATTGGTAGATCCACAAACAGTTTACACTGTGTACCTGGAAAAGCCACAGACAATGCCAGCCAGTGAAAGCAGCCAGGAGGGAGGCTGTACCCTGCAAAGCCACAGAGGCAGAGCTGCCCAAGGCCATGGGAGACCACCACTTGCGTCAGTGTGACCTGCATGTGAGACACGGAGTCAAAGGAGATCATTTTGGAACTTTAACGTTTAATGACTGCCCTATTGGATTTCAGACTTGCATGGAACCTGTAGCCCCTTTGTTTTGACCAATGTCTCCCATTTGGAACAGGTGTAAATACACTGGGGGTACCCAATGCCTGTACCCCCATTGTATGTAGGAAGTAACTAACTTGCTTTTAGTTTTACAGGCTCATAGGTGGAAGGGACTTGTCTCAGATGAGACCTTGGACTGTGGACTTTTCAGTTAATGTTGAAACGAGTTAAAACTTTGGGGGACTGTTGGGAAGGCATGATTGATTTTGAAATGTGAGAACATGAGATTCAGGAGGCACCAGGGGAAGAATGATATGGTTTGGCTATGTCCCTACCCAAATCTCATCTTGAATTGTAGCTCCCATAATCCCCATATGTCATGAAAGGGACCCAGTGGGAGGTAACTGAATCATGGGGATGGGTTTCTCCCTGTGTTGTTCTTGTGAAACCGAATAAGTCTCACAAGTTCTGATGGTTTTATAAAGGGGAGTTCCCCTGCACATGCTCTCTCTCTTGCCTGCCACCATGTAAGACATGTCTTTGCTCCTCCTTTGCCTTCTGCCATGATTGTGAGGCTTCCCCAGCCACGTGGAACTGAGTCCATTAAACCTTTTTTTCTTTATAAATTACCCAGTCTCAGGTATTTCTTCATAGCAGTATGAAAGTGGACTAACACAGTATCAAACCCTGGTTTGGGGTAATAATCACTACCTTCTAGGTAACCAGAATGGAAAAAAATAACAGAAAAAAAATCTTAAAAATCATCCTGCGTACAAGAAAAATGAAACTGTATGCTGAATTCTCAGGGGGAGAAAACGTATTTAAAAATATATGACTTTCAAACCACAAGAAACTATAGAACATTGCTTTAAACTATTTGTCTATGAACAGTATGTAGAAACACATGGAATTTAGGAAATAGGAGATGAAGGCTACAATAACAAAAGAGGCTCATATCACAAAATGGGAGATAGCTGAGATGAGGCTTCTATGAAAACTAAAGTGCAAGGGCAGATTTTCCATCCACAGGGAAATCCGTGGAGAAAGAAACTGACACACTGAAAAGTTCAAGCAGCAATTGAATCAGAGCTCTGGAGGGCAAAAGAAGAGATGAACTAATGACAGAGAAGAAGGCGGATGGGTATGCCAGAGACCACAGGTTCCACCTCGAGAATAGTTTGTGTACTGGGGAAAGACACAAGGGCAAGGAGATCTGAAACAATAATCAAAGCTATCACTGAAGTACGAATAATAAAAGCACCAACCAGCTTCTAGGCAGGGAGGGGGAAGAAACAAGGAAGAGTTCTCCATATTTAAATAACAACTAGCCAAACTCCTGAATTTTACAAATAAAGAAAAAAACTTCCTTAAAAATAAAAAGTCAGGCTTAGATAAGACTTTTTTTCTTCTCTGTTAACATTATTAGAAGACATAAAGATTTTAAGAGAATAAAAATATGATCAAGAGGATCATAAATATCAGGTTGTCTTTACCTGAGTACGAAGCAATGGCATCTGTATATCCAGCACTGATTTGTCCTTCCAATAAAAATTTACTCAAAGACATATGGGTACATATTAGAAAAATAATCAAAATTAATATTTCAAGGATTAGGAAGTTGTGAAGCCAAAATCCTGCAAGGGGACAATTGATTCAGTTAATGGAAAGATTTATTTTTCATATTTTATGATTATTTACCAAAATAATATTTTTAAAGTATAATTATAAAATAAAAATAAAATATTTAACAATACTATAATTATAATCATGTTCCAAGTTATAAAACAAGATAGTGAGAATTGTCAGTAAGATAGTAAGAATTCTAATACTATCTCAAAATAAAGGATACAGAAGGTTTCAGGGCAAGAGAAAGGGAAAACCTTCTATATCCTTTAGTTTGAGATAGTATTAAAGCTTTCTGTAGGCTCACTCAAAATGTCCGGATTCTGACCACATTTGAATATGAGCACTCCCAACCTGACGATTCCTAGTCTAAGCCACACATATTTCCTCTTATGGTTATTGCAAAAGCTCCCTAACTGGTCTCCCAGCTTCTGCCGTTGATTCCTTTCAGCTATTTTTTACACAAGTGCCAGAGAAATCTCAGAAATGCAATTCAGATGATATCACTTCTTTGCTTATATCTTTCAATGTTGTTCCCCTCTACGTGTTCATGTATTCTCCCCTTTGACTCTCGCTTCTAAGTGGGAACATTTGGTTTTCTGTTCCTGCATTAGTTGGCTAAGGATAATGGCTTCCAGCTCCATCCATGTTCCTACAAAGGGCGTGATCTCATCTTTTATGGTGGCATAATATGCCATGGTGTATATATACCACATTTTCTTTATCCAGTCTACCATTGATGGGCATTTATGTTGATTCCATGCCTTTGCTACTGTGAATAGCGCTGCAATAAACATATGCATGCATGTGTCTTTATGACAGAACAATTTATATTCCTTTGGGTGTATACCCAGTAATAGGATTGCCGGGTCGAATGGTAGTTCTTTTAGGTGTTTGAGGAATCACCACACTGTCTTCCACAATGGCTGAACTAATTTACACTCCCACCAACAGTGTAGAAATGTTGCCTTTTCTCCACAATATTGCCAGCATGTTATTTTTTAGCTTTTTAATAATAACCATTCTGAATGGTGTGAGATAGTATCTCATTGTACTTCTGATGTGCATTTCTTTAATGATCAGTGATGCTGAGCTTTTTTTCTACGTTTGTTGGCTGCACGTATGTCTTATTTTGAAAAGGAGGGTGAAAGCTGGGAGGAGGGAGAGGATCAGGAAAAACAACTAGTGGGTAGCAGGTTTACCATGTGGGTAACAGAATAATCCGTACAACAAACCCCCATGACACAACTTTACCTACATAACAAACCTGCACGTGTACCACTGAACTTAAAAGTTAAATTTAAAAAATAAAAAATAAAAAAATCTTTCAATGGTCCCATGTCAGTTTGAGGAACAGCCAAAGTCCTTAAAATGACGTACAAGGTGCTCGTTCCATCATCCGTCTTCTCATGTTTATTTCTCTGCCACCATCTACTAATACTCTTCCCCCTTCTCATTCTACTCCAGCTATAATGGCTTCCTCGATGCTGTTCTAAGAATAAGTCCACATGATTCCGACTCAGGGCTTTTGCCCAAGCTGTGGTCTCTCTTTGGAATGCTCTTGTTTCAGCAGAGCACGATTCCTCCTCATTTCCTTCAAGTCTGTCCCCAAATGCCTTCTACCTGGTGTGTAATTGTCATGTGTGGCAGTTTTAAACATAGTCCAAAAACAGGTTGATATTCTTCTCATCAAAAAATAGGTCTATGTCTCCCTTCCCTAAATCTGGACGTGCTTGTGACTGCTACAATCAATAGAGTATGACAAATAATTCTACCTGACCTTTAAAGTGAGATAAAAAGAGACCAGGCATTTTCCACCTGGTTCCCTTGGAGTGTTTGATCTGCGGAAAGCCAGCAGCCATATAAGAAGTTTACCCTGTGCAGGCCGGGCGCGGTGGCTCAGGCCTGTAATCCCAGCACTTTGGGAGGCCAAGGCGGGTGGATCACGAGGTCAGGAGATCGAGACCATCCTGGCTAACACGGTGAAACCCAGTCTCTACTAAAAATACAAAAAATTAGCCGGGCCTGGTGGTGGGCGCCTGTAGTCCCAGCTACTCGGGAGGCTGAGGCAGGAGAATGGCGTGAACCCGGGAGGCGGAGTTTGCAGTTAGCCGAGATCGGGTCACACCACTCCAGCCTGGGGGACAGTGAGACTCCGTCTCAAAAAAAAAAGAAAAAAAAAAAAGTTTACCCTGTGCAGGCACTATAACTAAGAGTCCTTCCCATCTGAGCCTTGCCTTCCAGACAACTCCATCAATTTATAAGACAGAAAAAAAGCACCTTGCACCTTCCAGACTGACTTGTTTGCCAGCCGACTAGCACTGAGTCACCCTAGTTAATGATGTGAGAGAGGAAGAATCACTCAGATGAATCCTGCTGGAATTTCTCACCTATAGGATCCATGAGATATAATGAAGTGGTCGTTGTTTTACCTTATTAAATTTAGGGTAGTTTCTTTTTTCTTTTTCTTTTTTTAAATTTTTTTTTTTTTGAGACGGAGTCTCCCTCTGTCGCCCAGGCTGGACTGCAGTGGCGCGATCTCGGCTCACAGCAAGCTCCGCCTCCCGGGTTCACGCCATTCTCCTGCCTCAGCCTCCCGAGTAGCTGGGACTTAAGGCGCCCACCACCACCAGGCCAGGCTAACTTTTGTATTTTTAGTAGAGACAGAGTTTCACCGTATTAGGCAGGATGGTCTCGATCTCCTGAACTCATGATCCGCCCGTCTCAGCCTCCCAAACTGCTGGGATTACAGGCGTGAGCCACGGCGCCCAGGCCATTTGGGTTAGTTTCTTAAGCAGCAATAGTAACTGTAACACTGACTCACTTCTACTGCCACCAATCACTATCCACTTTTCCTGATTTACTTCTTCCTATGTACCGTCTTTTAAAAAACAAATAATTAGGCCGGGCTAAGTGGCTCACGCCTGTAATCCCAGCACTTTGGGAGGCTGAGGCGGGCGGATCACGAGGTCAGGAAATCGAGACCATCCTGGCTAACACGGTGAAACTCTGTCTCCACTAAAAATACAAAAAATTAGCTGGGCGTGGTGGTGGGTGCCTGCAGTCCCAGCTACTCGGGAAGCTGAGGCAGGAGAATGGCGTGAACCCAGGAGGCGGAGCTTGCAGTGAGCCCAGATGGCGCCACTGCACTCCAGCCTGGGCGACAGAGCGAGACTCCGTCTCAAAAAAAAATAAAAATAAAAAATAAATAAAAAAAGATTTTTAATATATATATACGAGAATATGTGAAACAGTATTTTTTCAAGTTTCCATTGAAAATTTTAAAAATAGATTATATAAAACCTCAATATATTTTTTAAAATAAAAACCACACAGGTCACATTACCTACTCAAAATTTAATTACATTAGAAATTAAGACAAAGTTAAAACAGGACAACCAGCACCCCTAGTATCACCCTCCTCAGAGTATTTAAAAATAGATTCCTTTAAATTATCTCTTTTTTTACAAGAATAAAATCTAATCAATTATTAGAAAGATAATCTCAAACTGAACTCAAAAGAAGAAGCAAAGCATCTTCAAAGTCAATAAGGGTGCTATAAATGCTTCTTGGACTCTGAAACTCTCTGACTTCCCATTCTACTCTCAGTTGTAGAAAACTCCCTGATTGTGAAGTTTTGGTGTGATTAGGTTAGGTTTACCCAGATACTCCCCCCGTCTTAAGGCTGACGGATTATTAGCCTTAGTGACATGTGCAAGACTCCTTTGCCGTGTGAGGTATCAACAGGGTAACATGAGGAAATGAAGGTCATAGGGGCTATCTTAGACTTCTTCCTGCTACAACCTCTATTCACTTATTTTGAATCCTCAGGGTTTAATGAGCTCCTACTATGTTCTAGGTCCTTGCAATAGGAGTACAGCAGTGAACAAGACAAACATGGTTCTGGTCCTTGGAGTACAAAGTAAATGCTGAAAATTTAATAAATGGGTCAGTAGATAGATAGATGTATAAAGGTCTAAATGCACATTCAGAAAATAGCAGGAGAACACTGAGACTCAGTATTATTGAATATGCTTTAAAGGCCCATGTGTCGTCTTGAATGAAAATGTTGCTCAATTTCTGATGAGGAGACTAATTCATCAATATCTGTTATCATTGACTGATGACCTCACATAATAAAAGATCTTGACTTGAGTGTACGTTAATAATCAACATAATGGGTAATGTATCAAAAGAGTATATGGAACATAATAAAAAGATATAAATTGAAATCTTAAACAGTTTTGTGCTAAAATATGTTTAGAATTGCTTGAACCCAGGAGGCGGAGGTTGCAGTGAGCTGAGATTATGCCACTACACTCCAGCCTGGGCAACAAGATCCAACCTCCGTCTCAAACAAACAAACAAACAAACAAACAGAAACAACCCAAACAAACACAAAAAGTTACTATAATTGTATCTCTTTTGACTATAGCCTGGAAGAAATCACTTTCTCCCCAACTTAAGGAAGGGGAGACTTATCTCTAGCCAAGCTTTGAGTATAAACATATAAAAAGTAATTTTCATTTTCTTGAAACTGACTGCATGAAAAGGCATATGGTGTTCCCAAAAAATGTCTGATGAGTGAGAATATTAAAATGACTAAACTGATGGGACATATTTAATTTAATATTTAAACTTGATAAAAACTAGTTAAGCATTTAACTCAAGAATTTCAAAATGGTACAGCAAAGCATACAAGCAAAATTAAAAGGAATGCTAATTACATATTAAGTTAGAAGGCAATAAATTATAAACAAAAACAGTAACAATTTATAAACATACACAAGTTCATTCTTTAACAAATAACCCATGATACAGAAAAATATAGCAAATGTGATAAAACAAAAACTGAGAAAACATAAAATTTAAAGTGAAAAAAAAACAAAACATGCAGAAATTGTTTTAAAGACAAAAAATACTATCTTAGAAAATTAAATACGTGTTTCACTAAAATAAACATGTACTGCTTAAATGAATCTTAATTTAATTTTAAAAATAGTAAATAGGTTGCAGGCATCAATTTTTGCAAGAAATGTAAAACATTATTTTAAAAATTTTTATTAAAGTCCCTATAACCAGTGTTTTTAATAAGCATCTGTTTAAAACATCTTGTAAAATGGACCCCAAACTAGGAAATATGGATAAAGTTATAAAAAGTGGCTTCCTTTCAGTTCATTTTACAAAGCAAATATAACTATTACTAACTCTTGATGAAGTGAATACAAAAAGAATAAAATTACTAAACAGTATCCCTTATAAACATAGTTAAAATATTCTTAACTGAAAGAAAAAGGAACTGAATTCTACACTTACTAAGAAATCACCCACCCCAGTGATTTGGCATACAAAGATTTAATACTAGAAAATATATATTAATATAATGCAACACAACAATAAAGCTATTTACTTTATATTGTACATTTACTGCTACAGACTAAATGTTTACATCCCTCTCAAATTCATATGTTGAAATGCTAACCGCCAATGTGAGGGTTTTTGAAGGTGGGGCTTTTGGGAACTAATTAAGTCATGAGAGAGCAGCCCTCATTAATGGGTTTAGCACCCTTCTAAAGCAGCCCCCTGAACTCCCTTGCTCCTTCCCCACTGAGGTTATAGAGAAAGGGCAGCCTTCTTTGAACTAGAACAAAAGTTTTTCCCAGACACCAGATTGGCTAGTACCTTGGTCTTAGATTTCCCAGACCCCAGAACTGTGAGAAATTCCTTTCTGTTGTTTATAAGCCACCAAGTCTATGGTATTCTGGTACAGCAGCCCATTTTTGATATTTATTTAATGATATTTAACATGCATGACTGATGAAATTTAACAAAGTAGTTATAGATATGTCCTTACCATGATTAAAAATAACTCTTAAATTGATGCATACTTTTATTATCTAGTTCTAGCCAAAGCCATAAGATGAAAACACAAATAAGAAACCACCTATATGGCACATGTATACCTATATAACAAACCTGCATGTTCCGTGCATGTATCCCAGAACTGAAAATCATATTTTAAAAAAATTTATTTATATAGAAAAAAAGAGAGCAAATGATAATATTTTTCAAAAACTGATAATTTAATTACGGTAAGTTCTGTGTGATATGTGCCTGATGTGTGTGATATGTGTCTGATGTGATATGTGTGAGATGAAAAACACTAAGGGGGTATGTGATTTTGAGCATTCACGTGCCCATAAATCCTTGTTAGAATTAAAATATCACATTAAACCTCTCTCTTTCTTTTAATGTCCATGGTTTCTTTATATGTTTTAGTAAGTGACACAGAGGAAAATACTGAGCGGACACCGTTTCTAAATTGGTAAACTGCCCTGAACTGCCACTTTACTCTTTTCTACAGCAAGTGTGGAAGATTAGAGTTCAGGCAAACATGTCATGTAAGTGGTGAAGATTCCCTTTTTCCACTGGGACAGCAGTAGAACTGAAGGGAAATCAGACAACAGCTACCTCAGCAGGAGAGCCTCAATGATGACACTTTTGCCTCAACAGTGGAAGCTGGTAGTTTCCAAAAATAGAGCTAAAAAGTGAATCAAGTTTTAAAGCACATTGAAAGTCACACGTAAAATTCATTATTACAGAAAAGCTATCAACCAATCACAGTAAATGAGTGAATTTAGAAATTAAATTTTAATATGAAAGGTTCATGTTGTCAAAACTGACTATGTTAGTCCATCTCAATGCTATAAAGGAATACCTGAGACTGGGTAATTTATAAAGAAAAGAGGAGTATTTGGGCTGATGGTCTGCAGGCTGTACAAACAGGCCACCAGTATCTGCTCAGCTTCTGCTGAGGCCCGGGAAGCTGACAATCATGGCTTAAGGCAAAGGGGGAGCTGGCATATTACATGGGGAGAGAGGGAGCAAGGGAGATGCCAGGCTCTTTTAAACAACAAGATCTCTCGTGAATTCATAGAGCAAGAACTCACTCATTACCAGGAGGACAGCACAAAACCATTCATGGGGATCCACCCTTGGGAAACAAACACCTATTACTAGGCCCACCTCCAACACTGGAGGTCGCATTTCAACATGAGATTTGGAGGGGACAAAACATCCAAACCGTATCACTAACGGAAAGTTATTGTTTAAATTTCTGTATTCAGTCCCTTGGCCTTTTTGAGAAATGCCATTCATTTCAGCCATCAAGCAAATTATTATTTGAGACATTTATACCTCTTCATCCTTTAAAAGTTTCAGAAGCATGAATTTAAAAAGTATTCATTGTAAATTTGAGGCTAGTCAAATTGATGTGGCATCTAAGTAGCACGGTGATGGGATGAGGAGACAAAGTCACGAGGGGAGGTAGGAAGAAGCAGAGAGAAAAAGAGAAATAGGAAGAGAGAAAAAGAAATGAGGAGAGAGTATAAGAAAAATAAAGAAGAAAGAGGAAAAGAAAAATGGTTTAAATGAGAGGCAAATGTCATCTGATGTTTTACCATGGGGCCATAGGGTATTTGAAGTTTCAGAAAATTCATAAGTTATTAAAAAATGTGACTCTAGGGTAGTGAGGTTATAACTTGTAAGAAAACAAGAAGTGATTCCTTTTAAGAGAACCTTCTTGGCCGGGTGCTGTGGCTCACGCCTGTAATCCCAGCACTTTGGGAGGCCGAGGCGGGTGGATCACGAGGTCAGGAGATCGAGACCATCCTGGTTAACACAGTGAAACCCCGTCTCTACTAAAGATACAAAAAATTAGCTGGGCGCCGCAGCGGGCACTTGTAGTCCCAGCTGCACGGGAGGCTGAGGCAGGAGAATGGCGTGAACCCGGGAGGCGGAGTTTGCACTGAGCAGAAATCGCGCCGCTGCACTCCAGCCTGGGGAACAATGGGGAACAAAGCAAGACTCCGTCTCAAAAAAAAAAAAAAAAAAAGAAAAGAAAAAGAGGAACTTCTTAAAGATGCGGTTGTCTTTCTTATGCTTCCTTTAGCTCTTTTTTACCTCTCCACTGATACAGATTTTTATACCAAATAGCTGGCATTAGCTAAACCAATGTCTAGGAGAACTGATCCTCACGAAGGAAAATCATAATTTATTATTTTTTTAATTCATGGCATTTATTTGTACAAGAAATATATTTCTATTTAAGAGAAAGTAGAAAACAAAGGAGAACAGAAACAACTTTTTTTTTTTTTTTTTTTTTTTTTTTTTTGAGACAGAATCTCGCTCTGTCGCCCAGGCTGGAGTGCAGTGGCACGATCTCAGCTCACTGCAAGCTCTGCCTCCCGGGTTCACGCCGTTCTCCTGCCTCAGCCTCCAGAGTAGCTGGGACTACAGGCGCCCGCCACCACGTCCGGCTAATTTTTTTGTATTTTTAGTAGAGACGTGGTTTCACTGTGTTAACCAGGATGGTCTTGACCTCCTGACCTCGTGATCCGCCCGCCTCAGCCTCCCAAAGTGCTGGGATTGCAGGCGTGAGCCACAGCGCCCGGCCGAAAAAACTTTTTAAAATTTGTTTGGGGATCTCCCATATTTGCCAAAGTAATCCCACAAAAACAATTAACATTTGACTTTGAAAATTAAGACAAAAAATACAATGATGAATATTTTCTTGTAAAAGCAAAGACAGTAAAAATATTCAGATTTAAAATAAGCCTGAGAAAAAGCATGATTTCCTTGAGCTTACCTAAGTAAACTTATTTACAAGTGACTGTATCAATAATTAGCAAAAGTAAAAGTCATTATGAAATCCTCCAAATCTTTCAAAGTACTATCTTACATTCAAGCATTGAGTTTGCCCATAAAATTATTTAAGCTCAACCTTTTCCTCAATCTCCAAAACTCTGGCGTGTAACTACACAAACACTTCAATAGGGGACAGAATCTCCTTTTATCATTCATTCTACCAAACATCAACTTCATAAGAATTAGAATCAAGTGTAATAAGAATGAACTATATAGAATCATTGATATAAATTTATAGGTGTTCAGACATAACCTTTAGACATATTTGTCAGTGTACATGTAAACAATACTCAATAACTTCTTTAATAGAGTTCTCCAGAGAAACAGAACCAATTGGATGTGGGTATATAACTCAGTTATATATTTCATCAGCTTCCTTTTTATGTAATAGAAACTAACTACAGCTAATGATGAATTTTTTTCATTCATTCATCATTAAAAGGGGAGAGAGAAATCCAGGCTGGGTTTGTGCCATTTTTATTCCCTCACAGTTCTCTTCTTGCTGCATGATTCTTCCTTTCAGATATTAACCAGAAGGAATGGTTAGCCTGACTATAGCTCTAGAGGAGCAACACAGGCTCTGGATAATGAGGATGCACAGGCTTTAATCAGTCCTAGCAGGAGGTCTTGGCTTAGACAACTATGTAGAGTTGATGGTATCCCTATAGGAAAAAAATATATATATATATGTTTTTGTGGTAGCAGGACAGAGTCAGTTTCAGACATTTGTTCAACAACTGTTGGTGTTCAACATATATTAGTATTTTGCACTAGGTACTATGTGCTAAAAGTATAGTAAGGAATAAAAATAGGGAAATAAACAAAAACAAAATAAAGAAACAGAGAAAATTCCTATTACCCTTTAGGAAAAACAACATAAAATAAAGTAACAGAATCTAGAAACAGAGAATAACAAGATAGAAGCCTACTATATACCACCATTATCAACCTGTCAAAATAAACATTGTCAGTAGTGAGACAAACTGGAATCATGTACCACCTGATAGGATGCAATGAAAAAAACGCAGCATCAATTCTGTGATATTCTTGCCAAAATGCATTGCCTGACTCTAGTCACAAGGAAACCTCAGAAAACCTAAAGGGAGCCATTCAAAAAAGAAGGAAGGGAAAAGGAAAAAGTAAGGGAAAGAGGAGAGAAGGAAGGGGAGGGGGAAGGGAAGGGGAGAGGGAAGAGAAAAAGGAAGGGGAAAGCGAAGGAGAAAGGAAAGGAGAAAAGGAAGGAGAAGCAAAGCAAAGGAAAAAAAGAAGAAAATATGGGCCAGAAATCTTGGTTAAGTTAGGTCTAAAGATCTATTCTTGATACAAGGACATTAAAAAGACATGACAATGAAAGGCAATGCATGATTCTGAACTTGATCCTTTTGCTATGAAACATTATTGGGACTATTGGTGAATTTTTTTTTTTTTTTTTTGAGACGGGGTCTCGGTCTGTCGCCCAGCCTGGAGTGCAGTGGCGCAGTCTGGGCTCACTGCAAGCCTCGCCTCCTGGGTTCACGCCATTCTCCTGCCTCAGCCTCCCGAGTAGCTGGGACTACAGGCACCCACCACCACGCCCGGCTAATTTTTTCCTTTTTTTTTTTGTATTTTTAGTAGAGACGGGGTTTCACCCTGTTAGCCAGGATGGTCTTGATCGCCTGACCTCGTGACCCATCCGCCTCGGCCTCCCAAAGTGCTGGGATTACAGGCGTGAGCCACCGTGCCCGGCTGACTATTGGTGAAATTTTAATGCGGACTTGATAATTAGATGTAGCAATATATTAATATTAATTTTCTGGTTTTGTTCGTTGTACTGTGCATGTATTGCATTTGGGGGGGCACATATATTACTGTAACAGATTTGTAATATATACAATTATATATATGTATATACATATATAGACACAATTGTGTTTGTAGAAAATATATATGAAAGCAAGGTTTTTCAACTTTGGCACTATCGCTTCTGACATTTGGGCCACATAATTCTTTGTTGGGGGCATTTCCTGTGAATTGCAGGATGTTTAGCGACTTGGTTTGCCTTTAATAACTAAATGACAGTAGCATCCTCCTCACACCTTTCCCCAGGCTAACAACTAAAAATATCTTGAGATATTATCAGATGTTTCCTGGAGGGCAAAACTCCCCCTGGTTGAGAATCAGTCTACTAAAGTATTTGGAGATGACAGAGCATCAGGTTCGTTTCTATATATTATTAAAGTATCTTTCAAAGTTGAAGGTAAAATTAAGACATTTTCGGAAAAATTAAATGGGCCAATTTGTCACCAGCAAATCTGTACTACAAAACATGCTAGCAGAAGTTTTCTGGCCTGAAGGGAAATAACGTCGAATCTAAACTCCAGATTAGAGGAAATGAAAAGCATAGAAATGGTAAGTATATGAGTAACAGGAAATACTTTTTTTTAATCTGCCGATTTTGTTGAAGGGAAACTGACTATTTAAATTTAAAAAGATATCATTTTATTGTGGGGTTTATGATGTGGACAGAAAAACTTATACTAAAAAAAATCACAAAAGACAGAGGGGGAGTAAAGGAAATGTTACCGTCATCAGTTTTTGTTGTTGTTGTTTTGGGTTTTTTTAATAGACTTTATTTTTAGGGCAGTTGTAAGCTCACAGCAAAATTGAAAGAAAGATACAAAGATTTCTCATACATCATTGTGTCCACACAGGCACAGCCTGACCCCTTGCTGTCATTCTCCTCTGGAGTGGCACATTACTTACCGCTGATGAACCTGCACTGGCACATCCTTATCACCAAGGTCCATAGTTATATTAGGGTCCACGCTTGCTGTCATACATTCTATGAGTTTAGGCAAATTCATATACCAGTATAGTATCATGCAGAATAGTTTTCTGCCCTGAAAGTCTTCTGTGCATATGAATAGGATAGGTGGAGCACAGATCACTTTTTAGGAAAATGTTGCCTTGTTTTGATTTGACAAAGTAGGCAACACTATCAATCACTGGAGAGAATGTAAAAATAGAACAGATGTCATCAGTTTTTTACATTATATATGAAGTTGTCAAAAATTACCTCGAAGTAAAATTTAGATTAGTTAAGTATAAATTGATGATTATTGTAATACAAATAACTCAATACAAAAAAGCGTTGCAACTAACTCATCTATGCAATTTAAAATGAATACTTAAAATACAATTAAACAAAAATATGAGAAGAGAAACAAGAGATTGTACAGTTTTTAAAAGTGGCAACACATTTCATTTAACATATTTATGAACTAAATTATTCAATTACAAGGTAGAGACTGTCATATTAGACAAAAGAATGAGACCCAACTAATGTTGTCTACCAGAAACATACATTAAACATAAAGACACAGATAGATGAAAAGTAAACCTACAAGAAAAGATAAACCATATACACAGCAAGCATTAGGAAGCTTGTGTGGCTACATTAGCAAAATGCAATGTAGACTGGAAAAGAGGGTGCATTATAAGAGAAAATGGGGGCATTTCATAATTATGAAAGAACCAATTCATCAGAGGACAATAATATTGCTTATATTATTGTCCTCTGATGAATTGGTTATTATATTATTGTCCTAATATGACATATATGTCCATAATTATGAAATGCCCCCATTTCATAATTATGAAAGGGACACCAACTTAATAATAAAGCCTCATAATTCATGAAGGAAAAAGCAGAATTGAAGGGAGAAATGGATAAATGACAATAATAATTAAAGATTTTAACATCCCTCTGTTCATCACTGATTGAACAGTAAGACAAACCATTCGTATGGCTATAGAACATTTCAACTTCATTATAAATCACCTTGATCTTATTGACATTTATAAAAACTACATTTCAAATGCTGAATATACATTGTTTTCTTGTGTATTGAAAGCACCACCAACATAGGCCAAATGCTGAATCAAAGAGTAAGTTTAAATGAATTTAACTTACTCAAGCTTTAGATTTTATAGAATATATTCTCTGATCACAATAAAATTTAATTTGAAATCGATGACATAAGAGATTCCTAGGAAACCCCCAAATAGTTGTAAATAACATGAAACACTATTTAACTCATAGTTCATAAAAGAAATCAAAAGATAATTTAGAAAAAATATAAAATAAGGAAAACAGTATATTAAATAAACATCTGCACCTAGATGTTTATTGCAGCACTATTCACAATAGGCAAGATATGGAATCAACCTAAGGGTCCAGCAACAGATGATGGTTAAAGAAAATGTGGTATATAGGCCGGGCACGGTGGCTCACGCCTGCAATCCCAGCACTTTGGAAGGCCAAGATGGGTGGATCACTGGAGGTCAGGAGTTCGAGACTAGCCTGGCCAACATGGTGAAACCCCATCTCTACTACAAATATAAAAATTAGCTGGGCATGGTGGCACGTCCCCAGCTACTCGGGAGGCTGAGGTGGAAGATCACTTGAATCCGAGAGGCAGAGGTTACAGTGAGCCAAGATCACACCATTGCACTCCAGAGCAAGACTCCATCTCAAGAAGGGAAAGGAAGGAGAGGAGAGGGGAGAGGAGGGGAAGGGAGGGGACAGGAGGGGAAAAGGAATAGATACACAATGAAGTACTATTCGGCCATAAAAGCAACATGCATAGAAATGGAGTGTATTATGTGAGTGAAATGAGCCAAGAAGAGAAAGTTAAACATTACAGCTTCTCACTCATATGTGGAAGCTAAAATATTTTGATCTTATAGAAGTTAAAACAGAGGATGCTAGAGGCTGGAAAGTATAAGAGGGAGGGAGGGATAGGGAGAGATTTGTTAAAAGATTCAAAATTAAAGCTAGATAGGAGGAATAAGTTCTAATGCTCTATACCATTATGGTATGACAATAGTTAACAATAACATATAGCTTCAAATAGTTAGCAAAGGATATTGAATGTTCCCAAAACAAAGAAATGATAAATGTTTGCAATGATGGATATGCTAATTACCATCACCTCATCAGGGTAATTAAATATATACACTATGAGTATTGAAACATCACTATGTACCCATAAATATGCACAATTATTATGTGCCAATTAAAAAAATAAAATAAAATTATGATAATAAAAGCTTCATATTTGTGGTGTAGAGTTAAATTGAGAGGGTAATTTATTATTTGAAATTCTTCTATTAGAAAAATACGTAGGTTTAAAAGTCAATGAAAAAATAAACAAAACGTAATTTGAAAAAATAAAATAACAGGTAATGAAAGAAATAAATGAAATTGAAAGTAAATAAATTCACAAAGTGAAAAGTTCCTTTGAAAAAATCAGTAAAGTTGTTACATACTAGTAAGACTAAGAAAAAAGGACTGATAAAAGAAGAAATATCATTACAGAACCTCTATATTTAAATGATAATAACTATTATGAACAATTCCATACTCAAGAATTTGGCAGCTTAAAGTTCTGTAAAGAGACAAATTACCAAAGCTTATTTAAGAACAAATTCATAATGTGAATTTTTCTGTATCTATATGTATCCAGATAGTCTAGGTTTTCTAATTTCTGGCCTATGGTTGCTCATAGTAGCCTCTAATGATCCTTACAATTTCAACAAAGAAATTCAGAAGAAATTGAAAAGTTTATTGAAGCAGATAAAAACGGCAACACAACATACCAAAACCTATGGGATACAGCAAAAAGCAGTAGTAAGAGGGAAATTTATACCTATAATTTCCAAGATCAAAAAAGTGAAAAACCTCAAATAAATAACCTGATGATACATCTTTTTTTAAGGTCACTATAAATTTTAATCTATGATATAAAATATTACCTACAGATATAATTGAACATCAGGTATCAGAAAATAAAACATAACAATGAAATGCAATTTTGTAAATACTTCTATGGTACAAGCATTATTTTCCTCAGATTCAACCTTTTAATTGTGTTTTGTTTGCTTTCTGAAAATCACACTTTATAAAGAACACAAGTAGAGCTTGTTAAAATGATTGTCACAGATGTACTGTTTACTAATTCAAAAAATACTACATTCATTCGCTCATATCAATTTTATTCATTAATTATGAAGAAGAAAATATAATATTCCATGCTTGTCATGAAATAGCGGTTTCTTCTTCCAGTCTAATCAGGGAACTAATAAATGCTTAGTTCATGGCAAAACTTCCATTTGATTTACATTGACTTAATTACCTCTTAGGGTCTAGCCTCATCAATGGAGAAAAAGCACTTTTTCTTGAGGCAACAGCACATTAACAGCACTGAATACAAAATATGGCAAATTCAATGGCTGTCAGCATTGCTTTAGGAATTTTGAGACTATAAAAAAACTATAACCATGAATAAAAGAAAAGGGCTTATTAATATCTTCTTTTTGGGAGAGTGATACATTCTGAAGGTTTCTTGTTATTCTGTTGAATAGCAAGGACTTCCAAACTTAAGTGTCTTAAGGCTGAAAATTAGTTACATTCCTCAGATTTTAGCCTTATTAATGAAATTCCAAAAGTATTATAAGATTTAGTATGTCTTGAAATTATAAATTTGTAACAGATATTTTTCAAAATACATGCCTTCAAACAACTTAAATGCAAAAATCATTCGTTCTTAATAATACCTAGCAGTTCATCCCTTGCTTCCCAGAAGTACTCATACAAACATGTGAATTTAAAAAATAGATTTTTCTGTTCAAAAAATAAAGCTTCTGCCCTTTTAAAAACTTGTCAGGCTTTCATTTGCCAAAATGTTGAAAACTGCACATATTCAAACATAGTTCCCGTAGGAACACATATTCCTCAACTCTCACACCTTTGAAGACACAGGAGACGGGCAATATAAATGTTCCCTTCTTTCCAGCTGATGTTAAATAGTTAGGTTTGCTTCATGAGATTATCGGAATAAAGGGTTAGATTTTCATTTTCCATTACTCTATCTAGTAAAATTAGACTTAAAGTAGGTAGAATACTACCAGAGGAATTACACAGTGATTGGCAAACTGGCCTAAAATAATCAGGCTTTTTATTTATACTTCCCTTTTTAAAGTTGTCATTTGACAACAGCTTCCATCTTTAACAGCAGGCAAAAGAAAATGAGGTGCCATGCTATATTAATTAAAATATTCCACAATGAAAGAAAATACAAAACCTGAAAATAACTTCAGTGCTATAGACATTTAAAAAGTTACAATGGTTAAAACTCTGAATAAAAAGATCTTGAGAACAGGTACATTTCAAAGCAATATTTTACACGCTTTGGAAAAAATAGCTATTTTTCAAATAACTTGATATATGGTTTACATATTTCATGCAGTCTCTGAGGTTTTTTTTTTCTACAGTACTGTTTTGCATTAAAGTCTCTCATGTTGTTTACCAGTAATTGTTTCCTTAGGCTGAAATAAAACTTTGCTTGTTCATTAGTTTTCTGTATATCCCATTTGGTTTTGAAAGCAGCTCTTCATGTTTTCCATATTCAGTAATTTTTCCTTGGTCAAGAACAGCAACCATATTAGCATTCTTAATGGTGGAGAGATGATGGGCAATAACTAACGCTGTTCTTCCATCCGTCAGTGGATCTAGAGCTTCTTGAACAAGGTACTCATTTTCAGCATCCAGCGCACTGGTTGCTTCATCTAGGAGAAGAATTTTGGGATTCTTCAGCAGAGCACGGGCAATTGCAATCCGCTGTTTCTGCCCACCTGAGAGGAGAACACCCTTTTCTCCAACCACAGTGTTGAACGCTTGGGGGAAATTCCGGATCAAGACCACTGCATTGGCCACTTCAGCCACTCTCTGGACTTGCTCAGCGGTCACAGAGGAAGGCCATCAGCACCATAAGCAATGTTCTCAGTGATAGAGCAAGAAAACAAAATGGGTTCCTGTCTCACTGTCCCAATCTTGGATCTCAGCCACACTGGGTTTAGCTGACGGATGTCATGGCCATCAAGACTGATGGTTCCAGAAGCAGGGTCGAACAACCTCAGCAGGAGCGAAAGCACTGTTGATTTGCCAGAACCACCTGGGCCAACCAGTGCCGTGACAGATCCTGACGGAATGGAAAGGCTGAAATCCTGAAATATGGGCGCCTCCGGGCAAGCGGGATCGGCAAAATGCACGTTCTTAAACTCCAAAGCACCCTGGAAGCTTTTCTCATTTAAGATAACCCTTCCCCCTCCTTAAAAGGCAGATTGGGCTCTCTCTCCAGGAGCTCCCAGAGGCGCCCCCCGGCACCCAGTCCTTTCATCAGCTCCGAGTAGAAAGAGCTCAGACCTCCAATGCTTATTCCAACCCCGAAAGCATACATAGGAAGGAAGAGAGTTCACCCATGGTCATGTGGGCACTGCCCATCAGCAGCCCCCCTTTGTACAGGACAGAAAGCACAATCAGGTTTCCGGACAGCCTAGTTCTCCAAAGAAGCCAGCCCGAGCGAATGCCTCTTTCCTTGCTGACTACATCACATGGTCCACTTTGCTGGCCTATTTTTCTATTTCAGTCATTTCTTTCCCAAAAGCTCGAACAGTTCTTAACATTTCCAATACGTTCCTCCTGAGTGGCTTGTGCCAGCGAATCCTGGGTGACTTTGGTCAGTTTCCGTAGATATCGTCCATAAATTACATCAATGATTGACACTAGACGCACCACACTCACAACAAAGGTGGCCCGATTAGGTGAGACACAAAACATCATCCTGATGCCTACAGAAGCCCGGGCCCCGGCCCTGAGCCCATCTGAGAGGTTTTCAGTCACTGAGCGCCCCAGGAGTGCAGTGTCCGATGAGAGGCGGTTAATCAATTCCCCTGTGCCAGCCTTGTCAAAGAAAGCAACCTCCTGCCCCAGAATGGAGGAGAATAACGAAGTTCTCAGCCTCTTCACAACGCGCTGACGTGAAGTTTGCATGAGGTAGACACGAATGGCATTGGCGGCAGCACCACATAGAAACACGCCACTGAGGCCAAGGCAGAGGCGGGTCAGGTTGTCGCTGTAGTCCACAGTGGGGTTGGTATAGATGGCATCGATGATCTTCCCCAGAAAGAAAGGGGCAGACATGGAGATAACACCGGACATCGGAGAAATCCAACCGCAGCTGCCAGCCTCTGGCGCTCAGGGTACTCCAGCCCCAGGAGCTTCCCGGCCTCCGAGAGTCCGGGCGCCATGGGTCGTAGCCGCTGGTCGTCCCGGGAAGGCGCCGCCCGCCCGCGCCGCCAGGCCTCCTCCCCTGCCGAGGCAGTGGCGGTGGGACCGCCCGGGAACCCGGTGCGCGGGAGCCGAGGAGCGCCCGGCCGGCAAGAGCCCCGCACCTGCAGCTGCCGGGCCCAAGCCCACAGCCCCGGGAGCCGTCCGAGGCCCGCGTGGCCCCCCGAGCCGCCCAGACCCCCGCCCCGGCAGCAGCTCCTCCAGCGGCGCGCGGCTCCAACGCCCCAGAGCAGCTCCGGCCCCGCGCCCCATAGCCGCGCCAGCCTCGGGGCAGTGAAGGGCGATATGGACTGGGGGCGCGGCTGGCCGGGGCCCACACACAGGCTACCGGCGGGAGCCGCCCTGGCTCTGCGGGGCCCGTGGCGCCGATACATCTTAAAAGAACTAGAAAAGCAAGAATAAACCAGACCCAAAATAAGTATAGAAGAAAGGAAAGAATAAAGATAAGAGCAAAAATTAATGAAATTGAAATGAAAAAATACAAAATATGAACAAAACGAAAAGTTCGTTTTTTAAAAAAGATAAACCAAACCAGTAACCTTTAGCCACACTAAAAAAAAACAAAAAACCCTAAATAAATAAAATCAAGATGAAAACGGGGACATTTTCATTGATACTGTAGAAATTCTAAGGATCATTAGAGGCTAGTATGAGCAACTATAGACCAATAAATTAGAAAATCTAGAATAAATGGATACTTTCCTAGATACATACAACCTAGCAAGAATGAACCACAAAGAAATCCAAAACCTGAAAAGACCAATAAGTAGTGAGACGGAAACAATTTTCCCAGGAAAAGCCGGGTGCAGTGGCTCACGCGTGTAATCCCAGCACTTTGGGAAGCCGAGGCGGGCGGATCACGAGGTCAGGAGATGGAGACCATCCTGACTAACACGGTCAAACCCCGTCTCTACTAAAAAAAATACAAAAAAAAAAAATTAGCTGGGCATGGTGGCGGGTGCCTCTAGTCCCAGCTACTCAGGAGGCTGAGGTAGGAGAATGGCGTGAACCTGAGGGGCGGAGCCTGCAAGTGAGTCGAGATCAGGCCACTGCACTCCAGCCTGGGCGACAGAGCGAGACGCCCTCTCAAAAAATAAAAAAAAGTTTCCCGGGAAAGAAAAGCCCAAGACCCGACGGCTTTACTCCTGAATTTTACCAAATATTTTTAAAAGTAGCACAAAATGCAGCAGCAGGATTCTCCTGCCCCAGCCTCCTAAGTAGCTGGGGCTACAGGTATGCACCACCACGCCTGACTAATTTAAAACTGTTTTTGTAGAGACAAGATCTCACTATGTTGCCCAGGCTGGTCTCAAACTCCTAGGTAAAATGATCCTCCCACCTCTGCCTCCCAAAGTGTTAAAATTGCAGGCATAAGCCATTGCCCCCGCCTGAAAAAATTTATATGTATATATATTTATATTTTATATATATATATATATGTATATATATATATATATGTATATATATATATATATATGTATATATATATACATATATATATATATATATATATATGTTTTTGTGTTTTTTTTGAGACAGAGTCTCGCTGTGTCACCCAGGCTGGAGTGCAGTGGCACGATATTGGCTCACTGCACCCTCTGCCTCCAGGTTCAAGTGATTCTCATGCCTCAGCCTCCTGAGTAGCTGGGATTACAGGCATATGCCACTACACCCGGCTGATTTTTGTATTTTTAGCAGAGACATGGTTTCACCATGTTGGTTAGGCTGGTCTTGAACTCCTGACCTCAAGTGATCCACCCACCTCAGCCCCCCAAAGTGCCGGGATTACAGGTGTGAACAACCATGCCTGGCCAAAAATAATTTTTTTAAAAAGATTTTGTTCTGATTCTGATGGGAAATGGACTCTTTTCTAAAGTTACTAGCAGTTCTTTAACTGGTTAGCTCTATGTTAGGCATAGGTATTACTTTTTAGGGTGGCAGGTATGTGAAAAAAGAAGGGAGGTGGACAAAACCAAGACAGCAGAAGTAACTATTTGAGGGATTTCAAAACCTTTGACTGACACTCACTTCCTGGGACAGTCTTGATTTTGCTACTCTTTCCTCATCTGTTTCTTTTCAAGCCTTGCTCCCTACACACTTACCCTAGTTCTAACCCTTCCTGCTGATGGGCACCCCATTCACAAGGCAACAGATACCAGATGTGAGGAATGGAAAGAAAAACATTCTTACTTGATTGTTCTTAGGAGTTATACAGTCAGGCTCTTGGTTGGAGGGCTCTGATGTGAAAGCTTGGCTTCAAGTCCACTGAGAAAGTAGTATGATTGAAGTGGTGAACTGGAGATGGGGTGGGGGTGGCCTACCACGAGGACTAATTTGTTCTTTACGTGTTTTTGTTTTTTTATTTTTTTAGACAAAGTCTCACTCTGTCGCCCAGGCTGGAGTGCAGTAGCGCAATCTTGGCTCACTGCAAGCTCCGTCTCCGAGGTTCATGCCATTCTCCTGCCTCAGCCTCCTGAGTAACTAGGACTACAGGCACCTGCCACCACACCTGGCTAATTGTTTGTATTTTTAGTAGAGACGGGGTTTCACACTGTTAGCTAGGATGGTCTCGATCCGCTAACCTCATGATCCACCCGCCTGGCCTCCCAAAGTGCTGGGATTACAGGTGTGAGCCACTGTGCGTGGCCTGTTCTTTATCTAATGGTTTGCAAGGGTGGAAATACCTCTGGGGAAATGTGATGGATTCTCCTAGGAAACTGACTTCACCAAATAATTCTTTTGAAACTGTTCAGAAACGAGACAAATGACATGAATCTATTTACAAAGAGAATTACCTCTGTGTCTGTGACCCAAGAGGCATTCCCATAGTGATACACTTGGACATTTGTTCAGGGGGCAAGCGCTCACGCCGAGTGATTTTTCTTTTTTCTTTTCTTTTCTTTTCTTTTTTTTTTTGTTTGTTTGTTTTTAAGACTGAGTCTCGCTCTGTCGCCCAGGCTGGAGTGCAGTGGTTCGATCTCAGCTCACTGCAAGGTCCCCCTCCCGGGTTCACACCATTCTCCTGCCTCAGCCTCCCCGGTAGGTAGCTGGGACTACAGGCGCCCACCACCATGCCCGGGTAATTTTTTGTATTTTTTTTTTTTTTTTTTTTTTATAGTAGAGACGGGTTTGACCGTGTTAGGCAGGATGGCCTCGATCTCCTGACCTTGTGATTTTCAAAGCTGTTCGAGGGCATTTATCAGGCTTTTAACTCTAGGTACTCTTTCCCACAGTGTGAAGGCCAAGAGAAGGGATCCTGGGCTCTCTTCCCTGGCCCCAGGATGGGAATTCAGGGGGAAAAGGTCACCTATTCTCCTATTCTTATCCCACAAAAGAAAACTTATGCATCAGTTGTCAAGCTAAGGAGCTTCAGAGTCCACAAATAGGGAAATTGCTGAGAGCTTATCAGTAGTGTCCACTACCCATCCCCACCTGGGGTCACGTGGAGAATGATGGTGGGGGCGACGATCTTGTCCTACTTCAGGTGAAAAGCAGGGGTGTGGGGGGGTTTCATTGTGAAGGGCTCCTTTGTTAAAATTCCTTCCAATTCCAGGAAAAACATGCACTCGAAAGCCATTATCTCTTTTACTTCTTACTAGGGAACTTCCAGGAAAGAGACGGGGGGGTGGGGGGTGGGGAAGAAGAGGGCAAAACAGCTGAGTGAATGTAGTCACCTCTCCGATTGCTTTTCTTGTTGCAGAATATTTCACATGCCAGGATTTTCCTTCTTGTCCTCCGGACTGTTGATACACCCAACATCTTAATACGCTTTCAATCACAAGTTAAAGACATCCAGAGCCAGATTGCTTGAGCCTAGGAGTTCCAGACCGGCCTGGACAACATGGTGAAACCCAGTCATATATATTTTTTTTTAGGGGGAAATTTGCTCTTGCTGTCCAGGCTGGAGTGCAGTGGCGAGGTCTCAGCTTGCCAGACCTCCGTCTCCGGGGTTTGGGTGGTTCTCCTGCCAAAGCCTCCTGAGTGGCTGGGATTGCGGTGTGAGCCACCATGCCCGACTAATTCCTTAACTGTGCAACTACAAGGTCACTAAACAAATAAACTCAAGTCACAAAACATATTTTTCCTTAAATAGTAAAAAATAATATAATGCATGTTTCAATTAAATAACAATCTTTGTTTCTCGCTTCTATAATATGCTTCTCCCTGCACAGATCTCCCCCTTCGCCCCACATAATGCTTGAAAGGTAACTCTTGGTTCAGTGCTCAATCCTTTAAATGTTAATCCGACTGGGCCGGTGCACCTAAATAATTAATAAATGTCCTCCTAAACCCCATGAGTCTATCTAATTCCTTAAAAATCCCTCTACAGGACTGCAGGTGTGAGCCACTGCACCCCGCCTAATTTATTAATCAGAGAGGAATAGATCGGCCTGGCGTGGTGGCTCACGCTTGTGATCCAGGGACTTTGGATGATGGAGCACTGGGGATCACTTGAGCCTAGGAGATCCAGACTGGCCTGGGCAACATGGTGGAACTCGGTCTCTCTCTTTTTTTTGTTTTTTTGGAGGCAGAGTTTTGCTCTTGTTGCCCAGGCTGGAGTGCAGTGGTGCAGTCTCGGCTCCCTGCCACCTCCACCTCTTGGGTTTGGGTGGTTCTCCTGCCTCAGCCTCCCTAGTGGCTGAGATTGCAGGTGTGAGCCACCATGCCCGGCTAATTTTTTTTTTTTTTGGTACACACAGGGTTTCTCCCTGTTGGTCAGGCTGGTCTCAAACTCAGGACCTCAGGTTATCCGCCTGCCTTGGCTTCCGGGGATGCTGGGATTGCAGGCGTGAGCCAGCGCGCAAGGCCCAATTGATTAATCAGAAAAGAATAGATCAGCCTGGCGTGGTGGTTCACGCTTGTGATCCCAGGACGTCGGACGGCCGAGCGCTGGGGATCACTTGAGCCTAGGAGTTCCACACCGGCTTGGGCAACATGGTGAAACCCGGTCTCTCTTTTTTTTGGCGGGGGGGGGTACAGGCAGGGTTTCTCCATATTCATCAGGCTGGTCTCAAACTCCCGACCTCAGGTTATCTGCCCGCCTCCTCGGCCTCTGGGGATGCTGGGATTGCAGGCGTGAGCCAGCGCGCCCGGTCCAGTTTATTAATCATAAAGGACTAGATCGGCCTGGCATGGTGGCTCACACTTGTGATCCCAGGAATTTGGACGGCAAGCGCGGCGGATCGCTTGAGCCTAGGAGTTCCAGACCTGCCTGGGTAACATGGTGAAACCTGGTCACTTTTTGTTTGTTTTGAGGCGGAGATTCGCTCTTGTTGCCCAGGCTGGAGTGCAGTGGTGAGGTCTTGGCTCAACGGGCCTCCGCCTCCAGGGTTTGGGTGGTTCTCCTGCCACAGCCTCCCGAGTGGCTGGGATTGCACGCGTGAGCCACCATGCCCAGCTCATTTTGTTTTTTGTTTGTTTTTGTTTTTATTGTTGGAGATGGGGTTTCTCCATGTTCATAAGGCTGGTCTCAAACTTCCCACCTCAGGTTATCCGCCCGCCTCGGCGTCCGGAGGTGCTGGGATTGCAAGCGTGAGCCAGCGCGCAAGGCCTAATCTATAAATCAGAAAGGAATAGGGCCGGGGATCCCTTGAGCCTAGGAATTCCAGACAGGCCGGGGCAACACGGTGAAACCCGCTCTCTTTTTTTTTTTTTTCTTTTTTTTTTTTTGCGGCAGTTTCACTCTTGTTGCCCGGTTGGAGTGCAGTGGCGCGGTCTCAGCTCCCCGCGGCCTCCGCTTCCGGGATTTGGGTGGTTCTCCTGCCTCAGCTTACCAAGTGGCTGAGATTGCAGGCATGAGCCAACATGCCCGGCTCTTTTTGTATTTTTTTTTTTTTTTTTGGTATAGACGGGGTTTCTCCCTTCGTCAGGGTAGTCTCAAACTCCTGACCTCAGATTACCCGTCTGCTTCGGCCTCCCGGGGTGGTGGGATTGCAGGCGTGAGCCACCATGCCCAGCTTATTTTTTTTTCTTTTTTGGTAGAGACGGGTTTCTCCATGTTGGTCAGGCTGGTCTCAAACTCCCGACCTCAGGTGATCCGCCCGCCTCGGCCTCCCAGGGTGGTGGGGTTGCAGGAGGGAGCCACCGCGCCGGGCGCAATTTATTAATCAGAAAGGAACAGATGGGCCTGGCGTGGCGGCTCATGCTTGTGATCCCAGGACTTCCGATGGCCGAGCGCGGCGGATCCCTTGAGCCTAGGAGTTACACGCCGGCCTGGGCAACATGGTGAAACTCAGTCTCTCTCTCTCTCTCTTTTTTTTTTTTTGAGAGGGAGTTTCACTCTTGTTGCCCAGGCTGGAGTGCAGTGGCAGGGTCTCAGCTCCCCGCAGCCTCAGCCTCCCGGGTTTGGGTGGTTCTCCTGGCTCAGCCTCCCGAGTGGCTGGGATTGCAAGCGTGAGCCACCATGCCCTGCTAATTTTTTTTTTTTTTTTGGTAGAGATGGGGTTTCTCCATGTTACTCAGGCTGGCCTCAATCTGACCTCAGGTTATCCGCCCGCCTCAGCCTCCCGGGGTGCTGGGATCGCAGGCGTGAACCACCGCAACCGGCCCAATTTTTAATCAGACAGGAATAGATCGGCCTGGCGTCATGGCTCACGCTTGTGATCCTAGGATTTTGGACGGCTGAGTGTGGCAAATCGCTTGAGCCTAGGAGATCCAGACCCGCTTGGGCAACATGGTGAAACCTGTTTTTTTTTTTTTGAGACGGAGTTTCCCTCTTGTTGCCCAGGCTAGAGTGCAGTGGCGCGGTCTCGGCTCGCCGGGCCTCCGCCTCCCGGGTTTGGGTGATTCTCCTGCTTCAGCCTCCTGAGTGGCTGGGATCAAGGGCGTGAGCCACCAAGCCTGGCTACTTTTATTTATTTATTTATTTATTTATTTATTTAGGTTGAGATGGGGTTTCTCCATGTTGGTCGGGCTGGTCTCCTGCTCCTCACCTGGGGAGATCCGCCGGCCTCGGCCTCCAGGGGTGGTGCGATTGCAGGCGTGAGTCACTGTGCCTGGCCGGAAACCCAGTCCCTTAACGGAAAAACAAAACAAAAACCACAAAGATTAGCCAGACCTGGTGGGCCCCCCTGGGTAGTCCCAGCTACTCTGAAGGCTGATGCAGGAGGATTGCTTGAGCCCGGGGTGGAGGTGGCAGTGAGCCATGATGGCGCTGCTGCAGTCCAGACTGGGTGACAGAGCAGGACTGTGTCTCAGGAAAAGGGAAAGGAAAAAAAGAATAATAAAAAGAAGTATATAAAATTGCTAAATCCAGGAACAGCTTCACAGTATATTGAGAGAAATAGAGGCAAAGGTTAGCAGACACCAATGTTCACTTAGTGGAACTGCAGGTGTCCCCAGACAGGAGGCTGCTACTTTTCCAACAGAAATCTATTATTGACCAAAAAAAGTTAGTTTGTTACAATATACAAATAGCTAAACTTTATATAGCCACGACCCTCTTCTAGCACTGCTCTAAGCCTTTTCCTGCTCTGGAATAGCTACTATTGTTACCTCCATTGTAGAGAAAACAGATGGGGGAGGTTGTTGTGGAAGGACCAGGGAAACTGACTATGAAATTGACTTGTAAGTTTAGGACTTAAAGGTTCTTCCTGCTTTGCTCCTTACATTGCCACATTTTAGTTAACATACCTCTTAAAATACTGGTCCTTTCTGTATTTGGAGGGACTCCTCTTGCAGTTTGAAGTTTTTTCTTACACTAAGCATCTGGTTAGAAGATCATCTCCATTTTATGTCAGTTTAAGTTTAGACATTGTTCAGTAAGGAATGTAAATATGAGCAAACAGTTATCTGATTGAAATAGATAAACTAGAAAAAAAATCACCTATGAGAAAGTCAACAAAATGTCAACTCTGGATTTGTGGCTATTTTCAGAATATTAATTTTTTGATATTTAATGGCATTGTGAATATATTTATTTTTAAGAATTCCTTGTCTTCTACAGATACATATAAGGTAATTAAAAATGATAGGATGTATAGGTTTTACTTCAAAATAATTCAGAGGAAGAAGGAATGTATATAAATGAAGTGGGAATATAAATGAAACAAAACTGGCTGTGGCCAGGTGTGGTGGCTCACGCCTGTAGTCTCAGCACTTTGGGAGACCGAGGCAGGTGGATCACCTGAGGTCAGGAGTTCAAGACCAGCCTGGCCAACGTGGTGAAACACCATCTCTACTAAAAATACAACAATTAGCCGGATGTGGTGCCGGGTGCCTGTAATCCCAGCTACTCGGGAAGCTGAGGCAGGAGAATCGCTTGAACCTGGGAGGTGGAAGTTGCAGTGAGCCAAGATCATGCCACTGCACTCCAGCCTGGGCAACCACAGCAAAATCCCACCTTTAAAAACAAACAAACAAACAAAAAACAACCAAAAAAAAAAACTGTCCATACCATGAATGAAAAATTGTTGATGATGTGTATATGTAGGGCAATTATATCATTTATTATATATAATATATATATTATTTTTCTCAACTTTTTTTTACATCTGAAACTTTCTATTGAACACATGGACATGTCCCTTGATAACTGGGGCTGCTTCCCCATTATTCTCTCAGCAGCCCTTCTGATTTTCACTCCATCTTCATTCTTAGAGATTCTGGATTTTATTTTTTTTTTTTTTGGGAAGTTCAAGTATGTCTTTGCAAGGATTATCCAGCGTGTCTACCTACTCAATCATATTATCAGAAACAGAAAAAGTGTCCAGATTCTTGTCTTGTCCTGTTCAGATTTTTTAAATTCCAAGAACAGTCACCTTCTACCAGACACTCTGATGTTGGAAGACAAAGCATATTTGGTAAGTGGCGTGATTTCTGGGCTCCGATTTAGAACAGTCACAGCTTTCAACAATCCAAAAATAGCTGACTGTGACTCACCATATTTAGAAAGATGGAGATTATTAAAAAAAGAAAACCTTAATTTATCATGTGACCTCTAAGTATCTCGGCTGAAAATTGTAAAGATAGAAAGGTAAATCAAAAGATACAGAGACTGTAATCATGCACTTAATAAAGCGCTAAATCAAAATATATTTGGCATATGTGAAAGAGTTTAATTTTATCCCATTTTCTACTGGCACTATAGGTATTTGTAAGTACATATAAAACTACAGTGTTACATATAAACTACCAAAAAAGAACTTAAGAAACGAGACTAATCTAGCAACTTTATTTAAAAGTTTATCTTAAGGGAATAATTAAGGATGTCCATACAAAAGGATTTAGCCATGACACGAGAATGTTCTTCCTGGCAAATCAATGGAAATTATTAAATGTGCAAAAGGGAACTGTTGGAATAAATTCTAATGCCTTCATATGATCGTATGTCGTAACCTTTTAAAATGATATTAAAGAGTTGCATACATTGACTTAAACAGATATTCATAACACATCACTGAATAGGAGAAATACGGGCCAGCAAAGAACATAGAGTTGGTCCAATTTCTACAAAAAAAAGAAGACTAATAGCATGACGGCAGGGAAGGGGGAATATGTCAATGTATGTGTGTATATATATGTATGCATAGCAAGTATGAACTTGAAAGGATATATATCAAATTGTTTACACAGATTACCTCAGAGAGGTAAATAACTGGCCTTTGGTGTTCTGTGTTCCATAGATTCTGAATTTTCTTTTTTTATTTAAATAGAGATGGGATCTTAGCCAGGAGCAGTGGCTCACACCTGTAATCCCAGCACTTTGGGAGGCTGAGGAGGGCGGATTGCTTAAGGCCAGGAGTTGAAGACCAATCTGGCCAACATGGCAAAACTCTGTCTCTACTAAAAATCCAAAAATTAGCCAGGCGCAGTGGCTTATGCCTATAACCCCAGGTACTCGGGAGGCTGAGGCATAAGAATTGCTTGAACCAGGAGGCGGAGGTTGCAGTGAGCAGAGATTGCACCACTGCACTCCAGCTTAGGCAACAGACCGAGACTCTGTCAAAAAATAAAAACAAAACAAAACACCACCACCAACAACAAAACAGTAATAAAGAGAAAATCTTATGGACAGGAGCAATGTCTCATGCCTGTAACCCCAGTGCTTTGGGAGGCCAAGATGGGAGAATCGCTTGAGCCCAGGAGTTCAAGACCAGCATGGGCAACATAGCAAGACCTTTTCTCTACAAAAAATTTAAAAATTAGCCAGGCATAGTAGTGCATGCTTATACTCCCAGCTACCTGGGAGGCTGAGGTGGGAGGATCACTTGAGCATGAGAGTTGGAGGTTGCAGTGAACTGTGATCACACCACTGGGAAGCCATGACCCCATCCCTGCCTTCTTCCTCTGTCCTATGCTAGCAATAAGTAAGTTTCCCAGCCACAAATAATTATTAGAACCTCCTCCCCATGTGCCACCTCCAACCACCGCTAGGTATGATACAGGGGTGGCCCTACCCTCTGGAATATACAAAACCTTACACAGACACAATATATACACCGGGGAAGGGGGGCCACCCCAGCAGCCCATGCCTTCGCCTGGTCCACAGTTAGCCCCACTGTCCTGCCTCAGCTACCTCTCTGAATAAGAAGATTGGAGCCCCCACTGAGGGAAAAGTTGCTATGGTGAGAGTAAGGAGGCCATGAGGCCTCCTCCAAACAAACCAACTCCACCAGCCTCTGGCTCTTAAATAACAATATCATCCAGAAATTTAAGGACTCAGCTCTGGTCAAGGTGGCAAAGGGTCTGTTTGTCTTTCCTCGTTAGACAGAGGTCTTGTCCTGCTACCCTAATTGTAAAGGGGTGACTGGGAAGGGGAGATAGGGACAGTGTGGTGGTGGAGACCCCAGCCCCACTTCTCCAGGCTTTGCTGACAGGGGCCTGCTTTTAATTTTAATTTTTATTTTTATCCCATGCCTTTTTTTTTAAATCCCATAACTTCTTTTTCATAACTTTTTTTGGTAACTTTTCATAAAACTTTCTTCTACTTTTTGGTCACAAGATTTTTTTGCCACAACTTTTTTACATTTTTTATCCCATAACTTTTTCACCCCATAACTTTTGTTAATCCCATAACTTTTTTATTTTGTGTTCTTTTAATAAACCCTTGCATAGTTATATTACAATTTTGTAAAAATGAAACATTATCTCATGCCAAGCATGCTCAGCATTTGCACAGTATCAATACCTTTAATACTATATTTTTGAAGACACACAGAATAAAATTTTAAGGCAAAAACAGCACTTTGCAACAACTTAATAATTTATTACATTACAGTAGCATCACACCAGCAGTCAATAATGCCACTTTAGGCAAAAGTCTTTCAGTATTTCCGTTTTACATTCCGCTTACAAGAATTCATAAATTGGTAAAATTCATTCTAAGAAAACTTGGCAAATAAAGCTTTGGACTGGAATTGGCATTTCTTTCTCTACTTTTCCTTCCCACCGTTTATTTCCTTTACAGTATTCATATTTTAAAATGTTTTAACTTATTTCAGAACATTAAGATAGCAGTTACATTGTTTAATAGTTATTTTAAAATGACTCTTTCAGATAAAGTTTTAGAGAAACTATAGTATGGATAGGGCTGATTTACATTTTCAAATTTTCTAAAAATCAGCTTTGGTTTTAGAGCTGATTTTTGTTCATTTCTGGAAAACCTATCAGATTTAATCCAATACTTTAAAAATGATTATTATATATTGCAATCTTTAAATCGGTGATTTGATTCTTCCTACAGAAATTCAAATTTATTGAATTGAACTCACATTTTAGAATTCTGTTTCTGATGAACTCTAACCTTCCAATGTTGCCCTCTAAGCAAATTGAAAGCTGCCTTATACCGAATGAGGAAGAATACCAATACTTGGCTGAATGAGGTATCGCAAAAGACTGCATGCACTTTGAAGAAAGACTTAAGTTATAGTCATGCGATTTCCATTCTTTTTAGCTTTTTCTTCAATATACGACAAATATCTACACAAAGAGTGGTATTTCCGTTAATACAGTCAATTTATTTTCCAGATTGACATTCAGCTTAAATATGCCAGTATGTGATTTAATCCACAGGCACCTGATGAACACATTATTGTCAGATTGGTTACAGATGCTCGTAGTTGTCTTTAAACTGAACTCAAAGAATGCAAAAACATCAAGTTCAGAAAATAAAAGGCAAGGACAGGACTTTAAGTGCATTTTAAAGCCACGGGCGAGAAATCGTACCACTGTTAACTAGCCGCATTATTTGGTCTAACATTTTTTCTTTATCATTCTGAAACTGGGTTTATCTAATACATTGATACATTCATACAATTTGGAAGAGTCCGTTGAAGTCACAAGGACCCGATGTTTGCACTCTTTCAGTGATTGCCGGCAAATCTGTTATTCCATCGGCAAAATCGTACTGCTGCTCTCCTGTTAATGTCGTATTTATAAAAGTATCATGAGGATGCCAAATGCTAAAAATGGAGATGGTCTAGTAACTAGAAATCCCCACCCCAGGGAGCACACATACATATCTCCCTACATCCTAATAATGTGATGTGTTTTGGAACACAGACATTAGAACTTCATGAAGTTTTAACTGTTGAGTCTTTCCCAAGCATCATCAAGTTATGATTTAGGCAATGTACAACTGAAATTCATTCATTCATCATGCATAGGCACAATCACATAAATACTGCACAAAATATGCCCGTAAGTGAAACCCAGAGGTACAGAAACACATTTCACTCTTCACAAAGAAGTTTGTGAGGAAATATAACTCTGTGATTGTATAGACATGTTTCCTGATAATACACTGACATTCACCAACAGTAGATTGCACTGCAGTTTGTACACATTTTAAGTTGCATAAACTTCTCCTTGATTTTCAAAGATAGTATAATACTGTCTACTAAAACTCCTTTTTGTTTCAACTAAGCACTCTCACATATATTAGTTTATAACAATGTTTATTATTATTTCAAAGTGTTTTCCATTCAAGGAAAAGAAGTCAATTCCTATGTCAAAGTAACCAAGGTGGTTGAAGAATAGGCAGAGTGGTCTAGATGGTAAAATCAATCTTCAAGCCTCAAAGAAGCTCCATGAACAGAGGAATGCCAGGTGTCACACAGCTTTCCTTCACTCTAATTCATTCTTGACTAGAGCCTGTATGCCTGTTCCAGGGACATTTGAACTCTTAAAGGATTTCTTATGATCTTTACTAAATACATTAAGAAGAATGCCAACCAGTGCCCTTTTGTGTACTGGGACATGCAGTCATGTGATTAAAACAGGTAACATGAACTCTGACTTTAAAATATAGATACAAATGCTCTAAGCTAGGAAAGGTTTTCCACAACCGTAGTCAATGATGGGAACCTTTCATTCCTCAGAAATAAGCCCTTTTTAGGTCATCAAAAAAGAGTACAACTGCTGAAGCTCATGATGCAATATCTTCATGAGCCCAGAGCACATACAAATCCTAAAGGAACTACAATAGTACAGCACTAATTCTTGGCAACAGAACAAATGAAACACACTCTATCTTGCACATACCTGCCAGAGCAGGCAACTTTCCTCTTCTGTGAAATTTAAAAAGCTCCCCCAAAATGTTATTACTCCCATCACCAATACACAGAAAATGAGGAAAAGGCTGTTTCCAGTTCTCGGCCTTTAAACAACTCTAAATGTCAGTACTCTTGGTGGCATATTACAAAGTATTAAATAGTGCACACTTGGGGCAAACCACATATTGTGCTAATGAAGAGCTCACTGTGATTAAGATTAGATCAAACAACAGCAGAACATAGGCACATTTTATCTGAATTCTGTAATGAATATACATGCTGCAATAACATTAAAAACACATGGCAGCCTATTCCAAACCAGCAAGAATAGTTTTGTGCAAATAGTGGGTCTTTGTGTGTTTGAACTCCCACCACGTAAGGGCAAACTCAATATGCATGCTAATGACCTACAATTATGAAATTGAAAAAGAAAATTGCGAAAGTATGCCAGAGTGAACATCAGTGAAAGCCACAGAGACCCACTCTCTTTTAACTATTTACAAATGAACTTAAACTATAAATTAGAAACACAAATAATCATAAGTGGCTATAACATTCAAATGAAGTAAATGAATTGTGTAGGAGATTAACCCCATAACTTTGTTTCTTTTTTAAAAATTTCTTCAGCAGCTCTTTGACGATGGTGATGTTTATCTCCTTCTTCTTGGCAGCCAAGCCCAGCAAAAGAATGGCACACAGCAGTTGCTGCCCAAGCCTGGGTGCTCCTGGTGGTCCTGCACGATCGGCTGTGCAGTAGGGTTGTCGTGGGGAGAACCCTCCCTGGCCTCTCCTTGCACAGGCTCCACGCTGTCAGTGAGGCTCACCTCACAAAGATCTTTGGAGAGAGGGAGGCGGGGATCTGAGCTCAGTGAGAGCCCCCCTGCTCCTGCCTGCCCACCCCGCCTGAGGGCTCTACTCACCACCATGCTTGTGGGCAGCCCCAAGCTCCTGGGGGGCTGGGGCTCCTGGACTGGGCTCATGAGCAGGGTTCTGGGCAGTCACCAAGAATTTGCTGTGTCCCTTGTAGTCGCCACCAGCTGCAACACCATCTCCTGCAGCTCCAGCAGCTTCACCTGGAGGGAGGGGTGCTCAGCTGTCACGCTGCTGCCAGCGCTCACCGTCACAGCCACCCCCACCCCCGCAGAGATGTTGCACACTCTACCTTCATCTCCTCCCTGTCCAGGGCCAGCCTGATGGTGTCCTCCTCCCGGTGCTGCATCTTTGGCACTGCCCCCTGGCTTTGTTATAGGGTGATAAACTTTCCTGCGGGAGGACAGGGCTCAGACGCTGGGGCCCCTCCAACAGCCCTGCAGCTCCCCCTGCCATGCCCTGGCCTCCCACTCACTGATGGCATCTCTCTCTGTAGTACTGGAAGAATCCAAGTTCTTCTTTCTCCACCAGCTCACTCAGGTCTGCCTTCTCCTCCAGGTGGTCCATAAAGCCGCTCTGGAGCCAAAATAATGGGGTCACATCTCGCCAGCGACCTGCCCTCAGGTGGCATTTTCAAGTCATGGAGAAGGCGGAGGTGAGTTCCGGCATGGGCCAGCTTCTCCGTGACTTCCTGCAGGGCCCGGTGGGTCTCCCCACTCACAGACTCGCCCCCAGGCCCTGGGGCTCCAGGGCCTCTGGCTGCCTCTGGCTCCTTCTGGGCCGAGGCCACCGGGTGAGCCAGGCGCTGGCAGCACACCCTCTGCTCTTTCACCTGCTCTTGTAACTGTGCCTGCTTCTCCTGGGCACTAGCTCCAGCGGACTTGAAAAATGCCACCTGAGGGCAAGATGTGAGCATTCTTGCAGGGGCATACACAGAACAAATGGGGCAGAGAGGTGGAGCGCAGCCCCTTCCCTTGGGGCCCCAGAGACTGCACATGTTGGTCACAGGTGAAATGGTGTCTGACCACTGGCTCCCAGAAGGGGTGAGGGTCCAGAGAAATCAGAAGGCAGGGAAACGAAGAGCATAAAGGGGTCTTGGAGGGACCACAGAGGAAGGAGGCAAAATGGGTTCAGGTGGAGTCAGGCTTACCATGGCCTCCCTGCTCTCCAGGTCCTGTGGGATGCTAGGAATGGGCCGAGGTGCCTCCTCCCCCTCACTGTCCAGATGTCCTCCTCCATCTCCTGGGGGTGGGGGTGGTGGCCAGAGGGGTCCTCAGACAACTCAACAAGGGAAGTATTGTGGGCCCACCTCTGCCTCCACCCTCATTGTGTAACCCTGAGCCAGGCCCTCCCCAGAGAGGAATGAGCTGCTGTTATTTATTTTTACTTTGAAGAACCAAGATCTTGCTATACTGCCCAGGCACATTCCCACTACTGGTCGGTGCGGGAGTTCTGACCTGCTCCCTTTCTGACCTCGGCCAGTTCAGCCATCCTTAGGCAACTTGGTGGCCCCCCGCTCACAGGAGGTCACCATATTGATGCTGAACTTAGTGCAGGCACCCGGTTAGTATAATGACCAGCTGTTCTAAAGGTCTCTTCCAACTCCTCAATCCTATGCTGCTAGCAGTCCCCCCTTCCTCCTGGGGCTCTCTCCTCTTCCTCTGAGCGGTCTCCCGTACCTTCCCCAGGGAGAGCCATGAGGCTCAACTGGGCCGTTAGCTGCTGTTTCTGCTGGCTCGCAGCTTCCAGACGCTCCTAAGGGGCCAGGAAAGAGTGAGAAGGCACAGAGTTTGCCAGGTCGTCCCCCTCACAGCCCCATCCTCGGCAGCTCCCTCCCCTGGGTCTCCTGCAACTTTTGGCAGGCCATCTCGGCCACCGCTTTGCCCCAAGCTTCCTGCTGCTGCAACTGGTTCATTAGCTGGGTCTGCTGCAGTCACTGCCTGTACAGCGCCTCCTTCTCACAGGTCAGCTGCTGATAGGCGGCCACCTGCTGCTGATAGGTGGCCACGTACTGCTGCAGGTGACCCAGGTAATGGTCTGGCTGCTGCTGCAGACTCTGAGCCTCTTGGCTCTTCAGCTCCACCTGCAGGAAGACCCTGGGTGTGAGGGCACGTGGTGGCTGGTTTGCAGATTCTGGGCCCATTAATAGGGTAGCGAGGGCACTGTGGGGCTCTGTCGCCTGCCCAGGCCCCTGGCCCCTTACTTCAGGCCTAAGTGACTGCCTTGCTTTCCTAGAACCCCATGCCTCCTTCCCCAGCCTCAAATCTCATGTCCTCTTCCCACCATTTCAACTGTAGGCCACAGAATGGTAGAAAAGTATGGGAGCCAACCACCATCTGCTAAATGTGCTACAGGCCTAATGCTTCCCATGTATTATCTCATTTAATCCTCAGCACCTCTGTAAGGAAAATGCTAACTTCCTTTTGAAGTTAAAGAAACAGAGACTTAGAGATGCGAAGTACTTGAATGGTGACCAGTGGAACTGAGGCTGGAATCCAGTTTTAATCTAAGGAGTCTTTTTGTTTTGTTTTGAGACAGAGTGTCACTCTGTGGCCCAGGCAGGAGTGCAGTGGTGCAATCTCAGCTCACTGCAACCTCCACCTCCTGGGCTCAAGCAATTCTCGTGCCTCAGCCTCCTGAGTAGGTGGGATTACAGGCATGCGCCACCACCATGCCCCACTAATTTTTCTTTCTTTTTTTGTTTTTTGTTTTTGTAATTTTAGTAGAGATGAGGTTTTACCATGTTGGCCAGGCTGATCTCAAACTCCAAACCTCAAGTGATTCTCCTGCCTCAGCCTCCCAAAGTGTTGGCACTATAGGCGTAAGCCACCGCATCTGGCATAAGAAGACTGTTATACCACTCTGTCTCTTCCCCTGTGATTGGGGGGGCTCCATGTCTCTAGCTGGAATGATGATGTCCAGACCTGGGAGGAGCCCAGGGCTACCCACCTCTAAAATCAGAGGGCAGGAAGCAAGAAACAGCCACAGGACTGCCCTGGAGGGTGCTGGGGTCACCTGCCCCCGGGCTGGAGCTACCGCTGGCCTGGCACCTCCCCTCCCCAGAGGCTGGTGCCCACCCACCTCCCAGACCTTCTTGGATGGGGTGGAGGTTACCGTCTCCTTCACCTTGCCTAGCTTCTCCTGCAGCTCCTTTACTTGCTGCTCCAACTGTAGTACGCTCTTGTTCTCATTGTTCTGGACAGAGAGAAGCAATCAGCAGCCACCCACTGCAGCTGGAGACCCCAGAACTTGGTGACTGCCTCCCATGGCACCGGGAAGGGTGGAGGCAGGTTAGAAAAATCATCCCCTGTCTCCCACAGCCACCAGAGCAGGGCTCTGGCTCACAGGTGCCTTTAGGAGTAACATTTCACTTGAGGGCTACACTGCCCCATTTTATAGGTGGGGAAACAAAGGCCTGGAGGGCTAGGGAGGAGGGCAAGCTCCCCAGCTGGGGCAACGCACCAGCTCCTTGAAGCTGTTCTGTGGCTCGGCCAGCTGCTGAAGCCTCTCCTCCTGCTCTGGAAGCCTCTCCTGCTGCTCCTGAAGCCTCTCCTCCTGCTCCCGAAGCCTCTCCTTTTGCCCCTCATTCAGGAGACTTATGCGCTGATTGTACTCCACCTGGGCCTGGAGCTCTCCTGCCACTCTCTCTAGTTCCTTCCTCAGGTGCTGCAGCTCCACCTCAGAGGGCACTGCTGGGGGCTCCGGGGGCAGAGGTTCAGCTGAGAAAGGAAGCAGACAATAAGAGCCTCTGGATTCCAAAAAAAAAAAAAGAAAAGAAAAGAAAAGAAAAAACCCTCCTCTTGGCGCACAGCTCCTCTCCGGCTCCTCAAACTTAGCCTCACTGCTAATGATTCCTCGCACCCAGATGGTAGCCAGTCTTCCAAAGCACTTTCAGAGAAAGAGCACTGCGGGTGGCTGACAACGGGCCCTCTTTGCTGATGGGGACACTGAGGCTCATTGAGATGACAAGACTTGCCGTCTCCTGGCACAGACCTCTTTCCCTCTGCCTCAAAGCCCTTCCATCCACCCACCTCGCTGGGGCACTCCAAGCCACCCTCACAGCCCTCTGATGCCAGTCCTGCTGCCAGGTCACGCCAGCCCCATCTTACCCATCTGGTGTTTGAGTTTGGACAAGCTCCTCTCCAGCTTCTCTACCCGATATTTATCATGCTTCTTCTCCTTCTTCAACGAGCAAACCTGCCCAAAGCACAGGGGGAAAGGGCCCTGGAGAGAGGGGCTGGAGGCTGGACATGCTACCATCTCCCTCTCTGCCCCCACCTCCACAAAGCCCAGTCCCAGGACCACCTCTGGCTCTACTATTCCCATTTTACAGGTGCCCAGAAAGATCCAGTGACCTATCTAATGTGGGGGGGCTGAAGGGTCAGATCTCACCTCCTGCGACATTTTTCTCATCCTCTGCTGCCACCGGGCCCTCTCTCCTTTTAGATGTTCAGCATATTCATCCCTCTCTAGCTGGACTTCTTTAAGTGACTCCTTCAACTGCAAGAATGGGCACAGAAATTAGGAAGGGCTGTCACTGGTCCTCACCTGCTCCTGGTTACCTGGGGTCATCTTCCTTCCACATCCCTCCCTCTGAACACCTCACCTGTGTCAGCTGCGCTTTCAGCAGTGCCTGCTCCCGCATGGACTGCTCTAACTTCCACTCCATACGTGCTTTACTGCGGCTGGAGAACTGCTGAAGAGTGAGAAGTTTCAATCTGGTGAGGCCGGGCCATTCCACACAGTGCCCCTTAAAAGGGCCAGGGCTAGGCCCAATATACAACTCGGTCAGTAAAGATCAAGGCATTTCCAAGCCCGTGGTTTGGTTTTTAAAGAACTCAGTAAAGTTGGAAGGGACAGGGAAAGAGATCGAATTTATAGCTGGCTAACAGAGGCCCAGAGAGATCAGATAATATTGCTATTGTTATTACTGTTATTATTACCACTGTTTGAACTTTTATGGAGTGCTTCACCAGATACCATGCTAGCAATCCCATTTAATCCTCGCAACTACCATGGGAGACAGTTACTATGATGACCTCTATTGTGTAGATGAAAAAACATGGAGTATTTGAGGTTAAGTGCTTGCCTAAGATCACTTAGGCAGAGCTGGGATTTAAACACCCAGATCTATCCAATTCTCTAAGCCCATTTTTCTTGCTGGGGGTGGGGGCACAGCTAGGAAGGGGAAAATTAATCTTTTGTTCACTTTTTGAAAGGATAATACATTCACATAGTCCCAAACTCAGAAGGTACAGAAGGGAAGTATCTCCCAGCCACCCTGTTGCTCTCTCCTGAGTTTTTATGAACACTTGCAAACATATTTTATGTATATTATCATAATATGTACACACACACACACGTTTCCTCTCTCTACAGAAATGGTAACATACTAAAGGTACTCTTCTGTACCTTCACAGTACAAGTACCCAATACCCACTGAGGACTTGGCCAAGACCACAGCCAGGTAAAGGCATGGCAGGCACTTGGCCTCCAAGCTCTACGTCCTGTGCTCTCTCCCCAGAGTGCCCCCCAACTCACCCACAGCAGCTGACTCAGTCCCAAGCTGCCGCTAACAACCATACAAAAAAGCAGTGAGAAATGGCCATGCTGCCTTCTGGGCAGGACACTCCATCCTGCAGAAGGGACCTTTAGGCTCACTCCTCTGTCTGCGAAGCCAGGCTCCCAGGGGACGGGGCAGGTGGTTGGACTCACCCTCTCCGCCTTCTTCTTCTGTGTGGCGGTGACAGCAGAGAGAGCCCGCTCTAACTCTCCTTTACGCTGCAATGAATGTTGCAGACGGACGGCCAGATCCTTGGACTCTTCTGTAATGAGAGAGTTGAGATGGGGCCCAAAGGACTCCCCCTGAAGACCTGTCAAAGTGCCAGGTTGAAGGATGACAGGGTACCCAGATTCCCACCTTCAAAGTATCTGAGAGAACGTTTCGTGTGGTACAGGTCCGTATTTAGTTTCCCTTTCTGTATGTTCAATCTCTGGATTTGAACCTTTGGGAGAAAAGCCAAGCAAGTGCTGAAAGAGAAGGAAAGAAACATTCTCCGGAGGACAGGAGAAAACTGCACACCGTCCACTCACCTCTAGCTCCCTTTCGGCTTTCTGTTTCTCGTTGTTTGCTTTCTTTTCCTGTAGGAAGAGGAAGACAGAGATCTAACCAGGCAGAGGCAGAGATGGTACTGCAAGAGACATGTCCCCAGAATGCCACCACTGCCCCTGCCCCGGGACAGGCCCACCCATGGGACCGGGTTATCAGGGACCCTGTGGGGGATGGGGTGGACTCTGGGGGGTGAGCCTTCTTCCCCAGGCTGGGAGTGGGTGAGACGAGACTCGGGGCCTCTACATCTGAGTGTCCCCCAAACCGAGCAGTCATGTCGCGAGCAAACAAAGAAATCATGTTACTTCTTCCAGCTGATGTTCCACTTGTTTATTCTGTTGTTTCTGTGGGGAGAGTCACATTAAGGTGATGGAGGGTGGCCCCCTCAACTCTATTCCCCAGAGCAGGAAGTGGTAGGCAGGGGCCAGGAATGGATTTTAAAGGCAAAGTTCTCAGACCCAGTGGGAACTCGAACTGGTAAACTCTCCTCAAGCTCCCAAGGACAGAGGATTTGGGTCTTTGTTGGCTTTTGTCCACAGCCACAGAACTCAAGGTCTGAATCTGGAATCTCTTGACAGGACAGTAACATAAACCTCTAGAGATGGAGTTTGAGAAAGGCCCCCCCTTCTGCCAGCTTGTGATTTAGAAAAGTGCATTCATTCAATAAACATTTACTGAGCACGTACGGGCCAAGTACGGTTCTTCACAGAAGATTTAGGGCGGAAAAGGACAGACAGGAGCCTTTGGCCCTGAGGTTTCCATTCTAGGAGGCCTTTAAATCTCAGACTCGAGAGCTAACAGAGACCTTTGATACTCACTACTTCCTCTGGAAACATGAGCCCAAAAAGGAGAGGTGGCTTGTCCAGAATCAAAGAGCAAATTAGGGACTGAGTCATGGCAGAAATACGGGGCCCCTGACAACCAGTCAGGCTAGCACTTCCCCAAGAGGCAACAATCCCAGGGCGTGTGTAGCAAGGACTCGAGCAGGGGCGTCTGGAGAGGGGAGAGTCAGCAAACAGGGCAGCAAAAAAAGAGCCATGCTGCATGCTCCGGGGTCCCTCCAGGTGAGGCCTGGGCGCCCCAGCTCCCTATTCGCCCTTGGCACCAGGGGCCGCCGTCCCCTTTCTTCAGGGCCCCAAGGGGAAACTAGAGCCCAGGATTGGCAGCGTGGAATCAGGGGACCCCAGTGGACTCTTACCAAAGATTTGATGGTGTTCTTCAGTTGACTGACTTTTACGGACCTCGAGTCTGGGACTACTGCTAGTTCTTGGCACGGGCTCTGAGGCGCATGCAGAGAGGAGGAGGTGGAGGAGGAGTGGGGGGAGAGGTAGAGAGAGCAATCATTAGGGCTGGGGTGTGTGTGGACTGTCTCAGCTGGCAGAGGGGCACCCCGTCCCACCTGGAGGAGGAGGTTGGAGGGCTGGCCTGCAGGGTCACTGCACCTCTGCCCAGAGCCTCTTACCTCCAGATCCTTCAGGGTAGCAGATGATGTAGGGCTCTCCCCGTGGATACCTGTTGCTGACTACAAGAGATGAGAGTGCACATGAAGATGTTCTGTCCCACTCAGTATCTAAGCCCTCTGACTTCTTTTCTTCCCCATCAACTGGCACAATTTTCTTTTCTGCCTATCTTGGACCCTTTGTCCCATAACTCCTTTGTGCCAACTTCTCTCATGGTTCTTATCTCCCCACCACAGCACCCTGTGGCCCTTTCAGTGACTCCTGTGCCAAGTGACTGTTCTCATTGTCCTGGCTTCCCCTTGAGACTGGGGATGAGGAAAATCGAACAGCAATGACCATATCCTGGGTGTTCTGGGTGTTTACAGCAGGCCATGTACTAGGGATTAACATAAAAACAACAATAACAAATCTCATTTAAACTTCACAAATGGAAGTGAAACAATACCACCTCTATTATACAGATGTGAAAAGAGAGGCCCGATGAGGTCTAGCAACTTGCCCTAATTCATATCCCTAGCAGACAAAGAGGCAGGATTCAAACCCAGAATTCTTCACAGGTACCCAACAGTCCATCCACAATCTTAACAATTACCCTCTAGTGCCCCTTGGGTCCCCTGTCCCCAGGAACCTAGTCAGCCAAGACTCACATCTCCAGGTGAGTGGCAACCACCAGAAGTGGCTGTCTCATGGATGCTGCCATTTGTTTTCCTGTTCCTCTTGGCTCCTGCTGGAACACCAGGGCTGTTTCTCTGCCAATATTCTTTTAACTGTCAGAAATAAGAGCAGTAATACTCATGAGAACTATCAGCCCCTGCAGCCACATCCTCCTTTACAGTTTTTATAAAATACTCTTATACACCATCTGATTTAATGATACCAACAACTGTACAAGGTGTTGTCACAATCATTTAGTGACTCAAAGAGATTGATATCATGGCTAGAAAAAAAAAGAAGAAAAGAAAAAGGCGACAGACGAACTTTGAAACTCAGTCTTCTGACTCCAAACTCTGGGGTTTTACCAAGAATCATCAGCTGCCAGGGACCAAAACCAGAGGCAGAGGTAGAAAAGTAAACATTAAGTAGGCAGGAACTGTATGCCATGTGGTTTAGTCATACATCCTCACACGTCTGTTAGTGTGAAGAAGTGCACCAGTACCTCTCAAACTCTTATATCAATGTGTCCTCATGGCAGAAGGCAGCCTTTCTGTTAAATCTGGGAATTTATCAGAAAGAGGACAACCCAAGCCTCATTTCAGAGAGAAGTCTGGTATACTGTTAGAAACCTATGTGACTGTCATCCCTAAGTACATTAATGTTTTTTCTCTTGATCTCAAGAGAATCAATGGAAACTGATGCTTCAGAAAGATGTCCCATATGTATCCTGTGGCACTCAAAGTACCCCAGGTTTACATAATATGAGGAAGATTCAAGCTGTCAAGTTCAGTTTCCCAAGATCTATTCCACAGAAGATGAGCAAATCTCACTTCACAGACCACTGGCTGAAGGGCAGTCTGGTCCCAGAACCATGGAGAATTAGAATGTGAGGTGGAGAACTCACAAAAAATTTGTTAAAATCTCTCTGGAAAGTAGAAGCCTGGGAGAAAACCAAACCAAGTCAAACCCATTCTCCAGTTGCCATCCAGAGGTACTGTCAATGTTTTGAGCTCACAGGGGAAGTGTAGGCTTTTCCCGCTGTCAATGTTTATGCTAAGGGAGTGAGGCAGCCTGAAACCTCTTGCTCCTAGGTCCCAATCTCCATTCCCCTTCCAGCTGGAAATTTGTGCTGTGACAAGAGGAACCAGAAATGGGGTGGCAATGCTTAGGGGACTGGGTCATAAGATCAAAGGCCAGTCTTGCAGTAATGACAGTTACTGGATGGACCGTGACATCACTACATTCCACTCTTCCTGGTGAGGGGGAGGGACCACATCAGCATGATGTCCGAGTCACCGCTCCATGATAGGGGAGGGAAAAACAGAGCTGGGACCCAGGTCCTTGGAGACACCAGTGCACACAGCCTAGGGAGGTCCACCTTGAGGCAGCAGGAGGGAAGGGAAGAGTCAGCAGCAGGGAGCCCCAGGATTCACCAGCCTAAAGTCACCCAGGGATGACTGGTGAGGGTGGGGTCTGGGGCTGTGGGACCCAGGTCCTTGGAGATGTGAGCCCAAAAAGCCCTGGGAGGTCAAGCTTGGGGTGGCAGGAGATGAGGGCCCAGTAAAGGAGCGGGGAGCCCCAGGATTCACCTGCCCAAAGTCACCCTGGGGTGATTGGTGAGGGCAGAGACTGGGCTGCTTGCTGAAGGGGTGGGGCTGACTGACAAAACTTTGGTGGGGGTAGCCCAGAGGCACCGGTGTGGGGGTCCCAGTCCGGTGAACCTCGGGAGTGGTATGGACTCTGGCAGCAGTCTTGTCGTTGGAGAGGATCTATGGCTGGGTTGGGGGTCCGTGACCTGGTGTGTTTTTACCTTTCTCTTGGCTGCTGCCAATTTACTTTGTCGAGTTTCTTCTGCCATCGCAGGGTGGGGAGGGAGGCGGGCTTGGGGCCACATCAGCAAAATCCCACCAAGCACTGATCAACACCTCCAGTCACCTACCAGGTAGCTGTGCGACTGAGCCAGAGGAGGCGTAACCAGGGATGCAGTAGAAGGCAGAATAGGGGCGTGGCCTTAATGCTCCAAGCCCATTGGTTAATGAGAAAGATGAAAGGGAAAGGGGGCGTGGCCAGGCATCATGTGTCCAGAGGGACCTTTGGCTCACAAGGAAAGCTGCCCAGGCAACCACTGTCCCCACCCACCCTAAGAGAGGGGAGAGGCCGCCAACTCTGGGAGAGGGGCAGGGCCGGCTTTTGCTTTAAAAGCTTTTAAAAATATATATATGTGTATACTTTATATATATGTGTGTCTGTGTGTGTGTACCTGTGTGTTCCTCCAGAGCTGTCTTCATGATCCAGCTTCTATGCAAGGTCTATGATTTTGGCCTATATTTTTCATAGAGTACAAAAATTACCAGTATTACCTTAACCGAGATACAGATCCTATGAACATGGAAAATCCATAGCATGCTTGATGATTACTGAAGCAGACTATATTATCCAACATTCCAATAAGATAAAATAATCACAATGACTTCTCTTTTTTGGAAAAATGTTTCTCTTATTCTCCTACGTTATTGTGAAGACTTTTTTTCTTAAACAAGAAACATGTGTAATATTTGTAAAAACACAAAGCTTTTGGGCCGGGTGCAGTGGCTTATGCGTATAATTCCAGCACTTTAGGAGCCTGAGGCTGGCGGATCATGAGGTCAGGAGATTGAGACCATCCTGACTAAAAAGGTGAAACCACATCTCTACTAAAAATACAAAAAATTAGCCAGGCGTGGTGGTGGGTGCCTGTAGTCCCAGCTACTTGGGAAGCTGAGGCAGGAGAATGGCGTGAACCCAGGAGGTGGAGCTTGCAGTGAGCTCAGATCGTGCCACTGCACTCGAGCCTGGGCTACAGAGCGAGACTCCTTCTCAAAATAAATAAATAAATAAATAAAACTTCTATTTCTTTCACTTTCTAATATAATTTTAATATCTCCTCCTGGGATTTCACTAAGACACATTTTGGACCTCATTCTGATCTTCCTCTCCCCTCCAAGCCCACCAACTTCTGCCCTATCATCCATCCTCATGTCTCTCTGTGTGACATGCTGACTTACTTTTTGGAGAGAATCGCCTAAACAATTAATTCTTTCTTCTCGTGTCTAATCCATCCACTAGTTTCTTATTTCAACAATTACATTTTTATTTCCTTATTTCATTTTATTCTGAGACTGAGTCTCATTCTGTCACACAGGCTGAATTGCAGTGGTACGAACCTGCAGACTCGGCCTCCTGGGCTCAAGTGATCCTCCCACCTCAGCCTCTTGAGTAGCTGGGACTATAGGCAGGTGCCCCATACCCAGCTAATACCATACCCACACAGCAGAGACATAAAAGATTTCCATCCTCAAAGAAGGTTCCATTGAACAGCACTGCTCTAATTCAGTAAAAAATACCACTGAGCACAACATAGTAATAGAAAAGATTGAAGAGGCAGTGCTGATACTTAAAAACCTGGTATTTTCAGCCAGGCATGGTGGCTCATGCCTGTAATCCTGGCACTTTGGGAGGCTGAGGTGGGAAGATCGCTTAAGCCCAGGAGTTCTAGACCAGCTTGGGCAACATGGTGAAACCCTGTCTCTACAAAAAATACAAAAAATTAGCTGGGCATGGTGGCATGTGCCTGTAGTCCCAGCTACTTGGGAGGCCGAGGTGGGAGATCACCCGAGCCTGGGAGGTCAAGGCTGCAATGAGGTGAGATGGCACCACCACACTCCAGCCTGGGTGACAGAGTGAGACCCTGTCTCAAAAACAAAAAACAAAAAACAAAACAAAAACACCTGATATTTATTTTTAAGTACACTATTTTCAAACATTCAGAAGTTATTTCATCCTACCTTCATGGTTTCCATTCTATGCCTGGTTTAGAATTGGGATCTGATAAAATAAACGTGTTCAACAGAACCACTTCTCATGGCTGTATAACAGATGATCAATATGTATTTGCTGAGGAAATTATACAATTTTCTTAATTTTTTTTAACAAAAATTGTGGTTTCAAGGGACCAAACTTGAATACTACACCTTCATGTTCTAAGAATCAGGGGACTTATATAAAACCTCAGTTGCCTGATAAGGACTACATCAAAGTGAAAAGCCATGGGAAAGAACTAGAAAGTATACTTTTGACCCTAGTTCTGTAAAGTTTCCTTATGCCACAGGTAATACACATCGCAATTCCTGCCAAATTCTTTCCCTCACCTCTGTTTATGGTCTCGATTCCATAAATAGGAGAAGGGCATGAATTTGCTTTAGTTAGATAGACAGATGGATAGATAGATAGATGGATGGATGGATGGATGGATAGATAGATAGACAGAGATAAAGATAGAGACAAAGATGGAGACAGAGATGGACATAGAGACAGATTTGCAGAAGATAAGTTCTAGGTGAACTAGTGTCAACATTAAAGTGGTATGCCTACATCTAACTATTCTGGAGAGAAAAACATACCTCAAAGAAATTGACTTAAATATATACAGAGAAAAAGTTTAAGCTGAAAGCTACTGCCTTTTTATATGAGACACTTTAGGAAATTACTTGGGGGGCAAGAGAGAAAATGGGTGGACATAGCTCAGAGGTTACACAGTAGCAGATATGTAGGATGAACAAGCCTAGAAATATAATGTACAACGCGAGAAATATAGGTAATAAAATTGTGCTGTATTTGGGATTCACGCTAAATGAGATTTTAAGCTCCTCTTGCCACCAAACAAAAAGAAAACGGGTAACTATCTGAGTTGAAGGATACGTTAATTTGCTTCACTGTAGTAATTTTTTTTAACCATCTATATGCATCCCATAAAATCATGTTGTATACCTTAAATACACAGAATACAATTTATTTAACATAAAAAACTACTCCAATATTTTCTGCATTTTTAATATGCTCACCCAAAGAAAGCATTAATTTGCATCTTTGATGTTAAACAGATAGCCTAATCAAGTCACTATCAAGATCAAGACTAAAAGTTACAGCTTTTTTCTTTTGATGCCTTTCAGATATATCTATTTATATATAAAAATATATATACACACACACATACATACACACACACATATATATGTAGTTATGTGTGTGTGTATATATAGTTACAGTTTTGGCCAGGTGCAATGGCTGACACCTGTAATCTCAGCCCTTTGGGAGACCAAGGCTGAAGACTTGCTTGAGGCCAGGAGTTTGAGACCAGCCTGGGCAACGAAGCAAGACCCTATCTCTACAATTTTTTTTTTAACAAAATTAGCCAGGGATGATGGCATGCACTTGTAGTCCCAGATACTTGGGAGGCTGAGGCGGAGGATCCCTTGAGCCCAGGAGTTCAAAGCTGCAATGGGCTGTTACTGTGCCACTGGATCCCAGTCTGAGCAACAGAGCAAGACTTTGTCTCAAAAACAAAATTTATAATTAAAGATAAATAGTTATAGTTTTATGAACCTTGACTGCAACTGAGGGAAAATCCCGTAATTGGCAAAATGAATTCTGCCTGCTTGCAAAACTTCTGACTAATACGGAATGAATAATAGGAAGCCCATATTAGAGGATCCACATCAGTTAAAAAGTTTCCAAATAAGAGTGACTCTGAGTTCTGCAGAGTGAAAAGATTGGGTTCAAACCAAACACTTGCAAGATCTTGAGTAAGATACTTAATCCCTCTGTGACTCACTGTTCTCAAATGTAAGTGAAGATAATTTGTAACTCAAAAAAAATGAAAAAGTTTTCTCTAAGATTGCAAATCCTAAGGATAATTTCATTTTAATATCAGTTATTTAGTCTGGATACACCATAATGCAGACTAATTTTCCCTCTGCTTAAAGACCACACAAAAACATTACCAATAAAATTTACTTGTGTATCAACTTTTACTCCTGAGACTTCATCGTTTGTTTGGTTAAAAAAAAAAAAAAAAAAAAAAAGCGCACTAGACCGGGCACAGTGGCCCATGTCTGTGATCTCACTTACGGAGGCCAAGGCAGGTGGATGAGTTTGAGAACAACCTGGGCAACATGGAAAAACCCCATCTCTACAAAAAAAAAATATAAAAATTAGTCAGGTGTGGTGGCACATAACTGTGGTCCCAGCTACTCCAGAGAGTGAGGCGGGAGGATTGCTTGAGCCCACGCAGAGGTTGCAGTGAATCAAGATGGCACCACTGCACTCCAGCCTGGGTGACAGAGCAAGACCCTGTCTCAAAAAAAAAAAAAAAACACTATAAAATTGAAATTCACAACAAAATGTGCATACTTAACCTTCTTTTTATTTATTTATTTATTTATTTATTTATTTATTTTTAATATTTTGAGACAACATCTTGCTATGTTGCCTAGGCTGGTCTTGAACTCCTGGGTTCAAACCATCCTCCAGTCTTGACTTCCCAAAGTACTGGGACTACAGGTGTGAGCCACCAGCCCCGCCAGCCCTGTTACACTATTCTTGGCCCCTCAAGTGACTGTATGAATTTTAGGATGAGCCTCTCGAGTTCCACAAAAAAATTCTATTGGGATTTGTGTAGGAATTTCTTGAATTTATAGATTAATTTGTTGAGAAGTAGTATGTTTATAGCATTGAGTCCTACGATTCATAATATATATGGCATGTATTTCAGTTTAGTCAGTTCTTCCTTTAAGTCCCTGGGTAATTTTTATATTTGTCTTAGTCCCTTCATAGTGCTATAACAAAACACCTGAGACTGGGTAATTTACACAGAGCAGAAGTTTATTTTCTCAGTTCTGGAGGTTGGGAAGAACAAGATCAAGACTCCAGCAGACACAGTGTCTAGTGAGGGCCTGGTCTCTGCTTCCAAGATGGTACGTTGAATGCTGCTTCCTCTGGAGCAGGCAAATGCTATGTTCTCATGAGGCAGAAGGGACAGATTTACCACCACCCACAAGCCCTTTTATAAGGAAGGCACTAATCTCATGCATGAGGGCTCACCCTTATGTCTTAATCACTTCTTAAAGGCCCCACTTCTTAGTACTATCATCTTGGGAATTAAGTTTTAATACATGAATTTTGGGAGACACATTCAGGCTATGGCAATACTCTTCATGAAAGGCCTTGTGTATACTTTGCTAGATATATTCTCAGGGTTTTGTTGCTATTGTGAATAGAATCTCTTTTTTTTTTTTTTTTTTTTTGCCACGGAGTCTGGCTCCTTTGCCCAGGCTGGAGTGCAGTGGCACGATCTCGGCTCACTGCAAGCTCCGCCCCTCCAGGTTTAAGCAGCCTGTTGCCCAGGCTGGAATGCAGTAGCATAGTCATAGTTCAATACAGCCTCAAACTCCTGGGCCCAAATGATTCTCTAAGCTAATATTTTTAATTTTTTAGAGATGGAGTTTCATTCAAGGATCACTAAAGGCCAGTGATCCTCCCGCCTCAGCTTCTGAAATTGCTGGGATTACAGGTGTGATTGAGCCATGGAGCCTGGCCAGACATGGGCTATTGATTCTCGCTGTTACTCTTTTCCCTTTCCTTCTAATCCTTGTATTGGGAAGAAAACAGTATGGAAATTTTATTTCTTCATTTTATTGATACGTAGATCTCTGCTTAGAAGACAATTTTAGTTTTAAATTATAAATGTTTTGTTCATTATTCATAGAAAACTAGATTTGCCATGGGATGTTTATAAGTGTTGCACGAATGAAGGGTTTTCTAGTCAAATAAGTTGAAACACATTACGTTAAACAAACTTGGACAGTTTTGTTTCTGGTCAGTTTTAGAGTTCTAAATTATGATTCTACTCAAGAGGATATTGTATGCGGTATTTTCAAACCAACTCATCCTGCGTCAGGTTGTGGTTACGCTTTGGGAGAGGAAGCTATAATCTTATACTGAGACTGTAATGAATGTATTAAAGTAATTTTCGTAGCTTTCTCTTTTTGGAGTTACCTGAGAAATTATGACACCCTTTTCCAAACAGGCCAAGCTGCTTTGCAAACACGATTTCCATAATTTTAACAATGGTGAGGCCAGGCACGGTGGCTCATACCTGTAATTCCTTCCAGCACTTTGGGAAGCCTAGGCAGGAGGATCACTTAAGCCAGGAGTTCAATACCAGCCTGGGCAACATGGCAAAAACTCATCTCTACAAAAAATACAAATATTAGCCAGGCGTGGTGGCACACACCTATAGTCTCAGCTACTCAGAGGTTGAGGTGGGAAAATTGCTTCAGCTCAGGAGCTCGAGGCTGCAGTGAACGGTGATCACGCCACTGCACTCCAGCCTGGGTGACAGAGCAAGACCCTGTCTCAAAAACAAACAAAACAAAACACAAACCAAGGGTGAGAGAGATGTTAGATGTTTTTGTCCTTGTTACAGATGTAAATGCTCAGTTGGAAAGAGGGAAGTATTTAGAGTGAAAAACTTTCGGTGGAACACACACAAAAATAGGAAGATCAGGTATAACTGTTCCAAAAAAAAGAGTATGGCAGTATAGAAGAAAAGGTCTCCATGAAAATGCAGAAGAACAATTTCACAGCTGGTGCTGGCATTTCAGAGACCTTGAGCTGGGAATCAAAAGATGGGAATTTCAGTCTCGGATGTGCCACTCCTTAGAGGTTTAATATCTACTAAACCCGGCGGGCTCCACTTGGTGGTGTTTGCTATTTAAAAAAACAAAAACATGTGGCAATGATCTTCCACGTGATTCTGACTTGAGCCCCACCCGAGTCTGCAGACTTACCCTTCCACTGCTTTGCCCTTCAAGTTTGTGCCCATTAGCAAAGAGAAATTTTCTCTTTGGGATCACTGCTGTGTTGATCTCAGGAATAGTTGGCGTTGAATTTAACATATTTTTCATATGTGTGTGCAATAGGGAGGCTGAGAAACTTGTCTTTTTTTTAAGGTGTTCATTTTTGGGGTACAGGTAGCAGCCTGCTCTACAATCCACACAGAAGCTGGAAATAGCCTCTAGAGAATTTCCACTTTTAGAGAAGATAAATTTATACATTTGTATCTAATCAACATTTTTTAGCTAACATAGTAGTCTAATTATACTATGTATAATTATACTATGTATAATTATGGGTACTGAAATGACACCTGGCATATGCTGTATGCTGTGTTATATATACATATATATTTACACATATACATATATATTACACATATACATATATATTTACACACATATATTTACACATATACATATATTTACATATTTTGCATTTACATTTTACATTTATTTTACATTTTACATTTATTTTACATTTTACATTTACATTTGACATTCTACATTTATTTTACATTTACATATTTTACATTTACAAATATTTACATATTTTACATTTATATATATACATATATTTACGTACATATTTTTACATACATATTTACATGTGTATATATTTACATACATTCACATACATATTTACATATATACTTACATACATACATATTTACATAATATTTACATACACATATTACATACATATATGTACACATATACATATATTTACACATATACATATACTATGTATAATTATACTATGTATAATCATGGGTACTGAAATGACACCTGGCATATGCTGTATTTAAAAATGTGAGGTTCAATGAGAACACATGGACACAGGAAGGGAAACAACACATACTGGGGCCTGTCAGGGCGGGTGGGGGAGGAGCATCAGGAAAAATAGCTAATGCGTGCTGGGCTTAACACTGAGGTGATGAGTTGATAGGTGGACCAAACCACCATGGCACACGTTTCCCTACGTAACACTCCTGCACATGTACCCTAGAACTTAAAACAAAATTTTAAAAATAATAAAAAATAAAAATTTGAAATTCAGCACATAAACTGTTGGTTTTATTATTCATATTTTCTTAATTCAGAAATTATTTTCTGAACTATGGTTTATTCGATAATTTTGACGTAACAATTTTTTAAGAGGAAATTTAAGTTTTACTTTTTAATTGGGGCTCTTGGTTCTTTTTAAGAAAGACAGAGATAAATCATTTATACATTTAATTAGAAGAGACTGGGCTTGAATTTTTAAAAAGTACTAGAAATCGTAGCCACTATATATGTTATCTTTGAAATGTTTTAGACACTAATTACCTAAACAAGGAGCAAATAAGTTAAACCTCTTGGATTTTAATAAGAGCTAAAATGTACAGTTGTATTTTCTGGTTTTTTAAATTGTTACAGTCTAAATTTATTCTTCCTAATGAAGAAATGTATGTGCCGTCAATATCAGGTTCTTTGTGGGTACTCACAGTTCCCTTTGCCTTTTACGCAGTGAATGTGGGCAACATGCGTGGAACAGAAATGATGTCGTTTTCTTTCTTTTGAATATCACTATGAATCTAATAATTCAAAGATTCCTAACTTTCTGAATGCCATTATTAATTGGATTCACAATGACTTACCAGGTACAGAGTTGTCCAGTGTGTCTTGGGGTGAACTACTGAGAGTGGTATGAGGGAAGCGATTCTCAGCTAGCACTGAGTGGGGCCACTTCCAAAGAGGTGATGGGGTAAGAAGCACACACAATGTGGCATTTTCACTGCAAAGGGAGGTTTGTGCTGCCTCTCCTCCTGTGGCAGGTCTGCTCGCAGGGGAGGCTCCAAAGTTTGGCTTTGCTGGGTTTGGCATGTGAGAACTGATGAAATATCTGTATGTAGTATCTTTCAAGGATTTATATCGGTTGGATTTCTGTGTAAATTTGCATATCCCTTTGACTGCTTTACCCTATAGAAGCTTTGTATGCTTAACAAAATCTGTAACTTTTCTGTCACTTTCTCATTTAGCATCTGCCTTTCTGGCTTTTTACTTTATCTTTTTATTATTGTTTTTAGTTTAATGAGATTATGGTTAGAGAGAAAGATGGATGCATGATTCCGCTTCTTTGGAATTTGTTGAGATTTTCCTTATGGCTCAGTACATATGTACTTGGGGGGGGTGAATGCTGTCACTTTGGAGAGATATGTTTTTTCTCTACATTAGGTCAAGCTTGTTAATTTTCTAGAGAGATGTAAATCTTCTATGTCTATGCTGATTGTTTTTTGTCTCTTTTATCAGATACTGAGATATGTATTTAAATTGCCCTCTGAGGGTTGCAATTTTGTCATATTTTGCTTTCATGTATTTTGAGTGCTAGTTATTAGATACATTAACATTTTAGATTACCTTCTCCCTTGGTTTATTAGAATTTTTATCATCATATTGTGACCTTAAAAAATCTCCCATATTGCTTTTTGCCCAAAGCCTATTTTATCTGATAATAATATAGCTTCCAACCCTTCTTTGGGTTGGGTACATATGACATGTGTATCTTTTTTCAATCTCTCTCAGTCTTTCTGTGACTTTATGTTTTAGATGTCTTTTCATACTGTTTATTTTCTGTTTTTTGTGTTTTTTTTGTGTGTTTTTTTTTTTGATACGGAGTCTTGCTCTGTTGCCCAGGCTGGAGTGTAATGGTGTGATCTCGGCACTGCAACCTCTGCCTCCTGGATTCAAGCGATTCTCCTGCCTCAGCCTCCTGAGTAACTGGGATTACAGATGTTCACCACCACGCCGGCTAATTTTTGTATTAGCAGAGATGGGGTTTCACCATGTTGGTCAGGCTGCTCTCGAACTCCTGACCTTGTGATCCCTCCGCCTGCCTCATCCTCCCAAAGTGCTGGGATTACAGGCATGAGCCACCACGCGTGCCCTAATTCTGTTTTATAGTCATTTTCTCTTAATTATTCAGTCTATTTACATTTATTGTGATTGTTGGCATAGTTTCTTTTATAACTTTCATCGTATTTTGTGCTATTTGTTCCATCTGTTTTTATTTCTTCATGTCTTTTTTGTCTCGTTTTTGCTAATTCCTTTTATATTCATGGTTATTCTGCTCTTGAAATGTATGCTATGTGAATATATTTGTGAGTTGACAATACTTTATTAGCAATTAAATATACTATTTCTCTTTTTTTTTAGAACTTGCTCAAATGTTACATAACCTCAATATCCTTAGTATCTAAATTAAACTGACTTTCTGAACAATCATCATTTTAAGGCAGTTACCACGATCTACTAAAAAATAAAAAAAAATTAGCCGGGTGTGGTGGTGGGCGCCTGTAATCCCAGCTACTCAGGAGGCTGAGGCAGGAGAATCCCTTGACCCTGGGAGGCAGAGGCTGCAGTGAGCCGAGATAGCGCCACTGCACTCCAGCCTGGGCGACAGAGAGACTCCGTCTCAAAAAAAAAAAAAATAATAATAATAATAAAGGAATTTAAAAAAAGACTGGGTTTAACCATGTTGCCCAGGCCGGTCTGGAACTCCTAGGCTCAAGCAATCCCCCACGCTTGGCCAGTCCAAAGTCCTGGAATCAAAAGCGTGAGCCACCACGCCAGGCCGATCACGCCTGTCATCCCAGCACTTGGGGAGGCGGAGGTGGGTGGATCACCGGAGGTCAGGAATTTGAGACCAGCCTGGCCAACATGATGAAAACCCGTCTCTACTAAAAATACAAAAAAAAAAAATTAGCCGGGTGTGGCGGCAGGTGCCTGTAATCCCAGCTACTCAGGAGGCTGAGGCAGGAGAACCACCAAAACCCGGGATGCAGAATTCGCCGCGAGCGGAGACCCAGCCACTGCACTCCAGCCTGGGCAACAAGAGGGAAACTCCGCCTCAAAAAAAAAAAAAAAAAATAATAATAAGAGACAGATTTTCACCATGTTGCCCAGGCAGGTCTGGAACTCTTAGGCTCAAGCAATTCCCCACGCTCGGTTGTCCAAAGTCCTGGGATCAAAAGCGTGAGCCACCACGCCAGGCCGATCTATTTCTTTCTGATTAATAAATTGGGCCAGGAGGGTGGCTCACGCCTGCAGTCCCAGCACCCCGGGAGGCCGTGGCGGGCGGATCACCTGAGGTCGGGAGTTTGAGACCAGCCTGACCAACATGGAGAGACCTGTCTCTACCAGAAAAAAAAAAAAAAAAAGAGCCGGGCATGGTGGCTCCCGCCTGCAATCCCAGTCACTCGGAGGCTGAGGCAGGAGAACCACCCAAACCCAGAGGCAGAGGCCGCGGGGAGCCGACACCGCACCACTGCACTCCAGCCCTGCAACAAGAGGGAAACTATGCCTCAAAAAAAAAAAAAAAGAGAGAGAGAGAGAGAGACCGGTTTTCACCATGTTGCCCAGGCTGGTCTAGAACTCCTAGGATCAAGGGATCCGCCACGCTCGGCCCGTCCAAACTCCTGGGATCAAAAGCGTGAGCCACCACGCCAGGCCGATCCTTCCTGTCATCCCAGCACTTTGGGAGGCCGAGGTGGGTTTACCTGAGGTCCGGAGTTCGAGACCAGCCTGGCCAACATGATGAAAACCCATCTCTACTAAAAATACAAAATAAATAAATAAATAAATAAATAAATAAAAATTAGATGGGTGTGCTAGCGGGCGCCTGTAATCTCAGCTACTCAGGCGGCTGAGGCAGGAGAATCACTTGAACCTGGGAGGCAGAGGTTGCAGTGAGCCGAGACAGCGCACCACTGCACTCCAGCCTGGGTGACAAAGTGAGACTCCGTCTCAAAAGTATATATATATAAAAATAAAAAATGAAATAAAAATAAATTGGGTGTGTGCGCTGGCTCACGCCTGCAATTCCAGCATCCCCAGAGGCCGAGGTGGGCGGATAACCTGAGGTCTGGAGTTTGAGATCAGCTTGCCCAGCATGGAGAAACCCCGTCTCTACCAAAAACAAATAAAAAAAAATTAGCAGAGCAATGTTGGTCAGGCCTGCAATCCCAGCCACTCCGGAGACTGAGGCAGGAGAACTACTAAAACCCTGGAGGCAGAAGTCGCTGCGAGCGGAGACCCAGCCACTGCACTCCACCCTGGGCAACAAGAGCGAAACTCCGCCTCATAAAAAAAAAAAAAGAGAGAGAGACCGGGTTTCACCATGTTGCCCAGGCAGGTCTGGAACTCCTAGGCTCAAGGGATACCCCGCGCTGGGCCATCCAAAGTACTGGGATCACAAGCGTGAGCCACCACACCAGGACGATCTATTCCTTTCTGATTAACAAATTGGGCCGGGAGCGGTGGCTCAAGCCTGCAATCCTAGCACCTCGGGAGGCCTAGGCAGGTGGATCACCTGAGGTCGGGAGTTTGAGACCAGCCTGACCAACAGGGAGAAACCCCATCTGTACCAAAATAAAAATAAAAAAAAAATACAAAATTAGCCGGGCTTGGTGGCTTATGCCTGCAATCCCAGCCACTCTGGAGGCTGATGCAGGACAACGACCGAAACCCGGGAGGCGGAAGTCGCGGCAAGCAGAGACCCAGCCACTGCATTCCAGCCTGGGCAACAAGAGCGAAACTCCGTCTCAAAACAACACAAAACAAAAAGACCAGGTTTCACCATGTTGCCCAGGCCTGTCTGGAACTCCAAGGCACAAGCGATCCACCCTACTTGGCCGTCCAAAGTCCTGGGATCACAAGAGTGAGCCACCACGCCAGGCAGATCAAAGCGTTGAGCTGAATAAAGAGTTATCTTTTAGCATTTTGTGGAGCCCGGGTAGATCTGTGCAGGGGGAAGCATATTACAGAAGCGAGAAACAGAGGGTTATTTAATTGAAGCACGCATTATGTTTTTTTTTTTTTTTATGTTTTTAGGAAAAATATGTTTTGTGACTTGCATTCGTTTGTTTAGTGACCTTGCAGTTGCACAGTTAGGGAATTAGGGTTTTGATAATGCCTGGGAAGGGAGCGATAAGGCTCACTAGCCATAGGAAAACAGGTAGTTTTTTTAAAGGACTAAGGCTCTTTCTCATTCTCAGGGGGAATTGGTTTTTTTTTACATACAGCTGAGTTTTTGCTTACACATTTTTTCATTTCTTTTAATTCCTGTTCCAATGCCAGCATCCTTGCGGTGCGGTTTCCCAGCGGCTCTCTTGCCTTGCAGCTTGTGTCGGGAGTTGCAGACAGCCATGGCCCATGGGCCTGGCGCTGACGGACCCTGGAGCGGTGTCTGAGGGAGGTGGGCAAAGCCACTGGCTGGCCCGAGAGCATCCTCACGTAAGTGCACAGATCCCGGGCTTGGGTGCGACTGCGGTCGCACGTGGACACGGGTTGCAGACCCCTGGCAAATTGTGGAGCTGGGGGAAGGTAAGGGGAAATGTAAATCACTTTTCCCCACATTTCAGAGGACCTAGGCTATCAAAATTTTAAAAATTGTTAAAACTTTTACAGTATGGATCTCTCAGTTGAATGTTATTGAAATCAACCTAACCTCAGTTATTCACGCCTATAAGCTCCCCTTGAGGCTTATTACGGCCCCCATCCCCCTACACACAACTGTGTTGGTTTCTCCTTCCGCCTGTGCTCCTAAAGCACTCAGTGTTTACCTGCCATCATACTTTATTGAAAACACAAACTTGTCACTTGTCTGTCTACCCCACTAAGCTTCTTGAGAATTAGAACTTTCATGTCTCTTCCCAACACAAACGTTTTATGTGTATTTTGTTGAAGAACTTCAAATATGACCTATAAAATTATGACTCATTTATGTTTCAAACTCCAACCTCTCCCTTGAGTTCCTTGCTCACAAGCAACTCCAGACTGAGCTTAGTTGGAATTCAGTAGCGCACAACTGGGATATCCGCACCGTACGGTTTTTAACAATTTTTTAAATTTTGGTCCTCTCAGCATCACAAATTCACTGTGTCCAAAATACAGTAGAATGCTGTTTCTACCCACCTACACTCTGCCATCCGCTGAAGTCCTTTCCCCTTGCTCCACCACTCAAGCCTTGCCTATCGCACTAAATGGCAGTTCTGTCTCTCCAGTTGCTCGCACATAAAACTAGGCTGCTATTTTGATGTCTTCACTTTTCTCTATTCTGTATCTAATTCCTTAGCAATCCTGTCAGTTCTACCTCCAAACTGTACTCAGCATATTCACTGCTCTAACTCCAGCTTAAATCACCATCATCCTTTGCCTGGAATGCTGCATCAACCTTCTAATCACTCTACTTTCCTCCTCCTCCTTCCTCCCTTTCTTCTTCCTTCGTATAAATCATCATTTCATCCTTCTGCTTAAAATCTTCTCATATTTTCTTATTACACTTAAAACGGCAAACTCTTACCCTTGAGCCCTGCAGAATTTGGCTCCCATCAGTCTCTCCAACTTCACCTTCTGCCTCCTTCACGCTATAGCCATGCTCACTTTTTTTATTCCTCAGGCTTACCAAGCTCAATTGCATCTTAGAGAATTTGTTCTTGCTGTTTCTTCCGCCTGGAATACATGTTTCCCAATCTTTATAAGACTATACTTGTCTGTAAGTTTCATCTCAGATGTCACATCTAGGAGAGGTTTTCCTTGACCACTGTAGCCAAAGCAAATGTTGATCATTGAGTGAATAAGGGAATGAATGAATGGAGTGGTATATAATGTAGCAGAGTAGATAATTTAAGGCTAATTCACTATATATCTCCAAGCAAATAGATTTGTAATGCTTTTCCTGCCAACAATCTATACAGCTGATTCACAAATACTTGGTTGACAGGTTTTATATATCATTGTGGCTCATCAGCTTATATATTGTTGGGGCCAGAATCTATACTTACACTTTATTCAAATTTGATTTTACAGAAGAGTTGAGGTTTTTATTTTTCTTTTAATTAAGAGGGCTGTGAAATTATTATCTATAATTCTAAATCTCATTTAATTCCTCCCAATAGGTTTCAAGATGGATTGGAACCAAAGTTCACTTCTTTAACAAAAGTGCTTTATGACTTTAATAAAACAGTAGAGAATGGTAGAATCCATGGCAGCTCTTTACAAAAACTTGTGATAGAAAGTTTTGATGATGAGCAGACTTTGCAACAACTGGAATTGCAAAATGAAGCAATTTTACCGTGCTTCCAGAATGCGGTTAGTGAAAGAAAGATGAAGATATCAGTCTTCTCCCAGAGAGTGAAGAACAGGAGCATGAAGAGGCTGGTTCAGAAACAGAGGCTGATGGCCAGGAGGACCTAGAAGATTTAGAGGAGGAGGAGGACGTGTCAGATATGGGTGGTGACAATCCTGAAATGGGTGAGAGAGCTAAAAACTCAAGCAAATTCAGGGCCAGGCGCGGTGGCTCACGCCTGTAATCCCAGCACTTTGGGAGGCCGAGGCAGGTGGATCACGAGGTCAGGAGATCGAGACCATCCTGGCTAACAAGGTGAAACCCCATCTCTACTAAACATACAAAAAATTAGCCAGGCGTGGTGGCAGGTGCCTGTAGTCCCAGCTACTCGGGAGGCTGAGGCAGGAGAATGCCATGAACCCGGGAGGTGGAGCTTGCAGTGAGCCTAGATCACGCCACTGCAGTCCAGCTGGGCGGCAGAGTGAGAGACTGCATCTCAAAAACAAAAACAACAATTACTTAACTTTAGGATGCTCCAATAATCAAAATTGATAGTGGCTTGTGAACAGATAGATTACTTGAATAGAATAGAGCCCAGAAATAAACCCAAATGCTTCTGGGGGAGTTTGGTACATTATAAACATGAGATTTTAAATCAATGAGGAAAAGAAATCATTTGCAGCTCACCCCACCATACACAGCAGGAATAGGAAGTCATTGGCAGAATAAAAAGATGGTAAGAACAGAACAGAATTGTAGAACAGTACATTTCTTGCTTCCCCACTTTTCAAAGTATTTTTTGCTTTTTCACAAATGTAAGTGTAATTTTATTTTCTAAATGTATACTAATTCTTTTCTTCTCTTTCTTAGATGAATGACAAAAATTACATCTTTAGAAAAAGAGTTGTTAGAAAAAAGCCTTGGCTGCATGTGGGGGAAGTGACAGCACAGAAGAGACCAGAGAAGAGCCTCCTGGAGGAGAGCCTGCACTTTGACCATGCTGTCCGGATGGGTGCAGTGCTCTTTTCTGCAAAGTGTTCACTTCTCTGCTTTTTCTGTGGTCCCATTTCATAGAAAGATTTGGGGTGATGTTTCTTTCCCTCAACTTTTATTTTGAAAACTTGCAAACACAGAAAAGTTGATAAAATCATACAGTGAACATCTGTATGCTATTCAACTGGATTCACTAGTTAATGTTTTGTCACACTTGTTTTCTGTCTTCTGCGTATGGAAGATTGTATATGTGCCCTTTTTCCCTCTGAATCATTTCAAAGTAAGTTGGCAGTATCAGAGCATTTCACTGTTAAGTACTTTCGCAGATATCTTCTAGGAACCAGGACTTCTCCTATGTAATCACAATACCATTAATCCACCCCCAAAATTTAACATCAATACACTAATGATACCTACTGTATAGATTATAATCAGCTTCCTTGCAGCAATCTGTTTAGAAGGCTTGCATCCTGTCACTGTCCACTGATTAAATTTTGAACTCTAACTTGAAACCCTGGTCATCTCATTGCCTTCTTTCTTATACCCATTAAGTCAAAAGGAGCTCTCATTTTATTTCAACAGAAAAGAGAATGGAAAAGAGGGGAAGAGTCCCTAGTACCTTGGATAAAGTATGAGCACTTACTACCATATGTATTCTAGTTCTGTAGTTTTCAAACTTCAGGGAGCATCTCAAGGCTTATTAAAGCACAGATAGCTGTCCTTCCCCACTTTCTGATTCAGGAGGTGTGGGGCTGGCCCAGGAATTTGCATGTCTAACAAGTTCCCACGTGTTTCTGATGCTGAGGGTCTAAGGACTACAATGCATGAATCCGTGGTTTAGTGGATATCCACCTAATGAATACATGTTGTATTTCCTTTGGCACCCGTGATTACAGAGGAAACACCTTTCAACTGGAAGGTATCATTAAACAGAGGATAAGAGATCAGGTCAGTAAGAATTAAATTTCACTTAATTGAAATGTCACTCAAATGTTTAGAAATAATATGACAGGCCAGGCACAGTGGCTCATGCCTGTAATCCCAGCACTTTGGGAGGCCAAGGCAGACGGATCACTTGAGGTCAGGAGTTCGAGACCAGCCTGTCCAAGATGGTAAAACTTCCTCTCTACTAAAAATACAAAAATTAGCTGGGCATGGTGGTGCATGCCTATAGTCCCAGGTACTCGGGAGGCTGAGGCAGGGGAATCGCTTGATCTCGGGATATGGAGGTTGCAGTGAGCTGAGATGCGCCACCGCACTCCAGCCTGGGCAACAGAGTGAGACTCCATCTCAACATAAATAAATAAATAAATAAATAAATAAATAAATAAATAAATAAATAAGATAAAAATAAAAATAAAGGGAAGATGGGGCAGCTTTGTGTATTGCATGTCCTGAAAACGGGCTGATTTCTCTCAAGAGGCAGGGATTTAAGCTCTGTAGCCTATGTGGGATACATACAGGAGAAAAAAGAAGAAAAAGAAAAGAAATGTAAATATAAATAAATGAAAATAACACTTTTCCATGATTATAAAGGAAATCACATTGTTTTTGTAATAATTTGGATGACAAAATGTAAAGAAAAATCTTTAATTTTGCCACTCAAAACATTCCGGTTTGTTGCTTTTCACACTTTTTATGCTGTAAACATTTTAAAAAGTAGAATCACAATACATGGTCTTTTGTCACTTACTATATTTTAAGCATGTTTCTATGGGAGAAATATATCCTGGCATCATCACTTTCAACAGCTGGATGTATGTTAAGTGAATCATTGCCACCCCAGAGGTGGATTTCCTTCTATATATATTTTAATGGACTCGAGTGAGGATTTTTGCACTGAATTCATAGAAGTAGAATTTCTAGAAGAAAATAATATAAAACAGTTTTAGGATTTTTAAAACAAATGTTCAAATCATCCTATAGGAAAATTGGTTGAGTTTACGCTCCCACCAACAGGGACAGAGCTCCAGGTTCCGCCTTCCATTTGTCGTCTTCGCTGGTCTTTAAGCAGAAAATCTCATTGTTTTCATTACCTTTCTTTGATTTCTAGTGCTTTTGAATCTTTTTCATTTGCTCATTGGCCATTTTTATTCTTGTGGGAAGTGCTGGTTTCTCCATTGCCCATTTTCTGCTGCAAATCATTCATTTTTTTTTTCTGAGTAATTTAAAAGATTTCTTTATAGGCTAAGGATACAAACCTTTAATCTGTCATTGAGGTTACAAAGATCTTCTCCCAGTAAGTAATTTGTCATTTCACTTTATTTATTTATTTTTTGCTAGCAAAGCACCAAAGTCAAATTTCACTTAATTTTTATCCTGCTGAATGAACACATTTTAAGTTAGTGATTTTAGTGGAAACAGGAGCAGGACAGAATGTAATAATTAGCTCTCGCTCTGTCACCCCAACTGGAGTGCAGTGGCATGATCATAGCTACTGCAGCCTCAAACTTCTGGGCTCAAGTGATTTTCCCACCTCAGCCTCCCAAGTAGCTCTAGGACTACAGGTGTGTGCCGCCAAGCCCAGCTAATTTTTAAATTTTCTTTGTAGAGATATGAATTCGCTATGCTGCCCAGGCTGGTCTTTAACTCCTGACTTACCCCACCTTAGCTTGCCAATATGCTGGGAGTACGGGCGTGAACTACTGCTCCCGGCCAAGAGCTTACTTTGGTTTGCTAGCAAGGTTCTTGGTATCTTTTTATATTTGAGGCTTTCGTGCTAGTGCTGAAGTATTACACTCACCATCTGAGGTTTACAGGACTTTTGTTTTAATATTGAACCGAGGGAACTGTTTAGTTTTGCATCTTTGCAGGTATACAAAATGTGCCTACCAGGACTCTGCTTTATATCCATTGAAAAGCAAGAAGTAATACAGTAAAAGTTTGCCTGGCTACAGGCTTTGGAAGAATGGAGTATTCTGGTTTAATTCTATTAACTTGGAAGGATGAAGGTGGAAAAAATTCAAACCTTTAATTTCCTGTTGAATGCAATTTGAAAATATAGCCAATGAGTCCACTTTTCTTCTCTAGTAAGTTTGGACATTCAGATCTACTTGGTCTTTTATCATAGAACTCCTAGTGCGCCTGAGTCTTACGTTGTGAAAATCCTTTTCTAAAACTTTAGATGTAAGAGGATAGAAATGATATTGGATGAGATCAGGCTGGATGAGAACTGATACCTGTAGATATATTTTTTAGATGAAATCTCTGATTGCCACACGTTTTCTTATTGAACTCATAAAAATAAAACACACTGGCTGGAGGGTGGAAGTAGGAAGGAGATTTATGTCTTTTAATTGCATGTCATTGTTTCATATTGAGACAGAACATATAGTATCCCTGGCTTTGGACCTACAGAAGGAAACACATTTTTCTACCTGCTGTATGGCAGAGGTTCCTGAGCACCTGGAGGGATTATTGCAGCACGGATTGCTGGGCCCTACTGCAGAGTTTCTGATTCATTCATGTCTAGGGTGGGGCCTGAGAATTTACATTTATAAGAAGTTCCCAGGTGCTCCTGGTCCGGAGACTACATGTTTGAGAGCCACCCTTACATACTAACTGTAAATTGTAGAACTCTAGAAAAAAGCGTAGTTTGGACTGGGAGAAGAAGCACACAGGTAATGGAGCAAATCATGAAAAAGTCAACCCTTGATCCCAGGTAACAAGCAATACACAGTGACATAACACAATTCTTGGTTTTCATGATTGCAAGTCATAGCCAAGTATCGAGTGAGAAATTCAGTTTCATTTTCAGGGCTTAGAGGCCAGGTGATTCTAGAAAAATCGGATTTAGTGATTAACTCATGAGAGTAGGAGTTATTTATGTCCTTTTTCTCTCCCCCATCACTTAGCATTTAGCCTTACTTTAGAAGGGTCCTGTATTTGCTTTAACCTTGTAAAGAACTTTGAGTGCTTATTAAATGGAAAGCCTTGTGTGTGTGTGTGTGTGTGTGTGTGTGTGTCTGTGCGTGTGTGTGTGTGTGTGTGTGTGTATTTAGAGACAGAGTCACATTCTGTAGCAGCCCAGGCTGAAGTGCAGTGGCATGATTTTGGCTCACTGCAACCTCTGCCTCACAGGTTCAAGGGATTCTCCTGCCTCAGCCTCCCAAGTAGCTAGGATTACAGGCACCTGCCACCATGCCCAGCTACTTTTGTATTTTTAGTAGAGACAGGATTTCATCATGTTGGCCAGGCTGGTCTTGAACTCCTGAATTCGGGTGATCCACCCGCCCCAGCCTCCCAAAGTGCTGGGATTACAGGCATGAGCCATCATGCCTGGCTCAAAGCTTTGTATTTTTAAAGATATTAGACATGTTTCTTGTTTGTTTGTTTTTTTTAAAAAAACTAAACGCTAATGTAGGAGAATAAGAGAAAGTTTTTCCAAAAAAGAGAAAACATTGTGATTATCTTATTGGAATGTTGGATAATAAAGTCTGCTTTATCAATCATCAAGCACACTATAAAATTTCCATTTTAATAGGACTTGTACCTCAATTGAGGTAATAAAGTTTTAAAGTTTTTAAAGTGAAAGCCAGCCCCGCCCCTCTCCTGGAGTGGGCGGGGACAGCGGTTGCATAGGCAGCTTTCCTTGTGACAACACAGGTCCTTGATGACACGCTGCTGTCTGGCCACACCTCCTTTTCCTTTCATCTTTCTCATTGACCAATGGGCTTCAAGCATGAAGGCCACACCCCTATTCTGCATTCTAGTGCAGCCCTGGTTACGCCTCCTCTGGCTCAGTCACACAGCGACGTAGAGGTGACTGGAGGTATATACTTGTCCTCACCTGGATCATGCTGATGTGGCCCCAACCCCACCTCCCTACCCATCCCCACCTCCCTACCCATCCCCACCTCCCTACCCATCCCCACCTCCCTACCCATCCTATGATGTCCAAAGAAACCAGACAGAGCAAATTGGCCGAGGCCAAGGAACAGGTAAACGCACCAACACCCCAACCCAACCCGAGGCCCCCTCTGACAGCCGAACTGCTGCCAGAGTCTGTGCCACTCCTGAGGGACACCAGGCTGGGCCCCCCACCCCAGTGCCTCTGGGCTCCCCACACCAAAATCTTGTCAGCCAGCCCAACCCCCTCATAAGTCCTGCCCCTGCTCTGCCCGGCACACCAGGGTGACTTTGAGCAGGTGACTCCTGGGGCTTCCAACTCCATACTCCGCCCTTACCTCCTGCTACCCCAAACCCGACCTCCCTGGGCTCCTTGAGCTCACAGCTCCAAGGACCTGGGTGCCCCAGAACCTGCCCTCACCAGTTGCCACAGGGTGACTTTGGGGATGTGACTCCTGGAGCTCCTTGCTCCTTAATTGGCCCTCACCTCCTGCCGCCCCAAGCCTGACCTCCCGGGGCTCTTTGGGGTCACGTCTCCAAGGACCTGGCTCCCAATTTTGTGACCCCCTCCCCAGTCTCAAAGCGGCAACTTGGGCATTGCACTCATGTGTCCCCCCCAACCACTCCACCGAGGAGTAGAATGTAGTGATGTCACAGTCCCGCTACAAACTGTCATTACTACCACAAGACCGGCCTTTGGTCTTAGGACCCAGTCCCCTAAGTGTTCTTGCCCACTTCTGTTTCCTCTGGTTGCAGCACAGGTTTCCAGCTGGAAGGGGAATGGGGACTGTGGGACCTAGAAGAGAGAGGTTTCAGGCTGCCTGACTTCCTTACCACAGACCTTGACAGTGTGAAAAGCCTACACCTCCCCCATGAGCTCAACACGTTGACAGTGTCTCTGGGTGGCAATGGGAGAACGGGTTTGGTTTGGTTTTCTCCCAGGCTTCTACTCTCCAGAGAGATTTTAACATTTTTTCTCAGTTCTGCACCTCAGATTTGAATTCTCCATTGTTCTGGGACCAGAGTGCCCCTCAGTCACTGGTTCTGGAGTGAGATCTGCTTATCTTCTGTGGAACAGATCTTGGGAAACTGAACTTAGCTTGAGTCTTCCTCATCTCATCTCAACCTGGGGTACTTTGAGTGCCACAGGATAAATATGGGGCATCTTTCTGAAGCATCAGTTTCCCTTGATTCTATTGAGAGACAAAACATTAATGTACTTAGGGATGAAAGTCACATAGATTTATAAGCGTATACAAGACTTCTCTCTGAAATGAGGCTTGGGTTGTCCTCTTTCTGTTAAATTCCCAGATTTAGCAGAAAGGCTGCCTTCTGCCATGAGGAGACATTGATGTAAAGGTTTGAGAGGTACTGGTGTACTTTTTAACACTAACAGACGTGTGAGGGTGAATAACCCTAAACCACATAGTGCACAGTTCCTGCCTACTTAATATTTGCTTTTCTACCTCTGCCTCTGGTTTTGGTCCCTGGCAGCTGCTGATTTAGGGCAAAATCCCAGAGCTCAGAGTCAGAAGACTGAGTTTAAGTTCCATTACTGCCTTTTTTTTCAGCCATGGTATCAATCTCTCTCAGTCACTAAGTGATTGTGACAACATTTCCTACAGTTGGTGGCATTAAATCAGATGGTCTATAAGAGTATTTAGTATAAACTGTAAAGCAGGATGTGACTGTAGGAGCTTGTAGTTCTCATGAGTATCACTGCTCTTCCTTTCCACAGTTGACAGACCATCATCCCCAGACCAACCCTAGTGTTGGTACAGCAGCAAGCGACACCAAAAAGAAGAAAATAAATAATGGCACTAACCCTGAGACAACCACTTCTGGTGGTTGCCACTCGCCTGAGGATGTGAGTCTTGGCTGGCCGGGCTCCTGGGGACAGAGGGCCCAAGGGGTGGTGGAGGGTAATTGTTAAGATTGTGGAAGAACTGCCAGGTACTGGCTAAGAATTCTGGGTTTGAATCCTACCCCTCCATCTGCTAGGGATATGATTTAGCGCAAATTGCTTGAGCTCTTTGGGCCTCTCTTTTCACATCCGTAAAATACGAGTGGTATTGTTTTCCTTACATTTGTGAAGTTTAAATGAGATTTGTCATTGTGTTTTTATGTTAATCCCTCGTCCAGGACCTGCTGTAAACTCTCCTTCTTGGGCTTGCGTTTCCTGAGGTAGAGTTAGAGAGTATCAGAGGTTTCTGTTAGCTCTGAGAGCCCGAGAGTTAAAGGCCCACTAGAATGGAAACCTCGGGGCCAAGGGCTCCTGTCTGCCTTTTCTGACCTCTATTCCCGCTGTGAAGAACCGTCCCTGGCCCGTATGTGCTCAACGTTTGCTGAGTGAATGCACCTTTCTAAATCACAAGCTGGCGGAAGGGTGGGCTTTTCTCGCACTCCACCTCTGAAGGTTTCTGTTACTGTCTTTTCAAGAGAATCTAGTTTCAGACTTTGAGTTCTGTGGCTGTGGGCAAAAACCAAAAAGACCCAAATCCCTCTTCTTTGGGAGTTGAGGAGAGTTGACCAGTTCATGTTCCCATTGGGTCTGAGAACTGTGCCTTTTAAATCCATTCCTGGCCCCTGCCTATCGCTTCCTGGCCTGGGGAATAGAGTCAAGGGGGCCACCCTCAGTCACCTTCCTTTGACTCTCCCCACAGAAACAATAGAACCGAGCTCAGCTGGAAGAAGTCGTGTGATTTCTTTGCTCACGACATGACCGCTGGGTTTGGGGGCACTCAGATGTAGAGGCCCCAGGCTCATCTCACCCACTCCCAGCCTGGGGAAGAGGGCTCACCCCCAAGATTCCACCCCATCCCCACAGGGTCCCTGATAAACTGGTCCCATGGGTGGGCCTGTTCTGGGGCAGTGGTGCCATTCTGGGGGCATGTCTCTTGCTGTGGATCTCTGCCTCCCCCTAGTAAGAGCTCTGTTTTCCTCTTTCTATAGGAACAGAAGGCAAGCCACCAACATCAGGAAGCCCTAAGGAGGGAGCTAGAGGTGAGTGGAGGGTGTGAAGTTCCCTCCTGCCCTCTGGAGAATGTTTCTTTGCTTCTCTTTCAGCATTTGCTTGTCTTTTCTCCCAAAGGCCCAGGTTCATACCATACGAATCCTTACATGTCAGAAAACTGAGCTTCAGATGGCACTCTACTACAGCCAGCATGCTGTCAAGCAGTTGGAAGGTGGGAATCTGGCACCCCATCATCCTTCAACCTGGCACTTTGACAGGCCTTTAGGGGGAGTCCTTTGGGCCACATCTGAATGTCTCTCATTCCAGGAGAGGCCAGGGATCTGATCAGCCGCCTGCATGATTCATGGAAGTTTGCAGGAGAGTTAGAGCAGGCTCTCTCTGCTGTCGCTACACAGAAGAAGAAGGCGGATAGGGTGAGTCCAAACACGGCCCCGTCCCTTGGGAGCCCAGCTTCGCAGATGGAGGAGTGAGCCTAAAGGTCCCTTCTGTAGGATGGAGTGTCCTGCCCAGAAGGCAGCATGGCCATTTCTTGCTGCTTTTGTGTGTGGTTGTTAGAGGCAGACTGGGGCTGAGTCGGCTGTTGTGGGTGAGTTGGGGAGCACTGTGAGGAGCGAGCACTGGACATAGATCTCAGAGGCCAAGTGCCCGCCCTGCCCATACTTGGCTGTGGCCTTGGCCAAGTCCTAAGTGGCGGTTAGGGTACTTGTACCATAAAGGTACAGAAGAGTATCTTGAGTATGTTATTATTTGTGTGGAGAGAGGGGGCAGGTGTATATGTGTGTGTGTGTACGTATTATGGTAACATACATAAAACACGTTTGTAAGGATTCATTAAAAAACTCAGGATAGAGGCACAGTGTTGGGGGGAGATATTTCCCTTCTGGACTTTCTGAGTTTTGGACTATGCGAACGTATCATCCTTTCAAAAATTCAACAAAGGATTAATTTCCTCCTTCTTAACTGTGCCCCTACCTCCAGCGGAAGAATGGGCTTAGAGAATCAGATATACCTGGGTGTTGAAATCCCAGCTCCAAGTGATCTTAGGCAGCACTTAACCTTTAATACTGCATGTTTTTCATCTACACAATAGAGGTAATAATGGTAACCGTCTCCTATGGAGGTTGTGAGGATTAAATGGGATTGTTAGCATAGTGCCTGGTGAAGCACCCAATAAAGGCTCCAACAGTGGTAGTAATAACAGTAATAACAATAACAATATTATCTGATCGCTCTGGGCCCCTGTTAGCCAGCCCTAAATTCAATCTCTTTCCCTGTCCCTTCCACATCCACTGAGTTCTTTGAAAAACAAATGAGGGCCAGGTGCTCTCGCTCACGCCTGTAATGCCAGCACTTTGGGAGGCTGAGGTGGGCGGATCACCTGCGGTCAGGAGTTCAAGACTAGACTGACCAACACGAAGAAACCCCGTCTCTACTAAAAATACAAAATTAGCCCGGTGTGGTGGCACATGCCTGTAATCCCAACTACTCGGGAAGCTGAGGCAGGAGAATTGCTTGAACCCAGGAGGTGTAGGTTGTGGTGAGCTGAGATTGTGCCATTGCACTCCAGTGAGGGCAACAAGAATGAAACTCTGCCAAAAAAAAAAAAAGAAAGAAAGAAAGAAAAACAAATGAGACCATGGGCTTGGAAATGCCTTGAGAACACGTCAGGTGTGATTGAGAGTGAGGAAGTGTTACTGTGGAGTAGTCACTGTAGCAGTTGTTCCTGGTCGTCCAGCTACTGCTGTGCCTGCTCTATCCTGACTTAACCTTTCTCTATTTGCAGTACATTGAGGAGTTAACAAAGGAGAGGGACGCCCTGAGTCTGGAACTGTACAGGAACACGTAGGATGGGGGAAGGTGGAATGGGAGGTCTGGGGGCCCTTAGCATGGGTGGTGTGCTGGGAGGTGGGGGGTCCAGGTGAGTGTGGGGAGAGGCTCATACATGTTTTCATGTGTGCACACGGAAACTCTAGTGCTGGCTGTGCCACTGACTCATGGGGTAGCCTCAGGCAACTCATGTCTTCTCTCTGGCCTGCCACCTGGGACTTTTAATTCCTGGGGTCCCTTCCAGCGCCACGGTTCTGTGGTTGTGGGGCGAGGGTAGGGGGTCAATCACCAAAGTGGTCTTTTATGTTCTTCATTCATTCCTTTCTCTACTGCCTCTGGCCATAGCATAACTGATGAGGAGCTGAAGGAGAAAAATGCCAAACTACAAGAAAAACTTCAACTTGTAGAATCTGAAAAGTCTGAGATCCAGCTCAACGTAAAGGAGCTAAAAAGGAAACTGGAGAGGGCCAAGCTCCTGCTGCCACAGGTGAGCAGCTGCAGCCCCGGGGGTTGTGGGAGACCCATCCAGCTGGGACCATGGTCTAGGGATCATGCAGGGTATGGGGAGGCTCCAGCCAAGAGCTGGAAAATTTGGGTCCTTGTTCTGGCCCCGCCATAGAATCCTCTAGAGTGTACTAAAAATGTACAAATTGGGGCCCTGCCTGGGGAATCAGAATCTCAAGAGTTAGGGCTTAAAAATATTTTTTTAAAGGATCATGGATGAAAACCATTATTTTATAGATTACATTTATTTATTTATTTATTTATTTATTTATTTATTTATTTGAGAAGTAGTCTCACTCTGTCACCCAGGCCAGAGTGCAGTGGCGCAATCTCGGCTCACTGCAAGCTCCACCCCCCGGCTTCACGCCATTCTCCTGCCTCAGCCTCCCAAGTAGCTGGGACTACAGGTGCCCACCACCACACCCAGCTAATTTTTTGTATTTTTAGTAGAGACGGGGTTTCACTGTGTTAACCAGGATGGTCTCGATCTCCTGACCTCGTGATCCGCCCACCTCGGCCTCCCAAAGTGCTGGGATTACAGGCGTGAGCCACCGCGCCCAGCCTATAGATTACATTTATGTGGCTAGCTCATGATTCTGCTTCCTTCTGAGGTTCAAAAAAACACTTTCACTATTCCAGCAGCAGCTGCAGGCGGAGGCTGACCACCTGGGTAAGGAGCTGCAGAGTGTGTCAGCAAAGCTCCAAGCCCAGGTGGAAGAGAACGAGTTGTGGAACCGCCTGAACCAGCAACAGGAGGAGAAGATGTGGAGGCAGGAGGAGAAGATACAGGAGCGGGAGGAGAAGATACAGGAGCAGGAGGAGAAGATACGGGAGCAGGAGGAGAAGATGCGGAGGCAGGAGGAGATGATGTGGGAGAAGGAGGAGAAGATGCGGAGGCAGGAGGAGATGATGTGGGAGAAGGAGGAGAAGATACGGGAGCTGGAAGAGAAGATGCACGAGCAGGAGAAGATACGGGAGCAGGAAGAGAAGAGGCAGGAGGAGGAGAAGATACGCGAGCAGGAGAAGAGGCAGGAGCAGGAGGCGAAGATGTGGAGGCAGGAGGAGAAGATACGGGAGCAGGAAGAGAAGATACGGGAGCAGGAGAAAAAGATGTGGAGGCAGGAGGAGAAGATTCACGAGCAGGAGAAGATACGGGAGGAGGAGAAGAGGCAGGAGCAGGAGGAGATGTGGAGGCAGGAGGAGAAGATAAGGGAGCAGGAGGAGATATGGAGGCAAAAGGAGAAGATGCACGAGCAGGAGGAGAAGATACGGAAGCAGGAGGAGAAGGTGTGGAGGCAGGAGGAGAAGATGCACGACCAGGAGGAGAAGATACGGGAGCAGGAGGAGAAGGTGTGGAGGCAGGAGGAGAAGATACGGGAGCAGGAGGAGAAGATGTGGAGGCAGGAGGAGAAGATACGGGAGCAGGAGGAGATGTGGAGGGAGGAAGAGAAGATGCATGAGCAGGAGAAGATATGGGAGGAGGAGAAGAGGCAGGAGCAGGAGGATAAGATGTGGAGGCAGGAGGAGAAGATACGGGAGCAGGAGGAGAAGGTGTGGAGGCAGGAGGAGAAGATACGGGAGCAGGAGGAAAAGAGGCAGGAGCAGGAGGAGAAGATGTGGAAGCAGGAGGAGAAGATAAGGGAGCAGGAGGAGAAGATACGGGAGCAGGAGAAGATACGGGAGCAGGAGGAGAAGATACGAGAGCAGGAGGAGATGATGCAGGAACAGGAAGAGAAGATGGGGGAGCAGGAAGAGAAGATGCAAGAACAGGAGAAGATGCGGAGGCAGGAGGAGAAGATAAGGGAGCAGGAGGAGAAGATACGGGAGCAGAAGGAGAAGATACGGGAGCAGGAGGAGAAGATATGGGAGCAGGAGGAGAAGATACGAGAGCAGGAGGAGATGATGCAGGAACAGGAAGAGAAGATGGGGGAGCAGGAGGAGAAGATGTGGGAGCAGGAAGAGGAGATGCAAGAACAGGAGGAGAAGATGCGGAGGCAGGAGGAGAAGATAAGGGAGCAGGAGAAGAAGATACGGGAGCAGGAGGAGAAGATACGAGAGCAGGAGGAGATGATGCAGGAACAGGAAGAGAAGATGGGGGAGCAGGAGGGGAAGATGTGTGAGCAGGAAGCGAAGATGCAAGAACAGGAGGAGAAGATGCGGAGGCAGGAGGAGAAGATAAGGGAGCAGGAGAAGAAGATACGGGAGCAGGAGGAGAAGATACGAGAGCAGGAGGAGATGATGCAGGAACAGGAAGAGAAGATGTGGGAGCAGGAGGAGAAGATGTGTGAGCAGGAAGAGAAGATGCAAGAACAGGAGGAGAAGATGCGGAGGCAGGAGGAGAAGATGCGGGAGCAGGAAGTGAGGCTGCGGCAGCAGGAGGAGAAGATGCAGGAACACTAGGTGAGGCTGCAGGAGCTGGAGGAGAGGCTGGGGAAGCTGGGGCAGAAGGCCGAGCTCTTGGGGGGAGCAGGCGGAGGTGTGTGCAAACCCTGGAGATCATACAGAACGACCTCACCACAACTTAGCAGATGGTGGTTGGCTCCCTCTGCTTTTCCACCAGTCTGTGGCCTACAGTTTAAATGGTGGGAAGAAGGGTGTGAGATTTGAGGCTGGGGAGGGAGGCATGGGCCTCTAGGCAAGGGAGGCAGTCATTTAGGCCTGGAGGAAGGGGCCAGGGCCAGGGGCCTGGGTAGGCGACAGAGCCCCGCAGTGCCCTCACTACCCTGTTTATGGGCCCAGAATCTGGAAGCCAGCCACTACCTACCCTGACGCCTATCCTGCAGGTGGAGCTGAAGAGCCAAGAGGCTGAGTCTGCAGCAGCAGCGAGACCATTACCTGGGTCACCTGCAGCAGTACGTGGCCGCCTATCAGCAGCTGGCCTCTGAGAAGGAGGCACTGCCCAGCTGCAGCAGCAGGAAGCTCAGGGCGAAGCGGTGGCCGAGATGGCCCACCGATAGTTGCAGGAGACCCGGTTGAGGGAGTTGATGAGGGCGGGGCCCCAAGGGGGATGATCTGGCAACCTCCGTGCCTTCTCACTCTCTTTCCTGGCCCCTTAGGAGCACCTGGAAGCTGCCATCTAATGAGCACATGACAAGAAGGCAAAGACAATAAACATGTAAAAGCCGGCAGCAAGGCCTGGAGAAGAGTAAGCCGCCATGTGACTGTTTAGAATATAGTCTGAGCACAAACCTGAAAAAAAAATTTTATTTATTTTAAATTGTGGCAAAATACTGGCCAGGCATGGTAGCTCACGCCTGTAATCCTAGCAATTTGGGAGGCCGAGGTAAATGGATGACCTGAGGTCAAGAGTTCAAGACCAGCCTGGCCAATACAAAAATTAGCCGGGCATGGTGGCGCATGCCTGTAATCCCAGCTACTTGGGAGGCTGAGGCAGGAGAATCGCTTGAACCTGGGAGGCAGAGGTTGCAGTGAGCTGAGATCGTGCCACTGCACTCAAGCCTGGGTGACAGAGCGAAACTCCGTCTCAAAAAAAAAAGTTTCTTCCTTACATGTATGTTTCTATTAGTTTTCTTCTTGGTCTTTCTCATTTAGTCTTGTGTTGTCTTTTGGCATTCATAGTAAACTTTTATCTGCCTCCAGAGAGTATTGACTTTGAGTTTATGGCACACAATTGGAGTAAGGGCAGATCGCCTTCATCTACTTCGGGACTAAGCTGGTTCAAAGCAGGTTTTAGGTTTTCTGATGGCTGGTCTATGTTTTATTCATTTGGACTCCCAGGGGTGGCCCTTCCAGGGTCCCCACCAAGGTCCCATCTCCCTCCTGGGACCCAAATTCTCATTAGGTCATTTCAGCCCTGTGAGAGTGCCAAACATTCAGCTAGGCTCTCCAGCCTCTTAACTACCACTTCATACTCAGTTTCTTAGCCTCTTAGCCCTCTACTGTTGACCAATCACCAAATGTGGGAAAGCACTACAGACTGTCAGGATCACCTCCTAGGCCTGGTCACTCAAGTCCTGACTGAGGTCTCCAATTACCTTCCAACAATTGTTTTTGATTGGGGGCGGGGCACATTTTTATCCAGTTTTTCTAACTGCTCTTGCGGGGAGGCGAATCTGTAACAAGCTCCTCTGCCTTTATTGAAAGTTGAAAACCTTCATCTGTCCTTTTTTTGTTGTTGTTGAGATGGAGTCTTGCGCTGTTGCCCAGGCTCTAGTGCAATGGCACGATCTCTGCTCACTGTAACCTCTGCCTCCTGGGTTCAAGCAATTCTCCTGCCTCAGCTTCCCGAGTAGCGTGTGCCACCATGCCTGGCTAATTTTTTTTTATACCTTTAATAGAGGCAGGATTTCACCATGTTTTCCAGGCTGGTCTCGAGCTCCTGACTCAGGTGATCTACCTGCCTCAGCCTCCCAAAGTGCTGGGATTACAAGTATGAGCCACTGCATCCGGCCCATCTGTCTTTTAAAACATGTTTTTAATTGGAGGTATAATTTCTATTAGTGAAATGCACAGGTCTGGTTTACATTTTGATGAGTTTTAACTCATTTAACATTACTATGGAACCCACCTCCTTTGAAGATACAGAGTATTTCTATCATCCAGAAAGTTCTCCTGTGCTTTCATGCTGTCCCGCACTCCCCCAGCAGCTGATGAACATGCTGAGGACATTGGTACTGGATTCTGGCCGCCCCAAAAGAGCCGCTTTGACCAGGCTTACCCAGCACTAAATCCCTGCCTGCTCTCTCAAAATTTCCATCTTTAAACTGGTTGTACCTATAACCCTCCCTCATCAAGTCAATAGATAAACAAACCCTGAAAAATAAACAACTCTTCCTGGCCCAGCAGCCCACAGCCTAATATTTACTGTATTCCCAGGCTTTCAGAAATGTAACTCGCCTGCCGGTTCACCCTCACTAGGGCGGCAGCTGCACGGGAGCAGCTGGGCTCACCCATTAAGCAAGAAGCCAATAGCTGGACAGTGACACTCAGACCCCAGGCTGGGCGAGCCTGGCTGAAAGCCCCCTTCTTTCCATCCGACTGTGGAGAAAGGGGGCGGAGCACACACAACTCTACTGCCCTCCACATCCTTCACCCGTGCTTCCTCCTGGGAGAGGGAGCCGCTCATTAATTTGGCCAAAGCCTTCTTGAGGGCTGTAGGTTTCACAGGCTGGGTGTGTGGGGGCCACCGTGCTAGAGACAGAGGCTGGTGTGTCAGAAGGTAGCCACCTGGCCAGAGGGGGGTCAACCCCCTTGGTGACCTCCTTCCCCCGGCTGGACACAGTGCCCTGCACTCTCTACATGTGACTGTTCCCCTCAGAGCTGCTTCCAGGGGAGGGGTTCTAATCCTGTGGGTGGGGACATTGTGTTACTTTACAGTGGGCCATGGCTCCCTCTGACATCTCCAACTCAGAGGCAGTAGAGAGAAGATGAGAAATTCCCTGCCCCTCCTCCCTCAGCACCCCCACCTCTGCACATGTCCACATGTGGAGACCCTGACAATGGGCCCTGGGAGTGCCGCCATCTGTGCCTGCTTTCCATGCCTGCAGCAGCCATGCCCACTCTCCAGACCCTCACCCGCCTGGGTCAGTAGACGCTTCACTGCCTGTGGTCCTGCGCCTACACCTGGGCCTCTGTACCCGTCAGTTCCCCCAGTCTGGTTCTTATTCCCTGCAAAGAGTAGGGAGCCTATAAGGTCACCTGTTGAGCAAGCTGGGGGAGAGAGTAGGGTGGGGCTGGGAGGATGAGGAGGAGAAGCTCATGGTCGTGCTGGAGACTCAGCTGAGCAGAGTCTATGCAGGCCCATTGGCTGCCTAGCCAGTGGTGATCTCGCTCCCACCCTCATTTCTTCTTTGTTAACAAAACCATGACCTCATTAAATACTGGACACCTATAAACCTCATGGACCCTCCTCCAGCCTCCCCACCGTGTACCGGTGAGTCTAAGTCAACTCTAGTCATTTCATTCCTCTGGACATTGACTGCTTAGGGCTTGGGCATGAGCTTCCTCTTCACCTGAGCCTGAGCCACAGGTACCCTCTGCACCTACCACGCTGATGCACTGGGCCAGGGAGAGCGCCGTCTGGATGGAGATGAGCTGTGAGGAGCTGGTGGCTGGGCGGATCAGGTTGTTGTAACAGGTTTTGTTCAGAAGGTCGTCCATCAGTTTCTGCTCGGCATGGGCCATGCGGCAGTCCCCTGGGTAAACACACAGACATGCTGGGCCCTTGTGCAGCTGTCTCCCACTGCAGCTGACAGCTATGAAGCAGGAGCTGAGAGGGCCAGGGAGCACAGACACCCTGAGAGCTGGCTGAAGCACTGAAGGTGCTGGCCGGCCTGGCTCTCCCTGGGGACTTCAAATGACATTCACGACAGAGCTCAGCTACCTCCTCCCCATGCCATACCTCTTCCTCCTCCTCCTCCCTCCGTCAATGAACAGCATCCCACGCTCTACACATCTGATACAAAACTGGGTGTCTCTTCCTGACTCCTCCCTTGGTTCACCCAAGTGGCCACCAAGTCCTGTCTGTCCTCCCATCTCCACGGCTACAGCCATGTCCCTGCCTCCCCCGCCCTGCCCACCTTCTATTCTCTCCACCCACACTCTGCCCGTGCCATCCATGTGCCATACAGTGGCAGACTGGTCTTTCTACAGCAAACTGGACTTGGGCCCTTCCCTACCCACAGCTCTCAGAGCTGGAGGTGGAGTTGAAGCTCATGTTTTGGCTTGGCATTCAGAGCTCTTTCCCCCTCAGCACTGGCTTATCCAGAGTGCTCACAGTGCAGGGCAGGAGCCTCGTGACTCAAATGTGGGTTTGGTGCAGAACTGGGTCTGAGGTGGTGCTTTCCCTGTGAAGAGACAGGGCCGACATGGGGGAATTTTCTGGGTTCAAAGTTAGACCTACAGAGTGCAAAGTTTCTCTGAGGCACCAAATGGAGGGGTCCAGCTAGCAGCTGGCTCCTGGTCTGGAGCTTCAAGGAGAGGTCTCAGCTCAGAGCCACATTCAATAGCCAGCTTACATGTGGCCTCCTGCAGGGAGCCCCTGGAGCTTCCACAGCCTCCGTTCTGCCCCTCTGCATACCCCAGATCTCCTGCTAAGTGGCGTTTGGGTCTTCATGTCATCTCCCTCCCATGTCTGGGAGTAAAGGTGAGGTGCAGGGACTTGCGCTTGTGTACTCTGGTGTCTTAAGGGAGAGTGTGTCAAGTAGAGTGGAGGCGGCTTGGAAAGAGGGAGACTCAGAGGAGAGTGAAGGACACATGACCAGGCGAGCCTGGGAGCAGGAAAAGAGAGTGAGCAGAGGCAACTGCTGGGTCAGGGGAGCGGATGGGAGGATCAGGGAATGCGGGGGGGCTGGAGAGGTAGGGGTGGGGATGTTGGCGAGGGGCTGCCTGGCTCGCCAGGCTCAGGAGTCAGTTACATCCTCCCACAAGGGCCAGCTCACCTGGTCGCCCCAAAGACCTCCCTCTGTGGGTGGGACCAGAGGGCCAAGAGCACGGATAACCCAATTGAGCAGGACTGAGGCGGACTCAGGTGGGTGCTGGGCCGGACTCCTGGCTGTGGGGAGCAGCCGCCACCCTGCCTATTGCATCCACTTTCCAACTCGCTGCCTATCTGAGCAGATGCGATATTGGGCACCTTGTGAAACATGCTCCTGGTGCACCTGCTGCCTGCTGCCCCTCCTGCAGAGTGCCCGGGCTCTCCAGAGGGGATTCCTATGGAGGCTTGGCCTAGATTCTGAGTCCTGCCTCTCATACCTGGGGCTGCTACCCCAGAGGCCAGCTGCTTGAGTACCCCGGAAGCCAGTCTGTAGCCCCAGGCTACAGCTGGGTCCATCCCACAGCCCTTCTCTAATGTACCTATTTGGACTGGCTGCTCATTTCATAGAGAGGGGTGTGTCTTGCCCCAGACCATCTGGCATGTCTAAGGCAGCTGTGGGGTCAGAATCTGCAGCTCCCAGCCCTCAGCCCAGCAATAGTAGGAAAGGCTGGACCCCACATCTCTGAAGTCCCACTGGGTGGGTGTGAGCGGGCTCCCGAGTACAGGGCTGCTCTGCAGGCTGTGGGGCTCATGCGCCAGCTCTGAGCCCACCTGATGTGCTCACGTTGCTCACCTTTGGGCCTGTCCTGCCTCTCAGGCATTCGGCTGACCCTGAGGGCCTCTCCCTCATCTTGACCACCAGCTACGGGCTCTGATTTAGAGGTTCCCAGAACCTTAGACCATTTGGCCGGCCCCCCATTTCTCACCTGAGGAAACTGAGACCAGAGAGGGATAGCAACTTTCTCAAGGACCCCCAGCAATTCAGAGGCAGAACCAGGTCTAGGAGCCTCTTCTCGATAGAGGTTCCCCCTGTCCCCTGAGCCTTCGTTAGTGCCTCATTAACTTCCCTGTAAGGAAACTGCCCCGCTGAGGCTGGAAATGGTGCTGTCCAGAGTGGTGTGTGCCAGTGACTGTGCTTGTGTTTGTACTTGTGAGTGTGTATGGGGGTGGGGATGAGGGGTGGGAATAAACGGCAGGGATGCTGGGGGCTGGATGCACTCCACCTCACCCCAAAAAGGGGCACAGCAGAGCCCAGCCAAGCACAGCACATGCTTCGACTTTCCAATCTGCTGAATGCCTGTGAGGCCGGCTGGGCCCAGAAGACAAGGGACAGGCCTTTCCCCATAGATGGCAGGGGGGACCCAGGATGGGTGGAAGCTTCTGCCGCAGCTTTGGGGGTCACAACCCAGCCCATGGGCTGACACTTAAGCAGAAAAGCCACCTCTAGGGGTCAGTCATAATCTAGTGATTCTGATGAGGAGGGCCCCACCAACCTCTGTCCAGGGTCTTGTCTGGGAAAAACTGCTCCCTGGCAGAAAGAGGCTAATAATTTGAGAGGAAGCCATAGCTGAAACCCTAAGCTGTGTGAGTGTGTGTCCAGTTTGAGAAAGCATATCCGACTTAAACATTTGTATTGAAAAAATGGAAACATATTCCCCTTGTTTTGGAATACAAACTGCAGAAAGCAGCAGTTAACAGAATCTTATCGGAAAGGTCAGACTCTGCATCTGGAAAGGCACAGTGATTTTCAACTGCAGTGTGTGTCCTTAACTGAGGAAGGGAAGGTGAGATTTATGTTTAGTAAAAGGCAGCTATGAATTTACCTTTTATAAAGAGCTTGCTATATACTATTAGTGCTTTTCAGTCATGTCAGAATCAGCCAGATGCCTGTGGAAATGCAAATTCCCAGGCTTCATTCCCAGAGATTCTGGTCCTGTGAGCCTAGGGTGGGGCCCAGAAATCTCTATGGGGTGGTGCAGCCTGCCCCAGGACCACACCAAGAAACACTGCAACTGGCCCACACACATCCCAGTCCACAAATATGTAGGCAGGCATCTTATCTCCACAGAACAGATAGGGAAACTGAGGTCAGAGTGGGGAAAGAAACGTCATGGGGCCACCCAGCAAGTAGTAGCAGAGCCACGATACACCCACTGCCTGCAGACACCATCTCTGATGACAGCTCCACCTCCCCACAGGAATCTTGCCTACCCCCACCCCTACCTCCTGCTGCCCCTATGGTGGGTCTCTGTCCAAGGAAGATGTATCCTAGGTCCTCTAGGCTGACTGCGGCTCAGAGGAAACCTTGGCCCAGAGTGTAGGAGCTAGAGGGGTCCTTGGAATTCACGTGGGGAATTTGAGGCCCAAAGAAGGCAGCCCTCACATTTGAACTCTGTCTGGAGAAGGGCTAGGTCTTCTTCCTGAGTGGTAGTTTTGACTTCACCAGCCTGGCCCTCAGTCAAGCTGGCTGTCCAGGCCCGCCACACCTCGGGGTGGGTGACCAGAGGCGGTGGTGCCATAAAAACACGTTTCCTGGGAGATCCACCCCCAAAGCTCCAAACATTCCAGGGCTGGTGATTTGGGGAAGCCCCCTTCCCTCTCAGCCCAGTTTCCCCATCTCTGCAACAGCCGTGCTGGTGGAGACTTCTGATACTGAGCTGCAGATTTTCTCCTGGGTGCCTACACAGCCCAGGTTGCCGGCTCCTCTGTGCCCACTCTTCAAGAAAGTCAGCTCTTAGGTAAGGAAGGTGCCTTGGCCCTATCAGGAGCAGGAGCCGGTGCACCCCCAGCTTCCCAGACCAGTGGGGATGACCCAGGCTGCCTACAAAGCTGCTGCCCAGCCCGGAGACACCCGCCTGGGAGGGTGGCCCTGGCCCTTGCAGCGGCTCTGAGAAGAGTCGGCCCCCACTCCAAAACTGGCAGAGCCACCCATGCCTTCCCTCAGCCCAAAGAGGCTTTTAGGAAAATGAATCGTCTCAAGTTCAAACCCATGGGGTTGCTGAAAGACAAGACAGTGCAGGGTGAGCTGGTGCGAGGGAGCGCTGCTCGGTGCAGACTTTGCAGGGAGGGCACTTAGGAAAAAGGACTGGAGTCTGGGAGGGTTAACTAGCTTAGGGTTAAAGGGAGGGGATGGAGCTGGAGTGAGCTGGCCTCGTCCTCCCCCTTGGGCCTTCCAGCCTGAGCTCAGGTGATTCAAGGGAGCAAGCACCTCCCTCTCCCAGCCAGGGAGTTCTCGCCACATTCTGCAATCAGTACCATTCCCCTGGGGGCTGGGTGACAGCCCCCACCTCTGGACCTGGCTGGAACTGCTGTCTCAATTCTAGATCCAAAAGAATCTCTGGCAGCTTCTCCATCTCCCTCTCAGTCCAGCCTCACCTCTTCGCCCGTGGAGGAGCTCCAACAGCAAATCTGGCAACTGGAGGAACAAGGCAGGAAGGGCAGGGTCTGAGGAAGGAACCACCTTCAAAAGGCAGCTCTGCCACCTTCTCTCCAGGACTCTCAGGCTTGCTTTCCTATTGCTCCCTCGACATCCTTTTGCTATAATCTGCCATGTTGACGTATAGTCTTTAAAAGCAACAATGCTGTTGACGTGGAGCAGACTTCCCATTTGGGATGGTTTGGAGAAGTTAGGTTTGAGGGCATCCTCTCTTCTGCAAACTGCAGCAGTAATAGATGAGATATACAAAGTAAATAAAGGCTGGGTGCGGTGGTCGTGCCTGTAATCCCAGCACTCTGGGAGGCTGAGGCAGGAGGATCACTTGAAGCCAGGAGTTCGAGACCAGCCTGGCCAATATGGCGACACCCTGTCTCTACTAAAAATGTAAAAATTAGCTGGGCATAGTGGTGCACACCTGTAGTCCCAGCTACTCAGGAGGCTGAGGCAGGAGAATCACTTGAACCCGGGAGGCAGAGGCTGCAGTGAAATGAGATCCCGCCACTGCATTCCAGCCTGGGCGACAGAGTGAGACTCCATCTCAAAAAATAAAAATAAAAAATAAAGTAAATAAAAAAGACATGCCCAGGCTGAAAAATAAGTTAATTATCTCCATGAACGAAAAGCAGACAAGAAATGCAAAGTGGTTGGAGGCTGAAGAGCCTGGACCCTCCTGGGCTTTGGGAACCAAAGATGGTGGCAAGTCCTTTGGGATAAAGAGGGACAAAATGACTCCTAGCTAGAAGCTGGGAGCTTGGGTGTACCCCAGTACTTGAAAGGATGCTAGCTGGGCGCGGTGGCTAATGCCTGTAATACCAGCACTTTGGGAGGCCGAGGGAAAGTAACTCTTATGTCAGTGTGAAGCAAATCAGACAGGACAGGGGAACATGGAGGGGAGGAGAGCCAAACCAGGGCCTGGTTCCAGACCCACCACACCTGCCCCGTTGAGCCAGGAGCACAGGTGGCTCTCTGCACAACATCAAGAGCGAGGACATGCTTTCAGCTCCACTTTAACTCAGGTTCCTAATGTGACAGCAGGCTTGTCAATCCCACTTGCCCCCGTGTCTCACACCAGAAAACTACCAGCAGCATGAGTAAGGACAGAAGCAGGAGACAGAGGAGCCAGGGTTGGGGAATCCCATAGCAACCCACAGGCCCTCATCACACACGGCAAGGATGCGCCTTCACTGGGCTCACCACCACCAGACATCACCTTCACTACATGATACCCTGCCTGGATAACACCACTGTAACACAAGAAACAGGTCTAGAATCTAGCATGTATGCTACACCTGAAGGAGCAAGAGACGGTAATACAATACAATGAAATTTTTAGTTTATTTAATATAAAATTTAGAGCCATAATCAAAATGTGTAATTCTGATGGGATTCACTACTTATAAAAACTTTGCAGCGCTCTATTTTCAAATGTAAATGGTATTCTGTGGCTCCTCGCCAGCAAGTAAATAACGATCTACTCTGAAATACGTTTCACGGCTTATTTTTGGCAAGCAGCGATTTCTCCAACTCACGTTTTCCAAGGGAAAAAAGGACGTGAAATGTCTCCAAAAGTCTCTTACGATCTTTAGATAAACTACTGTTCAACAACTGCATCTGCCAAGTCAACACATCAAGAATCCTTCACTCACAAACACTTAAGGTGAGAAAACAGTGTCTACCCATGCGGGAGAGGGACACATGATCCATGCTTATGAAGACAGCCTGGATATCGGCTACTGGAAAGCTGCGAATGCATTTTTCTTTTTCTACTTTCCAAAATTTTTGTGAGGTGATACTTATTTCTATGTTTGTGTCTATTCTTTCTATTTTGTATTTTTTAGTAGGTACATCCTTACTATAAATCTGCTGTAGAACCAATGTCCCATACAGGACCCCACGTGCCACAGGAACCAAAAAGTCACACGCAGCGAAGACGAAGACACAGGAGACAACCTGTGTGGACAGCACAGAGCCACCTGCCCAGGACACCAATGGAGCCACAGGTGCAATTCAGAATGTTCTTAGTCGTATTAATAAACATGGCCAGGTGCGGTGGCTCACGCCGGTAATCCCAACACTTTGGGAGGCTGAGGTGGGCAGATTACCTGAGTTTGGGAGTTCAAGACCGTCCTGGCCAACATGGTGAAACCCCATCTCTACTAAAAATACAAAAATCAGCCAGGTATGGTGGCATGCTTCTGTTAGTCCCAGCCACTCAGGAGGTTGAGGCAGGAGAATCATTTGAACCCAGGAGGCAGAGGCTGCAGTGAGCTGAGATCGTGCTACTGCACTCCAGTCCAGGCAACAGAGTGAGGATCCATCTCCGGGTGGGGAAAAAAAATTGTTCTTAGTCACATTAACAAAAGTAAAAAAAAAAAACAAAAAACACCAACAAGAAAAACAACAACACATAAAATTAATTGTAATAATGGCTGGTTGCAGTGGCTCATGCCTGTAATCCCAGCACTCTGGGAAGCCAAAGCGGGCAGATTACTTGAGGTCAGGAGTTCGAGACCAGCCTGGCCAACATGGTGAAACTCTGTCTCTACAAAAATACAAAAATCAGCCAGGCGTGGTGGTAGTCCCAGCTGCTCGGGAGTCTGTAGTCCTGTAGTCCCAGCTGCTCAGGAGGCTGAGGCAGGAGAATCACTTGAACCCAAGAGGCGGAGGTTGCAGTGAGCCAAGATTGCACCACTGCACTCCGGTCTGGTCAACAGAGTAAGATTCCATCTTAAAAAATAAAAATAATTTTAATAATGTATCATAGTTATTCCAACAGATCAAAAATATGACCATTTCAACATGAAATCAATCTAAGAAAAATTATTGAGATATTTTACATAGGTTATTTCATATTAAGTCCTCAAAAACCATCTGAGTAGCTTACATATGTAACACATTTCAATTTGGACAGTGAAATTTGCATTGAAAACATCTGATCTCCATTTAGACTCATAAAATACACAGTTGACAAAGTAGACTCCCAAGGCCAAGTGATTCTAAACATACTTAAGTGCTTTCTAATAACAGAATCAAATTTTCAAACCTGCATTTTAATGAATAAAAATTAAACAGATAAAATATTCAGTGTCTCAGCTATGACGGACAGACTTCAAGTGCTGATCAGCAAACGGTGTTGAGTGTAGCCAGATGGGCCAGCGCAGGCTACACAGCTGCAGCTCAAACAGCACAGCTGCAGGTCAAACAGGCCAGTCTCTCTGCGCACGGGAACAGTCTGGGCAAGCAGGAGACGGGGAAAACGGGCACTGCCCTCGTGAGAACAAAGGACCCACAACAGGAACCCTGCACTCACCCCCTGCCAAAGACCAACAGCCCCACGAAGCAGCCACTTCAGAAAAGGGAGAGGCATTCAAGAACTTAGAAAAGCACCTCTGGAAAATGCTCACTTTAAAACTTTGCATGTAACTGTACATTTTAATTACAAGGTTTTTAACATCCATTTTCTCATGTATTCTTAATTAACTCTGTGAAAGTAAACACAGCTTTTATTCTTACTCCTATAGTTACTGTGTTGGAAGTCCACCTATATGAACAAACTGTTGTAACTGAAATTTTCTGAGAACAAATCCCAAGCTCTTTCCATCGACACAAACTATATTGTTTAGTTCTCTTTATTTCCATTTGTTAAAGACCAGAATGTGTGAAATATGCATTATCAGATTAGAAAAACAAAACAAACATCAGAAAAAGGTTTTGCAAAATAGCATTTACTAAAATCTATGACAGAAACTAGCTCTAAAACTTCCTGTTTCAAAATTTCACTGTGTGTGCACTAAGTTAGTTTTGCTGGCTGTGGACAGCAGGCCCACCCCATGCCGCGGGCCCACCCCACGCCGCGGGCCCACCCCACGCCGCGGGCCCACCCCACGCCACGGGCCCACCCCACGCCACAGACCCACCATGGCCCCATGAACAGGCCAGCTGAGAGCTGCAGCCACTGCCCAGGGCTCCCTGGTCTGTACTCGGCTGCCTGACCCAAGCTGCCAGGGCTCTGCTTTCTCTATGTGTAGAAACAAAAACCAGGAGCATCAGTTGACGAAAAGCAGATTTTTATTGAACAGAGGTATAAATGTGTTTCATTTTCTAATAAATCTCTTTCACAAATCACCTTGCTGTTTCGCTCTTCTTGAATGATCATTTTTACACAACACTGTCTGACTGTTTTGGCTTCTGCCAAGGTTAGCGTCTGTTCACAGGCTGAGTCTGACTTCCTCCTCCCACCTCCTCCTAGTCTGGCCTTCCAAAATAATGCTCACCATTCTATCACATTGACTTCAGTTTTGAAAAGAAAAGTTATCTTACAAAGTAGTAGGTACAACTCTGTAATATGTAAAGTGAGGCAATGATAGAACCAGTTTTAAAAATAACCTTCCATGATGATTTTCATTCGCACCTACCTGCTTATTAGTAAGAATCTTTTTACATGTTTACTGCACGCCCCAATTTCTCTTCTGTGAAAAACTTCTGAGTATCATCACACCCTCCAACTTCTCCTCTCACCTATATTGAGAAGGGTCTGCTCTTTATCCTAACATCTATACTAGGTAATTTTCAGAATATTCCTTCAATCATCAAACAAATTTTTGAGACCCTTGCGCTAGATTTCACTATCTTAATATGAAAACCAATAATCACCTATTAAAATACAATACAGGCCGGGAACAGTGGCTAACACCTGTAATCCCAACATTTTGAGAGGCCAAGGCAGGTGGGTCACCTGACGTCAGGAATTTGAGACCAGCCTGACCAATATGGTAAAACCCCATCTCTACTAAAAATACACAAATCAGCCAGGTGTGGTTGCAGACGCCTGTAGTCCCAGCTACTCGGGAGGCTGAGGCAGGAGAATAGCTTGAACCCAGGAGGCGGGGGTTGCAGTGAGCCAAGATCGTGACACTGCACTCCAGCCTGGACGATAGAGCAAGACTCCATCTCAAAAAAAAAACAAAAAACAAAAAACACCATTAATAAGTAAATAAATAGGCCAGGCGTGGTGGCTAATGCCTGTAATCCCAACATTTTGGGAGGCCAAAGTGGATGGACCACCTGAGGTCGGGAGTTCAAGACCAGCCTGACCAACATGAAGAAACCCTGTCTCTAATAAAACTACAAAATTAGTGGGGCATGGTGGCGCATGCCTGTAATCCCAGCTGCTCGAGAGGCTGAGGCAGAGGAATTACTTGAACCTGGGAGGCGGAGGTTGCAGTGAGTCAAGATCGCACCACTGCACTCCGGCCTGGGCAACAAGAGCGAAACTCTGTCTCAAAAAAAAAAAAGTAAATAAATAAAACACAATACAATACAGCTAATATGATTTACCTAAGAAGCTGTTGTATGAGCTGAACCAGAGGCAAACACTGTTTGCCAGAAGACTCACAGATCCCCGTATTAATAAGGTCTTTATCCAATGGAGTCCTCCTTCTATGAAATGTTGAGGCATTTGCTTCCTGTTCATAAATTTCTTTTTCCTTCCGTGCTTCTTTTTTTGTATCCTGTAATTGATAAACAGAAATTGTTTACAAGTGATCTCATTACCAGGTGTGAAGGCACACAGGCTGGCTGAGCCCTGACCCCAGTGCCAAGCTATCCCAGCCTCTGTGGCTGCCACACCCATCCACCCACAGGCCCCCCACCTGCCCTGTTGGAAACCCCAACTCATTTGTGCAGTTTCAAACAGTGTCTTCTTTTTACAGATCCAAGGTCCAGGCTGCCTCTGCTGATGCTCTCCAGCCTCCTTCTGTGAAGTCCCTAAAATCCTTAACCCTGCTAATGGCTCACACAAAACCCAATGTGATCGGCTCCACACACGCAGCATCCAGCTGCTCTGTAAGGACAAGAAGGAGCTAGAATTCTCACACACAAAAGTCCTGGTTCAAATGCAAATGGCAAAGCCACTTTGGGAAACTATGAACACACACTTACCCCAGGACCTAACAAATTCCACTCCAAGTGTTTATCCAAAGGGAGAACATATGTTCACTAAAGTACTTGTTCACAGCACAATTGTGGCAGCTCTACACGGCCAAAAACCAGAAAGCCTGGGCGCGGTGGCTCACGCTTGTAATCCCAACACTTTGGGAGGCCAAGGTGGGGGGATCACTGGAGCCCAGGAGTTGAAGACCAGCCTTGCAACACAGTGAAACCTTGTCTCTACAAAAAAATCAAAAAACTAGCCGGGCATGGTGACATGTATGTGGTCCCTGCAACACAGGAGGCTGAGGTGGGAGGATCATTTGAGCCTAGGAGGACAAGGCTGCAGTGAGCCAACATCAGGTCACTGTATACAGCCTGGGTGACAGAGCAAGACCCTGTCTCAAAAAAAAAAAAAAAAAAAGAAAACAAAAACCAAAAACAATTACATGTCCTTCAATAGGAGAATGAACTAACAAACAGTACTACACCTATAAAATGGAAAACTTCCCAATAATAAAAACGAAGTCGCAATACACACAACAGTGAGTGAATCTGAAAATCATTCTCCAAGGCAAAGCAGGAAAGAGTGCATACTATACAGTTATATTGCTGCGACACTCAGAGCAGGAAAAATGAATCTAATCTCAGGGCAGGGGAGTATCCTGGCTGCAAGTGCCAAGGAGCACAGGGATCTTTCCGGGTGACGGGAATGGTCTACATGAGGAACAGGTTACCTGTTAACTTCACTGAAACAGACAACATGCAGTATTTTATCACAAATCATCTCAATAATTTTTAAAATTAGCACATAAAAGAATTTTAATTTAAAAAAATACTTGGATATAAGTTTAGTGTTTTACTGTTTTCAGTTATTCTTCACATGTGTGAGTGTGGTATTTCCGATCTCAGCCCACCACCAGGTCACGTGTGCCTCCAAGGCCATACCTGGATCTCTGCAGTAATGGCTGCGTGTAAGGCTGACTCCAACCCTCCATCAGCCATCAAGCTGCCCACCAGAAGATCAATCACCAATCGATGACCTGGACTTATGTTCACTTCATTGCCTGAAACTGAAATAGAAAGTCTGTGCCAATTTGAGTGAAACGCCATCCCCTCCCAGCACCCTGACCCATGCCCTCTCCTGTTCCTTCCCCGAGCCCACCTCCACAGGACAGGAGAGCAGAGTGCCCGGGCCTGCTTCTCAGCGGTGGGCAACAGCATGGACCAGCCGCTCTGCAGCATGGCCTGGGAGGCCGACTGCACGGTGCTCAGCACGTCTGCGCTGCTTGCCAGGGTCACCACCTTCTGCTTCAGGCTGTTCAGGAAGACGCTGCCCAGACCTAAACCAAGGAATTCCAGGTCAACCTGGTGACTAATGGCAGCATGCAACTGAAAGGAGAAAAACAATTTTCACTTAGAACCCCTAAAAATGAGTGAATTTCAAAGTCTTATTAAACACTGAATAAAAGTCAATTTGAAGTATTATTTAAATAGACAAAATAACTTCTCAGTTTACGTATTTTTAAAAACTGGACTAAAAAAACTCTTACCCACAATAGTTGAAGTATTTTCTAGAGGAATTTTTTTTAACCCCACTATGAACACATATATGGAAAAGCTCAAGATGAGCAGAAGAGCTAAACAACTAGCAACAGCAACCTCCACCCCGCCCCAACAATCTGCACCAAACACAGAAATAATGGCTACAATGTAACCACAAAAGCTGCCACAGGCGGTGGCTCATGCCTGTCATCCCAGCACTTTGGGAGGCCGACGTGGAAAGCTCACTTGAGATCAGGAGTTCAAGATCAGCCTGGCCAACATGATGAAACCCCATCTCTATAAAAAAATCAGCCGGGTGTGATGGTACACACCTGTAGTCCCAGCTACTTGGGAGGCTGAGGCAGGAGAATCACTGGAACCTGGCAGGCCAAGACTGTACCACTGCATTCCAGCCTGGGTGACAAAGTGACACCCTGTCTAAAAAAAAAAAAGAGCTGCTAAAAATTAGACTGCGGAGCTGAGAGTACACAGGGAAACTCCTCAAGTGCAAAACCAAAATTCACATGGGCACACACAGCAGGAGTCAAGAGGTTCCGGGCTCTGAAAGCAGAGCCAAGCCGCCAGGCTTCAGCACAACCTCCCACACGGGAATGCACACAAGGACCCACTGAACCCGAGCTTCCTGCAGAAGGCTGGGAGCCACTCAGGATCACCTGCCTGCCAGCCAACCGCAGCCAGGGGGCAACACACTGCCCGTCCCAGGCTCTGGGTAGCAAGAGGCCCCATGAGAAATCAGAGACCCGGCCTTGCCCTGTAAGTAGAAGTGAAATCAAAAGCACACCACTCATCTAGGTATAGATATCACAGGTCAGGAAATGACCACCGAAACTCACCTGGAGTCTGTGAAACCTACAGAACCCTCAGGACCCCGGAGAGGCAAATGCAAAACCATACGCTGGGACACCTCGACAGCCTAAGACATACGCAAGGCCACGCCCCACAGCACTGACCAGAACAGACACATCACCGCAAACCAGGAGGGGCAGCAAACACCTGGGGCGCAACCACGCAAACGCCAGGATGCCACAGGTATGGTGATAAATGAGTGCTACAGAGGACTAGAGGAGAAGCATGCTCCAGACCTCTGCTCAGTTCATTACTGCAACTAAACACTACACTCAGTTCTGTACATTCTAGAAGCAGGGCAAAAAGGGGAGGGGCTGGAAGAGGGACATGACGGGTTGTTACAAGAAACCACTGTAATAAAAGGGAAAAATTACTATGTCGAGAAAACCGTGGTTCTTGTCATTAAGTTAGAGGGTTTTATTACAAAGACAAAAGATGATGATCAAACACTTCAGCTTTAGTTTTGCTAGGGAGGAAGGCTTTTGTAGCTTTTATTGTGACCCTAACCACAGCCTTCATGGTGAGGAAAGGAAGGTATTGCTTTGGGAGCCGAGCTTATTGAGTAGATCAAGCTTGTTCAACCCACGGCCCGAGGGCAGCATGTGGCCCAGGGCAGCTTTGAATGTGGCCCAAAGTAAAATTTCTTAAAACATCATGAGATATTTTTGGGATTTTTTTTTTAAGCTCATCAGCTATCATAAGTGTATTTTATGTGTAGCCCAAGACAATTCTTCTTCCAGTGTGGCCCAGGGAAACCAAAAGACTGGACCCTCCTGGAGCAGGGTTTTCACAGGACAGAGGAGAGACAGGCCAGCACTGGTCTCTCAGCTGAGCTCTGTCTCTCTCCATCACCTGTGATCTCACCCAGTCATTTCTCCACACGCAACAACAGTAAAACAGTAAGAATACCAACAAACTAATGATTATAGCAAAAATAACACAATCCATATACACTCTTCCTGCATGCCGAGGCTGACTTCCAGGACAAACATAAAATAAACAGATCAAGTTTTTTAAGCCTTGCGTCCATTATTAGTGCATTACAATCTTACTTTAAAATACTTCCCCCAACAGGCTAAAACCTATGTCCTTCAGAATACATAAACCTTCTTACAAATCGCTAAGACACTTATAAAAGGAGCAAGAGGAAGGGAAATCACGAATACCTGAAGTCGGGGAAGATTCAGCGTTGCCACGGCCACGCACTCTTTCTCCTGGGGCGGGGGCCAGTCCGCGGAGCCATCCATCCCCTCACTCACCTGCCGAAGCAGGAGATCCAGCTGCTCAAAAGTCACTGAGCAAATATCCACCCCAAAAGGGACATGGAGGCCAATGGACCACTCAGAACACGATGACCAAGCAATGCTCTAAGAGGAAACGCAACAATCGGAAATGAATCTCCAAATGCAGCTCTTGGTCTGTCGCACAGGAGTCACCAGCTTGTGTGATGGAGCTGCCTTATATTATTACCTATCATCCCTCTAACTGCCCAGTGGAAAAGCATTCATGGGTGTCTAGCTCACACACTATCAGCTTCCAATTCTCCCACCCATTTCACTAGCCCCATCTCACTTGGCCATACCTAAAAAAGTAAAAACATTTTAAAAAATCTTTTCACTCTCAAAATGATTAATGCACATTAATGGATGGCAGTGAGGCTCTCCATCCACTTGAAGTGGTATAATAGCAACTCTAACTAGAAAATGAATTGTTAGACACATATAACACACACAATACCTTTCATAGTGAGAGAACAAGTAATCGGCAAAAATCTAGGAGAACTGTAGAACACCTTCAATAAACTGGATCTAATTTATAGAACACTTCACCCAACAACAGCAAAATACATATACTTTTTTTTTTTTTTTTTGAGACAGAGTCTCGCTCTGTCGCCCAGGCTAGAGTGCAGTGGCGGGATCTCAGCCCACTGCAAGCTGTGCCTCCTGGGTTCACGCCATTCTCCTACCTCAGCCTCCTGAGTAGCTGGGACTACAGGTGCTCACCACCACGCCTGGCTAATTATTATTATTTTTTTAATTTTTATTTTTAGTGGAGATGGGGTTTCACCATGTCAGCCAGGATGGTCTTGATCTCCTGACCTCGTGATCCACCTGCCTTGGCCTCCCAAAGTGCTGGGATTACAGGCGTGAGCCACCGTGCCCGGCCATACATACACTTTACATATACTTTTTTTAAATTTTATTTTTTTTGAGATGGAGTCTAGCTCTGTCGCCCAGGCTGGAGTGCAGTCGCACGATCTCAGTTCACTGCAAGCTCTGCTTCCCAGGCTCAAGCCAGTCTCCTGCCTCAGCCTCCCAAGTAGCTGGGACTACAGGCGCCCGCCATCATGCCCGGGTAATTTTTTTTGTATTTTTAGTAGAGACGGAGTTTCACCCTGTTAGCCAGGATGGTCTCGATCTCCTGACCTTGTGATCTGCCTGCCTTGGCCTCCCAAAGTGCTGGACCATACATATACTTTTTAAGCACATACAGACCATACATATACTTTTTACACATATATGTATACATATATGTATATACAGACCATACATATACAGACCATACATATACTTTTTAAGCACATACAGAATGTTCACTGAGAACATAACCTGACACATAAATCTTAACAAATTTAAAAGAAATGAAATCATATGCAGTTTGTTCTCCAATCACAATGGTATTAAACTAGAAATCATTAACAAAACAATCTGCAAACACTTCAAAATAAAACAACATACTTAATAATCCATGGGTCAGGCCGGGCGCACTGGCTCACGCGTGTAATCCCAACACTGTGGGAGGCCAAGTTGGGGGGATCACCTGAGGCCAGGAGTTGAAGATCAGCCTGGCCAACATGGAGAAACCCCATCTCTACTGAAAATACAAAACAATTAGCCGGGCATGGTGGCGGGTGCCCGTAGTCCCAGCTAATCAGGAGGCTGAGGCAGGAGAATCGCTTGAACCCAGGAGACAGAGGTTGCAGTGAGCCGAGATCATGTCATTGCACTCCAGCCTGGGCAACAACAGTGAAACTCCGTATTGAAGAAAAATAATAATAATAATAATCATCATCATCATCCATGGGTCAAAGAACAATTCTCAAAAGAAATTAGAAAATATTTTGAACATAAATGAAAATGCACCAAAATTTGTGGGTTTAATTAAAGCACTGCTTAGAGGAAAATTTATAGCATCAAATCATTATATATTACAGAAAAGATAGGTCTAAATCAGCAATCTAAGTTTCCACCTTAAGAAACCAGAAAAAGAGCAAAGTGAACGCAAAACAAGCCAAAGGAACAAATGCCAAGATAAAAGCAGAAACTAATGAGATTGAAAGCAAAAAAAGAAGGGAAAAATTAATGAAACTTAAAGATCATTCTTTGAAAAGATCAACAAAATTGAAAAACTCTAGGAAAACTGACAAAGAAAAAAACAGAAAAGATACAAATTATCAGTATCAGGAATGAATGAAGGGACATCACTGCAGGCCCCACAGACTTCAGACGGTTAGCAAGAGAACACTAAGGAAAACTTGACACTTAAAAATCAGACAACTTAGATGAAATAAAGCAATGTCCGAGTGCCACAAACCAGGAAAATCCTCCTAGAAACAAACAGGTTACCTGAATAGTTCTGTATCTGTTAAATAAATTGAATTTGTAAAAATTTTTTTTTTTTTTTTGAGCCGGAGTCTCACTCTGTCACCCAGGCTGGAGTGCATTGGTGCAATCTCAGCTCTCTGCAATCTCTGCCTCCCAGGTTCAAGTGATTCTCCTGCCTTAGCCTCCTGAGTAGCTGGGATTACAGGCGCACGCCACCAAGCTCGACTAATTTTTTGTATTTTTAGTAGAAACGGGGTTTCACCATGTTAGCCAGGCTGGTCTCAAACTCCTGACCTCAGGTGATCCACCTGCCTCAGCCTCCCAACGTGCTGGGATTATAGGCACGAGCCACCGTGCCCGGCGTAAAATCTTTTAGAAAGAAATCTCCAGGTTCAGATGGATTCAAAAACATTTAAAGAAGAAATAACACTAATTCTACACAATCCCTTAGAGAAAATGGAAAAGGAGGGAACACATGCCAATACTTTGTATAAGGTCAGCTTTCCCCTGACAGAAAGCCAGACAAGATAGTATAATACAAAGAAAGAAAACTGCAAACCAACATCCCTGATGAGCATCAACAGAAAAATCCTCAAAAACGTGTTAGCAAGTCAAATTTAGCAATATAGAAACAGAATAGGGCCGGGCGCAGTGGCTCACGCCTGTAATCATAGGAATATTGGGATGCCAAGGAGGGTGGATCACTTGAGGTCAGGAGTTGGAGACCAGGCTGGCCAACATGGTGAAACCCCATCTCTACTAAAAACAAACAACAAACAAACAAAATTAGCCAGGTGTGGTGGTGCACACCTGTAATCCCAGCTACTCAGGAAGCTGAGGCAGGAGAATTGCTTGAACCCAGGAGGCAGAGGTTGCAGAGAGCTGAGATTGCACTAATGCACTCCAGCCTGGGTGACAGAGTGAAATTCTGTCTCAAAAAAAAAAAAAAAAAAAAGAAAGAGAGTAGTAAATCGTGGCCAAGTGATGCCTATCCCAGTAACACAAGGCTTGGTCAGTATTTAAAAATCAGGCTGGTATAGTGTCTCACACCTGTAATCCCAGCACTTTGGGAGCTCACTGCAACCTCAAACTCTTAAGCTCAAGCAATCCTCCTGCCTCAGCCTCCTGAGTAGCTGAGACTACAGGTGCACACCAGCATGCCACGCTAATTTTTAATTTTTTTGTAGAGATGGGATCTCGCTGTGTTGCCCAAGCTGGTCTCTAACTCCTGGGCTCAAGTGACCCTCTCGCCTATGCCTCCCGAAGTGCTGGTGTGAGCTGTTGCACCCAGCCAAAATACGGCAGATTTGTAGTACCCCAGAAGGCTCCTTCCTGACCTACACTTTCCCACAAAGGAAACTACTCTTCTGACTTCAATCATCGTCAGTTCTGTCTTCCTGCGCTTCATCTAGGTGGGCTGGTACTGTGCACTGTCTCTCATACCTGGCTCCCTCTATTCACCCATGTCGTTGAGTGTTCCTACCACTTCATTTTTCTTTTTTGGCTGTGTAGTATTCCATGATGTGACTGTATCACCATTTATTCACTCTCCTGTTGATGGACATTTAGGTTGTTTTCATTTGGGGCTCTTATGAATAAAAATGGCAGTGAACATTCTTATATAAGTCTTTTTGTGGACATATGCACTCGTTTCTCTTGTGTACATGCTTAGGATGGAATTTCTGAAGGTAGGCATAGATATAGCTTTAGTAGAAGCTGCCAAACAGGTTTCCAATGTGCTTATACAATTTTATGCTACTGCCAGCTTGACAGTTCTTGTAGCTCTACATCTTTACCAATACTCTGTATAACACAGCATTTAACTTTAAATAGAGATAAAACGATGGTAAGATCCAAAGAAGTGTGCATGTTCCTGAAGAACATCCCGTAAAGGGCCTATTTTATTCATCTGTTTCGGGCACTGAAAACCACTGCATGGCTGGATGAGGAAGGAGGCCTGGTACAACTCCCAAGAAGGCATGTGTCCCTCGGGTGGGCTTTGTTTCCCAGAAACTCTGGGGAAGGGGTGGAGAGGCACCTTCTGGGCCAGCTGGTCTCCTCTGGCTTTTCTTGTACCCTAGGGCTCCCTCCAAAGAGACAGAGAACAGCCTGGCCGGGGAGCAGTATCTCCTACTGCGCTTGCTGTGAGCCAGCCACTCTGCCTTCTTTCAGGAATTACAAAATCCACAGGTCCCCGGCATTCTTATTTATGTATTTATTCATTTATGAGGCATGGTTTTCCTCAGCTCTGTTGGATGGGTCTCTGTGAAGGGAGCTTGGTGGGGGCGAGTGGCCCCTCCCTGGAGGAGGCAGGCCCCTGGTCAGGATCTTTGGGGCTCCAGGTCTCATAAGTGGGGGGCCAGGCTCCCTAGAGAAACCCTTCTTGGCTAGGGCTGGGGAGCCCACCAGAGTGACCCAATCAGTTCTCAGGGCCTGTGATGGGGCCAAGTGGTTTTGAGAAGCCAGTGTTCAGCTCCATCCTAAAGAGCACTCATGCACGTTGAGGAGGAGGGCCGGGGTGCACAGCTCTGACCTGAGTCAGACCCACCTCAGGACTTAGCCCAGCAGGAGGCCCAGAGTCACTGACCATAAAACGAGCAGATGCCTCCCCCGTGCTGATGGAGATGAGTCTTGGGCATCAACTCTAATAATTTCTAACTGCACCCAGAAATACTGATTCACACAGCAACTAGTGAATAATAGCCTTTTAGAGCTAAAAAAGCCTCATATATTATAAATTAACATATGCATTTTACACAAACTAGAGGCACCGTGGTGGGCCAGCAGCAGCCTGTTCAGGGGCCACAACAAGGGAGATTGGATTTCCTTAAGTGCAATGGGAGTTACTGGCAAGGCTTTAAGGTTTTAGCCACAGGAAAGATGAAAGTATTTTAGAGCAATGTGGGTGGATTCAAAGTGAGGTTTTGAACTAGATCAGTTTTTTTTTTTTTTTTTTTTTTAGACAGAGTCTGACTCTTATTGCCCAGGCTGGAGTGCAGTGGTGCTATCTTGGCTCACTGCAACCTCTGCCACCCAGGTTCAAGCAATTCTCCTGCCTCAGCCTCCTGAATAGCTGGGATTACAGGCACCTGCCACCAAGCCCGGCAAATTTTTGTATTTTTACGGGGTTTCACCATCTTGGCCAGGCAGTTCTTGAACTCCTGACCTCGTGATCCACCTGCCTTGGCATCCCAAAGTATTAATTTTTTTTTTTTTTTGAGACGAAGTCTTGCTGTGTCGCCCAGGCTGGAGTGCAGTGGCCCGATGTCGGCTCACTGCAAGCTCCGCCTCCCAGGTTCACGCCAGTCTCCTGACTCAGCCTCCCGAGTAGCTGGGACTACAGGCGCCCGCCACGATGCCCAGCTAATTTTTTGTATTTTTTTTTAGTAGAGATGGGGTTTCACCGTGTTAGCCAGGGTGGTCTCAATCTCCTGACTTCCTGATCTGTCCGCCTTGGCCTCCCAAAGTGCTGGGATTACAGGGGTAAGCCACCACGCCCCTCCAAGTATTAAATTTTTTATTTAAAAAATCTCCCCTCTCCAAAGATCTCCCAGCATTTCTGCAGAGGTCTCTACCTAGGTAAGGAGAAGAAACTATTCTTGGCCGGGTACAGTGGCTCACGCCTGTAATACCAGCACTTTGGAAAGCCAAGGTTGGAGGATTCCTTGATCCCAGAAGTTCGAGACCAGCCTGGCCAACATGGTGAAACCCCATCTTTACCAAAAATACAAAAATTAGGTGGGTGTGGTGGAGTGTGCCTGTAGTCCCAGCTACTCAGGAGGCTGAGGTAGAAGGATCGCTTGGGCCTGGGAGGTCAAGGCTGCAGTGAACCAAGGTGGTGCCACTGCACTCCAGCCTGGGTAACAGAGTGAGATCCTGTCTCAAAAAAAAAAAAATTATCTGTGAGGGTGAAATTTAAATACCTTTGTGCATAGCTATCAGTTATTCTTTGTTTTAATATTTAGTTTATTGTGAAATATAACACATATAGAAACATACATAAAACAACACACAGGGCCAGGCCCGGTGGGTCACGCCTTGTAATCCCAGCACTTTGGGAGGCCGAGGCGGGCGGATTACTTGAGGTGAGGAGTTTGAGACCAGCCTGGCCAACATGGTGAAACCCCATCTCTACTAAAAATACAAAAATTAGTCGGATGTGGTGGTGCATGCCTGTAATCCCAGCTACTTGGGAGGCTGAGGCAGGAGAATCGCTTGAACCTGGGAGGCAGAAGTTACAGTGAACCAAGATCGCGCTACTGCACTCCAGCCTGGGCAACGGAGTCAGACTGTGTCTAAAAAAAAAGAAAAAAAATATAGGCCGGGTGTGGTGGCTCACGCCTGTAATCCCAGCACTTTGGGAGGCCGAGGCGGGCAGATCCCTTGAGGTCAGGAGTTCGAGACCAGCCTGACCAACATGGAGAAACCCCATCCCTACTAAAAGTACAAAATTAGCCGGGCATGGTGTTGCATGACTGAAATCCCAGCTACTTTGGAGGCTGAGGCAGGAGAATCGCTTGAATCTGGGAGGTAGAGGTTGTTTTGAGCTGAGATCACGCCATTGTACTCCAGCCTGGGCAACAAGAGCGAAACTCCGTCTCAAACAAACAAAAAACAAAACAAAAACAAAAAACACAGTGTAACATGTTATTATAAAGTCACTGCTCAGGGACCAACTTGGCCGGTCCTGTGCCTCTAGAGGGAAGCTCCTTCCCACTGTTCTTTAGAGTTTTATATGTTAAGTACAGGAGTCAACAAACTAGGCCTATGCACCACATCTGGCACCCAGCCTTTATTTATTTTTTGAGATGGCGTCTCACTCTGTCACCCTGGCTGCAGTGTGGCAGCACAATCTCGGCTCACTGCAAACTCCACCTCCCAGATTCAAGCAATTCTCCTGCCTCAGCCTCCTGAGTAGCTGGGATTACAGGTGTGTGCCACCACACCCGGCTAATTTTTATATTTTTGGTAGAGACGGGGTTTCACCATGTTGGTCAGTCTGGTCTCGAACTCCTGACGTCAGGTGATCCGCCTGCGTTGCCCTCTCAAAGTGCTGGGATTACAGGCATGAGGCATGATGCCTGACCCAGCCTTTTTTAAAATGAAGGTTTCGGCTGGCGCGGTGGCTCATGTCTGTAGTCCCAGCATTTTGGGAGGCCAAGGCAGGTGGATCACCTGAGGTCAGTAGTTGGAGACCACCCTGGCCAACATGGTGAAACCCCGTCTGTACCAAAATACAAAAATTAGCTGGGCGTGATGGCAGGCACATGTAATGCCAGCTACTCGGGAGCCTGAGGCACGACAATCACTTGAACCCGGGAGGCGGAGGTTGCAGTGAGCCAAGATCACACGATTGCACTCCAGCCTGGGCAACGAGCGAAACTCCATCTCAAAATACAATAATAAAAAAAAGGATGTCCTTTTTTGTCTCTCAACCCCGTTTTTTATTTTTTTTTATTTTCAGACAGGGTCTCGCTCTGTTGCCCAGGGTGGAGTGCAGGGGCCCGATCTTAGCTCACTGCGGCCTCAACTTCCCCAGCTCACATGATCCTCCCACCTCAGCCTCCCAAATAGCTGGGACCACAGGTGGGTACCACCATGCCCGCCTAATTTTTGTATTTTTTGTAGAGATGGGATTATGCCATGTTGCTCAGGCTGATCTCGAACTTCTGGGCTCAAGTGTCTCTCTGCCTCCACCTCCCAAAGTGCTGGGATTGCAGGCCTGAGCTACCATGCCCAGCCCTGCTTTAATTTAAAGTGTATTACATTTGATATTAGTACAGCCCCTTCAGCTCTTTTTTGGTTACTATTTTAATTGTATCTTTGTATCCCTTTACTTTCAATCTGTTTCTGTATTTAAAATGTTTATCTTGTAGATAGCACATTGGTGGATCATATTTTGTTCTTCAATCCTTTCAGCCAGTCTGCTTTTCTTTCTTTCTTTTTGAGACAGAGTTTTCCTTTTGTCACCCAGGCTGGAGCGCTATGGTGCGATCTCAGCTCACTGCAACCTCTGCCTCCTGGGTTCAAGCGATTCTCCAGCCTCAGCCTCCTGAGTAGCTGGGATTACAGGTGCGTGCCACCAGGCCTGACTAATTTTTGTATTTTTAGTAGAGACAGGGGTTTCTTCATGTCGGTCAGGCTGGTCTTGAACTCCTCACCTCAGGTGATCCACCGCCTCAGCCTCCCAAAGTGCAGGCATTACACGCGTAAACCACTGCGCCCGGCCAAAGTGGTGGATTTTTTTTCTCAGAAAATCTATTCCATTCTTTTTCCAGAAACCAAATTTGTACAAGTTAACTAAAATAAATATTTATACTCTAATTTTTTTGTTCTGAGGTCTGAGTTTTTAGAATTTTATCTTTACATGTTTAGAAAAATTAGAAAATATAGATAGAACATAACCAAGAAAATAATAACAACTTTCCTTCTGTTCAAAGTTCATTACTATTAGCCGAGTGCAGTGACTCACACCTGTAATCCTAGCACTTTGGGAGACTGAGGCGGGCGGATCACTTGAGCCCAGGAGTTCGAGACCAGCCTGGGCAACATGGCAAAATCCCGTCTACAAAAACTACAAAAATTAGCCAGGTGTGGTTCCATGTGCCTGCAGTCCCAGCTAGTGGCAAGGCTGAGGTGGAGAACCACCTGAACCCGGTAAGTCAAGGCTGCAGTGGTGCAGCCTCTGTCCCCCAGGCTGGAGTGCAGTGGTGCAATGTCGGCTCACTGCAACCTCCGCCTCCCGGGTTCAAGCGATTCTCCTGCCTCGGCCTCCCGAGTAGCTGGGATTACAGTCACGTGCCACCACACCTGGCTAATCTTTGTATTTTCAGTAGAGAAGGGGTCTCATCATGTTGGCCAGGCTGGTTTTGAACTCCTGACCTCAGATGATCCACCTGCTCTGGCCTCCCAAAGTGCTGGGATTACAGGCCTGAGCCACCACGCCCGGCCGTTATTTTTCTTTCTTAGAGGCAGGATCTCACTCTGTCGCCCAGGCTGGAGTGCAGTGGCACGATCTAAGCTCACTGTAGCATTGATCTCCCAGGCTCAGGCGATTCTCCTGTCTCAGCCTCCCGAGCAGCTGGGATCACAGGTGTGTGCCACCACACCTGGCTAATTGTTAAATTTTTTTATTTTTATTTTTTAGAGATGGGGTCTTGCTATGTTGCCCAGTCTGGCAACATGGGATCCTCCAACTCCTGGCTTCGAGGGATCCTCCCGCTTCGGCCTCCCAAAGCGCTGAGAATTACATACGTGAGCCACCACGCCCGGCCTATATTGTTTTATAGTTCTTCAATTTTGTTTTGTGGTCGCCGGAGGTGTTTCCTTCTTCGATTCCCTGCACAGTGCTTCCACAGCTGCTCCATGGAATCTGCCCAAGACTTTTGCTGCGTTCAGTTGAACACACAGGAGGAAGCTCTTCAGGCCCCAGCCAGCCGACCGCACAAAGATGCGTTCTCATACCCAGGGGAGCTGGTCTCGCCACTCGACCCGCGCCCTGGATAGCTATAGTTAGTGTGAGCGCCACCACCCGCCGCGGCGTGATCAAGAGCGCTCCGGGCCAAGCAGTCTCCCGTGGGAGTGCGGGAGTGCGTGCGTGCGGCGGAAATCCCGCCTTCCGGCGCCCGCTGTTGGCCTTGGCCGCAGCCAGGGCGCTCCAAGTAGGAAGATAAGCGGGATTGCTGGAAGCGGGAGAGTCGGGAGGAGCGGCGAAGGGCTCCTCTTCCCCATTGGCTGCGCCCACGGAGCAGCCTCGTTGCGATTGGCCGTACGCGGGGGGCGGCAGTCCCGCGTCGGCCCGCCCCTCGGGCCGCGAGAGGCGCCGGGATCGCGGGCGCCGGCTGAGCCAGCGGCTCTTGGGAGGCTGCGTCCGCGCGCCGGCGAGGCGAGGCGGCCGGGCCCTGCGCGTCAGGTCCTGGCCTGGGGCACCTGGGCGGCCGGTGGCGGGGGCGGTACGGGCGCGGGGCTGGCGGGCGGCCGAGCCCGGGAGGCGGGCGTGGGCGCGGCGGCCGCACCGGGGCCTGCGCGGACCACCCGCGGGGCAGCCTCGGGCCTCTCTCCATCTCTTAAGTGGTGGTGGCTGTGGGTTTTTCTGCAGGCGATCCTTTTGAGTAATTTGTTTCACGCACGCGCCCTGCTGTGGGGTAAAGCGGCAGATTCATGCTGCTGTCATTTGTCGTTAAAACGATGTGTGTTATGTGTGTGTACTTCTTGGATTTGAGGGCAGGGGGATGACATTGTGACTTGGCTTCCTGTGACCGTCCATTCTCAAGGTCTCGTCAGCGTGGTGCAGAAACTCGGCACACCCTGCCTACCTTGGAAGGAGGCTTTCCCTTCCCCACCTCCCTCTCCCTCCATCTCTTCCCTCTTTCCCTCTCTCCCCTTCTCTCCCCTCCACCAGCTCTTCTCTCCCCCCTTTCTGTTCTCTCTCTCTTTTTTCTTTTGTGCATTGAACCTTTCGGGAGTGTCTTTGTAAACTATTAAAAAGCATTAGGTCTTCAGCGTATGTGTTTACTTGCAGGCCTGAGACCTGGGAGGAAGCTGGAGAAAAGATGCCCTCTGAATCTTTCTGTTTGGCTGCCCAGGCTCGCCTCGACTCCAAATGGTTGAAAACAGATATACAGGTGGGGTTTGACATGTCTTTTTCTTGGTGTGTTTCTGCTTCCATGTTTAAATTTCTCGTGTAAGGCTTTTTTTTAGGGTATGTAAGGGGAAGTCAGTTGTATCTTGCTGAATTAGAGGAGCAGGTTTATTTCCTGTAACTTAAAATGTAACAGTCTTATGGCTGTTTTTGTAGATCGTGCGCGGCTGCCTTTTAATTAGTTTCTTGCAAGTGCACGAAACTTGAGATCTATTAATAGAGAAAATTTTTTTCCTATTTATTATTACTGGTTAAGAAATCTGCCACACTCCTAACCATATCATGGTGACTGTTGTTTGTTACTGATCGTTTTTGAGCTGTTGAGTTAACTGTGGAGGGGAAAATTGGAGAAGTAAGTTGCAGTAATTATGGCCTATAGAAACTCACTCATTTTATGAGGTCTTGTGTTTGTGTTTCTGGAGAGACGAGTTAGTTCAGTTGAGCTGTTTGTTTTGTCTTTGTAACTCCTTATTAAGAGGAGTGCTCAGATTTTCACATCAAGAATATGAGGAAACAATGTTGGCCTTAGATCCTAATTTTTTGATTTAATGAGATAATTGCAAGCTTGTCAGGACATTATTAAATAAATAATAACGGTAATATTTCGATAGACAGTTCTTTACACCCAATCTACTTTTATTTGGAAATGGCTTGGAAAAACTACTTTTGGAACTCCTTATCAGCAGCAAAAAGAAGTGTTTGAAATATTTTGTGTGTGTCTGTATTTTCCTACTCCCTAAGGTTAACCATTTTAAGTATTAAGTAATGTGCCTTGACTGTTCATCAAAAGTCGTGTAGGCTGTTAAGCAGTAGTTGATCATGGATACTTACACTGAAGTGTTATTGCCCCTTCCTAATTTTTTTTTTCTTTTTAAACAGGTATTGAGTGTTGGTGGATATGAGAGTCCAGTGTTTAGAGCTGTGTTGCGTGGCTGGGCGCAGTGGCTCACGCCTGTAATCCCGGCAGTTTGGGAGGCCGAGGCGGGTGGATGCCCTGAGGTCAGGAGTTGGAGACCAGTCTGACCAACATGGTGAAACCCCGTCTCTACTAAAAATACAAAATTAGCCAGACGTGGTGGTGTATGCCTGTAATCCCAGCCACTCGGGAGGCTGAGGCAGGAGAATCGCTTGAACCCGGGAGGTGGAGGTTGCAATGGGTCAAGATTGTGCCGTTGCACTCCAGCCTGGACAATGAGAGCTTTTTTTTCAAAAAAAAAAAAAAAAGCTGTTGTGGATGATGGGATTGTTATTCATAGTGTAATGTTACATAAGACAGAGTACAGAGAATTGGGTCAAGAATTGGTGTAGTTACTCTTTGGGTTTGTTTCTCTTTAAACATTTCCTTTGATTTAGCTATAATGATCTGTTTTGTCATTTTAAGTGGATGGGAGACGTGAGAGATGAGTACTTTCATATTTCTGAAATCCTGAGATTCAGGCAAAGTTTTAATAGTCGTTTTTATATTAGTGTTTATGTATTTTGAGAAACTTTTTGGAGTAAAGGACTTTACGTAATGAAGTTTTTTTCTTAATAATTGTAATTTAATAACTGCTAAACATGAGTTCTAGTGTCTTGATCTAAAACCAGTTTAATGCTGAATTGAGTTCCTATGATGGGTTGGGCAGATAAACATACAGTGAAGCACCATTTATATCTTAGAGGGCCTGTTGTTTTGATTTATTAAGTTTAATACACAGTACTTGGTCCTTGTTACACATTTCCAATATGATTAGAAAGTCTTTTTTTTTTTTTTTTGAGACGCAGTCTTGCTCTGTCGCCCAGGCTGGCGTGCAGTGGCGCAATCTTGGCTCACTGCAACTTCCGCCTCCCGAATGCAAGTGATTCTCCCACCTCAGCCTTCCGAGTAGCTGGGATTACAAGTGTGTGCCACCATGCATGCCCGACTAATTTTTGTATTTTTAGTAGAGATGGGGTTTCACTGTGTTGGCCTGGCTGGTCTCCTGACCTCAAAGCGATCTGCCTGCCTCGGCCTCCCAAATTGCTGGGATTACAGGCGTGAGCCACTGCACCTGGCCAAAAAAAAAAGTCATCTAAATTCCTCCTAGGAGTAAGGGAAACGACTAGGTTTTGGATAGTGTGCACCAGAGGAAAAATGTGTTACAGGTCTAAGTAGCATGAAAAAAGTGATTGCTAAGTTTTGTTTTATGTTCCACCAGCATTGGTTGTTAAACACAAGGAATGAATGGTGGTGTTTTACCGTAAGGAATAAGACATGGTTTCCCTCTTTGGGGAGCTTCCCTGCAGACAGGAATTGCAGATGGAAGCCTTGTGCTCACAGGTTTTACCCTTATCTTGTTGAGGATGGCTCTCCCAGCTGGAGTGGGAAGCGCTTCACTGCTTGAGACTTTTGTATTGGAAACAGAATTGACACCTGGGTAATGAATAATACATGGGATAGGAAGATGTTTCTTAGCCATAGGATTTAACCGATCTGTTTTCCACAGCTGTTTTTGTTTGAAATGCCCTTAAAAGTTTTAGTAACTTTAGAAAGGAAGAGTTTTTGGAGTGTGAAAACTTATAATGCTTGTGTGTTATAGAGAGCACTTATTGACTTCTTTATCATAGACATTATTTGGATACGTCAGGCCTAGGACCCTACATCCAGCAACCTCTAATGCAGGGCTCATTTTATGCCAGGCATATATATCTGGTTATTACATATAAACAGTTTAATTGTTCAACACTTTTTTTTTTTTTTTTTTTTGAGACGGAGTCTCACTCTGTCTCCCAGGCTGGGGTGCATTGGTGCCATCTTGGCTCACTGCAAGCCTCCTGGGTTCATGCCATTCTCCTGCCTCAGCCTCCCGAGTAGCTGGGACTACAGGTGTCCACCACCACGCCTGGCTAATTTTGTGTACTTTTAGTAGAGACAGGGTTCCACCATGTGGGCCAGGCTGGTTTTGAACTCCTGACCTCAAGTGATCCACCCGCCTCGGCCTCCCAAAGTGCTGGGATTACAGGCGTGAGCCACCGCGCCTGGCCTGTTCAACACTCTTTTCTGCTTGATGTGTGGAGTGATTGAATCACCATGTTTTCCTTCACTGCTCTCGTGAAGAGTAATACATTACAGAGGTAAGAGGTGTCAGTCACATCACTTTTTATTTTTACCGTGAAAGTACTTCTAATCTGATGTGATTGGTAGTTTTTTAGCAAACCAAAAAGTCAGTTAAGCAAAGGAATCATAAAAACCAATATATGAGACCTTAAAAGCTTTTTATTCTTAAAACACATGCCTGTTCGCCAGTTTTGTTGTAAGGTAAAGGTGCATGTCTTTGAGCATAGGTCCAGAATGGAGTTATCCTGCCCCTTCTTGCATAAGCTGCACTCAGATGAATTTCCTACAGTTTCTATTTTTGGGTTCTTTTTTAAGTGGCACATGAAACTAGATATGCATGAAGCAATTTTTAAAAAAACTTTTTATTTTGAAATAATAATAGACTCTCAGGAAGTTGTAAAGAAACTAGAGAGGTCATTGTATATTTGCGCATACTGCCCCAGTGGTTACATTTTATGTAACCATAATAGAGTATAAAAACCCAGAAATTGAAGTTGGTACAATGTGTGTGCGTAGTTCTGTGCCATTCTATCAAGTGTCTGTAAATATAACTACTACTACAATTTCCTATGCAGAACTGTTTCATCACCAGAAAGATCTCTCTCCTGCCTCTCTTCTGCCACCATCTCTAACTCCTGCCAACCACTGATCTGTTCTTCATCTCTATAATTTTGTTACTGTGAGATTACCAAGTGATATGTGACCTTCGGAAATGATTTTCTTTACTCAGCATAATGCCCTCAGGTCCGTCAAGGTTTGTTGAGTATATCAGTAGCTAAACTGGGACCATTTATTTGTCTCTTCATCTAATCATCAATTAAAAATGACCACGCATAAATGTAAGCTTTTACAGTTAAACTTATTGTATATAAATAGTCACTTCGGCTGGGCGCGGTGGCTCACGCCTGTAATCACAGCACTTTGGGAGGCCGAGGAGGGCGGATCACTTGAGGTCAGGAGTTCAAAACCAACCTGGCCCCCATGGTGAAACCCTGTCTCTACTAAAAATACAAATGAGCCAGGTGTGGTGGTGTGCGCTTGTAATCCCAGCTACTTGGGAGGTTGAGGCAGGAGAACTGCTTGAACCCAGAAGGTGGAGGTTGCAGTGAGCCGAGATCATGCCATTGCACTCCAGCCTGGCCAACACAGCAAGACTCCTTCTCAAAAAAAAAAAAATGTCACTTCATGCTTAGAAATATCAGTAGATGGCCGGGTGTGGTGGCTTAGCCTGTAATCCTAACAGTTTGGGAGGCTGAGGTCAGGAGATCGAGGTCATCCTGGCGAACATGGTGAAACCCCATCTCTACTAAAAATACAAAAATTAGCTGGGTGTGGTGGCACGTGCCTGTAGTCCCAGCTACTTAGGAGGCTGAGGCAGGAGAATCGCTTGAACCCAGGTGGCGGAGGTTGTAGTGAGCTGAGATCGCGCCACTGCACTACAGCCTGGTGAGAGAGCGAGAATCTGTCTCAAAAAAAATAAAAAAGGGCAGTAGATAAAAAAAGTACAAACATGAGTATCTTGATAAATTCTATTCTCAGGCTTTCAGGTTCATAATCCTGTTGATAGATGACATGTAGAAATAGAAGAATTTGTAAATATAGGAATATTCATTGATGTTTTTAGGACTGGATTCTAAGGGTGGTTTTTACCTCTAATATCCAAATACTGCTGCCTCAAGAGAACAATTTTTGTTTTCAAAATTCCATGATAAAAAAGATGCAGTAACCCTGTATGTGGCATTTTGTCAGGTTAATTAAGAGCATTTTGCAGCAAAAAAAAAAGTTTTTTGTAGAGGCAGGGTCTTGCTTTGTTGTCCAGGCTGGTCTAGAACTTCTGCATTCAAGTGATCCTCCTGCCTTGGCCTCCCAAAGTGCTGTGATTAGATGTGTGAGCCACTGTGCCTGGCCTGGTGTTTTAAAGAACTAACTTTTAACTTTGGTTCTTGGAAAAGACTAGCAATACTTGTTATAAAAAAAAGGAAAAGGGTTTAGCCGTAGGACTTTGATGACAATTCCTTTTTTTTTTTTTTTTTTTTGAGACAGAGTCTCACTCTGTTGCCCAGGTTGGAGTACAGTGGCACTATCTCAGCTCACTGCAACCTCCACCTCCCAGGTTCAAGCCATTCTCGTGCCTCAGCCTCCCAAGTGGCTGGAATTACAAGTGTGCACCACCACACCCAGATAATTTTTTATATTTTTAGTAGAGATGGGGTTTCACCATGTTGCCCAGGCTGGTCTTGAACTCCTGAGCTCAGGCAGTCCACCTGCCTTGGCCTCCCAGAGTGGTGGGATTACAGCAGTGAGCCACTGAGCCCAGCAGATGACAATTCTTTATGAAGAAGAAATTGAGTATCCTGTTTAAGGCACTCAAGAAAAGAAAATGTGAGTAAAGCATTTTTTGTTCCAGCAAAACCGACTTTTCAGATGAAAAACACACAAACTTCTCAGTGAGCTGTAACTTAGGAAGTATTGTTCTCATGAGCCCTTCCTTAGGAATGGAGTGGAGAAAGATCTTTAGACAACTGGATGACTGTAGATCAACCTGCAACTGATGATGGGCATGAAACAGTTATTTGTTAAACCTAGACTGCATGAGTGTTAAGGGAGAGAGCATGGCATAGCCATGTGCTTAGACATTGTAGATTATGGTTGTAACTGTTATGCAGTTCTGTTAATCTCATCCATCCATTTTGTATTTTCATTTCTAGAGATTCCATTTGAGTCCTTTTTATATCTTCTGTTTCACTCCTTATAACATTCATGCTTTCCTTCTATTAGTATAGGGAGAATTTCTGTAAGAGAGCTTTTAATGTCCTTGTCTGTGAATTCTGTAATCTCTGATCACTTCTAGATCCATCTCTGTTGATTGATTCTGTCATTTCTATTGATTGATTGCCCTAGTTATGGGGGCATGGTTGTATGCCTGCTAATTTTTGATTGAATGCTAGGCATTAATTTTATCTTCTGTGCAGGATTTTGTTTTATTTTTTTAAAGAGCCTTAGTTTTCTTCTGCCATACATGTAAGTTACATGGGGTCAGTTTGATCTTTTCAAAGCTTGATTCTGAGGTTTGTTAGGCTGATCCACACAGGCTTTACTCTTGGGCTCATTTATCCATACAACGAAGGCAATACTGTTCTCAGGACTCCACCTGATGCTTGGTGTATGAGAAGATCTTTCTGTCCTTGTTTGTGGAAACACAGGCTTTTCCCAGACTGTGCATCATGGCAGTGCTGCTTATTACTTTCTAGTGCTGCTTTCCCCAGTATTCCATAGTTTTCTTAACCTATGCTCAGAGTAGTACTCAGACAGATACTCAAGGGGCCCCTCCACTCATCTCTGGAGCTTGCTGTATTCTTGTCATTTGGCCTACGTATAGCTGATCTGTCTCCTGAGCTCAGCAAGTTCTTTGGGCTCTATTTGGGTTCCCCTTTCCTGTGCTGCAGCCTGGAAGCTGCTTCTGGGCAGTGTTTCCCTTCTCTCAGGGATCCCAGCTCTGGGCTGTCTGTTGTCCAGTTTTTGGTAACAGCTTTTCGGTATATTCTGTCTGGTTTTCTAGTTGATTATAGCAAGGAAGTGATTTCTACAGAATTCATCCTTTATAGGTGGAGGAAGCACAGGCCTTCCCAATCTGATTTTAATCAAATCCATTGAGTTTTAAATTTTACTATTATATTTTTCTATTCCAGAATTTCCATTTTTTAAACATATCAACTTTATTGAGGTATAATTATATTAAACACATCCCTTTAAAATGTTTAGTTTGAAATGTTTGACAGTTTCTTTAACTGCCACTTTAGGTACTTTTTTCTAGTTTCAACTTCTGTGTTGAAATTGTTAATGTGATCTTTTTTTTTTTTTTTTTTTTTGACAAGGAGTCTCGCTCTGTCGCTCAGGCTGTAGTGCAGTGGCACAATCTCGGCTCACTGCAACCTCCATCTCCTGGGTTCAAGTGATTCTCCTGCCTCAGCCTCCCGAGTAGCTGGGACTGCAGGTGCCCGCCACCACACCTGGCTAATTTTTGTATTTTTAATAGAGACGGGGTTTCACCAGATTGGCCAGGCTGGTCTTGAACTCGTGACCTCGTGATCCGCCTGCCTTGGCCTCCCAAAGTGCTGGGATTACAAGCATGAACCGTGCCCGGCTGTTAATAGGATCTTTTAATTGCTTGACTCTATTAAAGGTAGTTATTTTAAAAGTGTGTTTATAAACCTTGTCCGACCCCATAGATTCCTTAGCCGCCTCTCTCTGTCCCTCTTGGCTGACTCATGCCTGTGAGCCGCCCTTCGGCTCCAGTCTCCGCTGTGATGTCACGCAAGAGAGTTGGAGTATGGCTTCCTGACTGCCTACCAAGGAGCCAGTGACACAGCCTGGAAGGTGTGGCGAGTGTGTGTGGGTGTGAATTCCTTGTGGTATGAACGTTCACCACTTTACAAGGAGAGATGAGGGAACTCAGTGTTTTTATTCCTCCCTTTTTTCTTTCCTCTTTGGACTATTTTATGGTGTAGTTTCTTCTTGCAAACCTTCTGGAAAAGCCACATATGCCTAGTGAATGTGCTGGCTGAACAGTTGGTTGTATTTGCAGCTCATTGAGAAGAGGTGGCACTAACATAGGGGTCAGCACATTTTTTCTGTAAAGCACCAGATAGTAAATGTTTATGTGGGCCGTACGTGCTCTTTTAGAACAGCTCACCTTGGCCATTGTCCTGCGAGAAGCTGCCAAACATGTGTATGGCTATATTCCAGGAAAACTTTGTGGATACCAGAATTTGAATGTCATATAATTTTCATTTGTTGACATATGATTTTTTTTTTTTTTTTTTTTCTGAGAGGGAGTCTTGCTCTGTTGCCCAGGCTGGAGTGCAGTGGCGCGATCTTGGCTCACTGCAACCTCCACCTCCTGGGTTTAAGCAATTGTTCTGCCTCAGACTCTGGAGTAGCTGGGATTACAGGCGTGTACCATCATGCCTCACTAATTTTTTTTTTTGTATTTTTAGTAGAGATGGGGTTTCATCATGTTGGCCAGGCTGGTCGTGAACTCCTTACCTCGTGATCCGCCCGCCTTGGCCTCCCAAAGTCTGAGATGACAGGTGTGAGCCACCGTGCTTGGCTGACATATGATTCTTTTGATTATGTTGCAACCATTGAAAAATATAAAATCACTCTTTTTTAATATATATTTTTCTTTTTTTAGGAAATTAAAGGAAATAAGAATGGCTCCTACATAGGCAGAGTAGGCTAAAATCACACTTAGCTGACTGTGAAGTCATATACTGCATATCGTTACTTCATTGATCTCCTTGTCTCACTTTCCCACTTCCCTCACCCCATTGCCCCGAGCTGACATCTGCTGAGCAGAGTGTCAACACTTCAGTTCATTCCTCAGGCTCTTCTTTCACGACAGAAGTCTTTATATTTCTGTTTTCAGGATCTACTCGGTCTGTTCTAATGACTTCTATTTTTTTTTCATTTTTCAATGATGTGGTCTTGTATCTTTGTCATTATTATATTTGCTTGACTTTCAGATATTGTATATGCAATATTGTAGCAATAAATCGAGGCTCTAGGTAACAATATCTTCCTCCAGAGAGGATGTTCTAGGCAATCCCAGGTCACTGCAGTCCCTTTGGAAATTGAGAGAATGCAAAACTGGGCTGGTTTTCCGTGAAGGCTGGTCTACTTCTAACTCACCTGTATTTCTGGTGTGTGGCCCTTTGAGGTTCCAGCTCAGAGCATGGGATCTGCCAGGCCTCTTTCTCCTGTATGAGGGCCCTGGGAGTCTCTCAGAAGCTCCGTTTTGCTTCTCAGTCTCATCCCTGCGTGCTTAGGTTCTCTGGGCCTCTTTCTTCCTCTCGTGGGTCTTAGACTTTAGGAAGACCTCACTCCCTTGCTGCTTCTAGGATGTCTTCAAATCGACGTACTTAATGTTCCTGTCTGACCTTTCTAATTGTTCTAGGAACCTGTTCTTAACATTTTTTCATATGTTGTCCTACGTTCAGTAGGTGTTTAGTATTTTTCTGTAGGTTTAAGAAAAAAAGCCGTATACCTTTACTCATCTGCAAATATTTGAAGATTACTTTTCTGTCAAATTGTAAGGACATGAAAAAGAAACATTTTCTAACCTATACATTAATCAGATATTCATTTGTTATATTATTCAGTTTTGGATTTTATTGCCTGACTCTATAGTTCTGAAGTCACTTTAATAAATGCCTTAACGGGCTGGGTGCGGTGGCTCCCGCCTGTAATCCCAGGCCGAGGCGGGTGGATCACAAGGTCAGGAGATCGAGACCATCCAGGCTAACACGGTGAAACCCTGTCTCTACTAAAAATACACAAAAAATTAGCCGGGCGTGGTGGCGTGCGCCTGTAGTCCCAGCTACTTGGGAGGCTGAGGCAGGAGAATGGCATGAACCCGGGGAGCCAAGATGGCGCCACTGCACTCCAGCCTGGGCGACAGAGCAAGACTCTGTCTTAAAAAAAAAAAAAAAAAAAAAATGCCTTAACTGTTTGCTTGCCTAGTCCTGATTGGTATTAAAATATTGGTGGCCTATGTATGGGAGCGTGAAGGCTTGCCCTGGCTGCCGTGCTGCAGGTGTGGGTGCATGTTATGGTGTTGGTGGGAAGCGAATAAGCCTTGGAGTTGGGCCTCTTCCCAAATCCCGCCTCTCACAGCCTCAGTGTTGTGTGGCCTTTGGTCAAGTCATTGGCCTTCTGAGCTTCAGTTTAGTAACTTACAAAAAGTGAGCCTGTTACTGCCTCTTTTGCTGGGGTCTTTTGACGATGAAAGTGCCTTTACTTGCCATGTCATTTCAGAGGTGTAAGATAGGAATGTGAGATTGGAAAAGATTGGAAAAGAGTTCTTAGCCCAAATAACCTAATTAGAAGCTTCTGGGATCTGAACCAAAAAAGTCAAAAGTTGAAAAGCTACTGGGCACGTTTAGGTAAGTCAGCTACTAATAAAAAGCTAATTGGAGACAGTTGTAGAAATAAATACTCTCACTTTACAAATGGAAAGTCCCATTCATTTTTTTCTTTTTCTTTCTTTTTTTTTTTTTTTAAATGAATAGGGTCTCTGTCACCCAGGTTGGAATGCTGTGGTGTGATCAGAGCTTACTGTAACCTCAAACTCCTGGGTGCAGGTGACCGTCCTGCTGTAGCCTCCTGAGTAGCTGGGATTACAGGCACGTGCCATGCACTTGGGTAATTTTTACATTTCTGTAGAGACACGGTCTTACCATGTTGCCCAGACTGATCTTGAACTCTTGGCCTCAAGCAGTTCTTCTGTCTTGGCCTCCCAAAGCTCTGGGATTACGGCGTGGGCCACCACGCCCTGCCTGTAGTCTCCATTCTTCTCAGTGCCACGGCTGTCTTCCAGTTGTTCCCAGGCTGCTGCTTCCTCAGTCAGGATCCTGTACTGTCTGTGATCTGGAGAGCTCTTCTCCTGGGCTTCACTTTTGCTTGTTCACAGTCTAACTCTCTGGAGACCTCCTCCAGTGAGGCTTGCTTTATTGCCTTAGTAATGTTCCACCTTTAAGGTGCCCAAATTGTTTTTTGAATGGTGCTTACCATTTATTTGGGTCATCAGTTCCTAGGAGGCTTCCACAGTGCATGTCCTTCCAGGAGTCCAGTGTCTACCTTCCAAAAAAGAATTCCTTGTTACTCAGAAGGACAAGGTCTGGCCTATCCTCTTCCTTCCCAGTGCTACCCAGGTAATAATCGAAAGGTGGTGGTAATTATTCTTGTTTCCATGTAAACTGGGCTTCCTCCTTGGCTTAGTCTTTAAATGTTCCATCTTTTGGCTTTTTTTTTTTAAATGGTACCTCTGTAACACTAATGTTTCTCAATCTAGGCTGTACCGCAGAACACTGATGTGTGGAGCCCAGCCAGTCTGGGGCGATCTTAGAGTGCTTTCAGGGCTGGGCAGGGGTCTCCCCTCTCTGCTTGGGTGTTGGCATCTTCTCCAGGACACCACCTACAGTCCATTTGTTGACTACTCCCAGATTTGAGTCTCTAGCCCTGAACACTCTGCTAAGATCTGGATCTATATTTACTGAGGGTTGGTGGAGTGGGGAGGAGCTCCATGTTTATGTTCAGTAGTTAGTGCAAATCTTAGTGGTTAAAACGGAACTAATTCTCATTCCTCTTCTGTTCCCTCCCTTATTTTCCCTTTCACATTTGATTTAACTTACGTGATTTGAAATAGTTTCTTTTTTTGTTTTTTAAGTCAGGGTCTCACTCTGTTGCCCAGGCTGGAATGCAGTGGCACCGTCACGGCTCACTGCAGCCTTAACCTCCCCGGGCTCAGGTGATCCTCCCACCTCAGCTCCCTGAGTAGTGGGACTACAGGTGCGTACCACCACGCCTGGTTAATTTTTGTATTTTTTGTAGAGACCGGGTTTCACCGTGTTGCTCTGGCTGGTCTCGAACTCCTGGGCTCAAGCAGTCTGCCCACCTCGGCCTCCCAGACTGCTGGGATTACAAATGTGAGCCACCGTGCCCTGCCTGAAATAATCTTAAAGACTGTACTTCCCTGTGTTGACTTCTGCTGTCATCCTTTCTTTTTTGGACCCTTGGTAATAGCCTTTTTTTTTTTTTTTTTTTTTTGAGATGCAGTCCCACTCTGTCACCCAGGCTGGTGTGCAGTGGTGCGATCTCCACTCACTGCAACGTCCGCCTCCCAGGTTCAAGCAATTCCCTTGCCTCAGCCTCCCGAGTAGCTGGGACTATAGGCGCGTGCCACCACATCTGGCTAATTTTTTGTATTTTTAGTAGAGATGAGTTTTCGCTGTGTTAGCCAGGATGGTCTTTATCTCCTGACTTCATGATCCACCCGCTTTGGCCTCCCAAAGTGCTGGGATTACAGGCGTCAGCCACCGTGCGTGGCCAGTAATAGCTTCTTAGTTCACCTTCTCTGTTTCTGTTTTCTGAAACACTTTAAGACACGGGTCAAATGTCGTATTCCCTTGAGTGCCTAAAGATAGTCTGAAACTCCTGGAGCACGGCCCACATGGAGCTGTGAGTTCTGACCACTGTTAGCCTCTTATCATGTGCATTGTGGTAGGGTTTGGACTGAACCCCAGTGCACGTATTCACTGCTCTCCTCTGACTGAAGACTAGAAGAGTCAAAGCTTTCCATTCACTCGTTAAACTTCAGGGGCCCTGAATGTTTTTGGCTCACTTTTTAATTTTATTTTTTATATTATTTTAATTTTTTAAATTTAAATTAAAAATTTTTTTTGACAGGGTCTTGCTCTATTGCCCAGGCTGGAGTACAGTGGAGTGATCTCAACTCACTGCAACCTCTACCTCCTGGTCTCAAGCAGTTCTCCCACCTCAGCCTCCCAAGTAGCTGGGAGTACAGGCGCGCCACCACCTCTGGCTAATTTTTTGTATTTTTGGTAGAAATGCGGTTTTGCCATGTTGTTCAGGCTGGTCTTGTACTCCTGAGCTCAAACAATTCACCTGCCTTGGCCTCCCAAGTGCTGGGATTACAGGTGTGAGCCACCATGCCCAGCTTTCTGGCTAATTTTACAATTTTTTTTGTAGAGACAGGGTCTTGCTATGTTGCTTAGATTGGTTTTGAACTCCTGGGCACAAGTGATTCTCTTGCCTCAGTCTTCCAAGGTGCTGGGATTAGAGATGTGAGTCACTCTACCTGGCCAGGGCTCACTTTTTAGGAAGGAGTTTACCTCTCCCCCACCAGCTGATATTTTTACCAAAAGTCATATGTTTTGGTTCCAAGTATGTTTATGGCAGTTATCCTGTTAGTGATGTGAACAGAAAAAATAACAGTGCTGAGAGAAAGCTGTTCCTTCTACAAAAACTGAAGGATGCTGGCTTGGTTTCTGTCGCTACAGAACAAGTTACCAAACACAAATTTGGCAGCTTGTAACAACAAGCATTTACACTCTCACAGTTTCTGTGGGTCAGGAGTCTGGCCATAGCTTAGTTCTATCCTCTACTTCAGGTGTCACAGGCTGTAGTCAAGGTGTTGGCTAGGGCACGCTGTCATCTGGAGCTCAGGTCCTCATTGGTAGAATTGAATCCATTGTGGTTGTGGGACTGAAACCCTGGGCTCTTGGAGGCTGCCCCTCCCCACAGGCAGTTCATTGGCTGCTTGCTTCTTCAGATTGGAGACCATCTCTTCAGGACGGTGCGGAGGGATGGAAAAAGGGAGAGGCAAATGGAAATCACAAAAGAGCATAGCGGTTATATCAGACCAAATAGATTTCAAGACCAAAACTATAAAAGGAGACCAAAAAAGTCATTATGTAATGATAAAGGGGCCAATTCAGCAAGAGGCTATAACTATTATAAATATATGTATATATGCACTCAACACTAGAGCACCCAGATACATAAAACAAATATTACAGCTAAAGAGAGAGAAAGGCGTTAATACATTAATAGATGGAGGCTTCAACACTCCACTTCAGCATTGGACAGATCAGATCATCCAGACAAAATTAACGAAGAAACATCAAACTTAATCTGCACTGTAGACCAAATGGATTTAATAGATATTTCTAGAACATTTCATCTGATGGCTGCAGAATTTACATTGTTCTCTTTAGCACATGGATCGTCCTCAAGGTTAGACCATATGTTAGGCCACAAAATAAGTCATTAAAAATTGAAACCTTGATACTAAAAGCAGACAAAGACACGTCAAAGAAAGAATACTACAGGCCAATGTCTCTGATGAATATTGATGCAAATATCCTCAACAAAATACTAGCAAACCAAATTCAGCAATACGTTAGAAAGATCGTTCATTGTGATGAAGTGGGGTTTATCCCTGGGGTACAAGGATGGTTCAACATATGCAAATCAATCGATGTGACACATCATGTCAACAGAAGGATAAAAACCATGTGATTATTTCAGTCGATGCTGAAAAGGCATTTGATAAAATTCAACATCCTTTCATGATAAAATCTCTTAAAACTGATTATGGAAGAAACATACCTCAACATAATAAAAGCCGTATATGACAGACCCACAGCTAGTATCATACTGAATGGTGAAAAACTGAAAGTCTTTCCTCTAAGATCTGGAACATGACAAGGATGCTCAGTGTGGCCACCGTTATTCAACATAGTACTGGAAGTTCTTGCTAGAGCAATCAGACAAGAGAAAGAAATAAAAGGCCTCCACATTGGAAAGGAAGAAGTCAAATTATCCTTGTTTGCAGATGATATGATCTTATATGTGGAAAAACCTAAAGACTCCACAAGAAAATGATTAGAGCTGATAAATTCAGTACAGTTGCAGTATACGAAATCAACATACAAAAATCAGTAGCATTTCTGTGTGCCAACAGTAAACAATATGAAAAAAATTAGAAAACTAATCCCATTTATAGTAGCCACACATGAAATTAAGTACCTGGGAAGTAACCAAAGAAGATAATTACAAAGATCTCTGTAATGAAAACTCTAAAACCCTGATGAAAGACATTAAAGAGGACACAAAAGATGGAAAAATATTTCATCTTCATGGATCGGAAGAATCAATATTGTTAAAATGTCCATACTACCCAAAGCAATCTACCGATTGAGTGCAATCCCTAGCAAAATACCAATGACATTTTTCACAGAAACAGAAAAAAAAAAAATCCTAAAATTCATGTTGAACCACAAAAGACCCAGAATAGCCGAAGCTCTCATAATTGAAAAGAAACAAACTGGAGGAATCAGATTACCTGACTTCAAATTATACTACAGAGCTATAGTAACCAAAACAGCATAGTACTAGCATAAAACAGACACAGACCAACGGAACAGAATAGAGAATCCAGAAACAAATCCGCACATCTACGGTGAACTCATTTTCGACAAAGGTACCAAGAACAAACACTGGGGAAAAGACAATCTCTTCAATAAATGGTGTTGGGAAAACTTGATATTCATATGCAGAAGAATGAAGCTAGATTCCTCTTTTGCCATATAAAAGTTAAAAAAATTATGTTAAGTATCTTCTCTGATCACAATGGACTATAACTAAAAATCAATAACGAGGAATTTTGGAAACTCCACCAACACATGGGAATTAAACAATATGCTCCTGAATGACCAACAGGTCAGTGAAGAAATTAAGAATGAAATTAAACAATTTCTTGAAGCAAATGGCAATGGCAGCACAGCATACGAAACCTGTGGGATATAGTGAAAGCAATACTAAGAGGAAAATCAAAAAAGTAGAAAAACTTCAAATAAATAACCTAATGATACATCTTAAAGAACTAGAAATGAAGGAGCTAACCAAACCCATAATTTTAAGGACAGAAATAATAAAAATTAGAGCAGAAATAAAATGGAGTTGAAATGAAGAAAATAATACAAAAGATCAATGAAATGAAAAGTTGGTTTTTCTAAAAGATAAATTGACAAGCTTTCAGGCAGGCTAAGAGAAAAAGAAGACCCAAATCAGAGGTGAAAAAGTAGGCATTACAACTGATATTGCAGAAATTCAAAGGATCATTAGAGACTATGAACAGCTATATGTCAATAAATTGGGAAACATGGAAGAAATAGATAAGTTTGCAGGCTGGGCGTGGTGGCTCATACCTGTAATCCCAGCACCTTGGGAGGCTGAGGCGGGTGGATCGCTTGAGGTCAGGAGTTTGAGACCAGTCTGGCCAACATGGTGAAACTCCATCTCTACTAAAAATACAAAAATTAACCAGGTGTGGTTTTGCGTGCCTGTAATTCCAGCCACTTGGAAGGCTGAGGCACGAGAGTCACTTGAGCCCTGGGAGGGGGAGGTTGCAGTGTGCTGAGATCATGTTACTGCACTCCACCCTGGGTGAAAGAGTGAGACTGTGTCTTCAAAAAAAGAAGGAAAAAGAAATGGATAATTTCACAGGCACATACAGCCTTCCAAGTTTGAACCATGAAGAAATCCAGAACCTGAACATACCAATAACAGGTAATGAGATTGAAACTGTAATAATAAAAAGTCTTCCAGCAAAGAAAAACCCCAGGACCCAGTGACTTCACTGCTGAATTTTACCAAATATTTAAAGAAGAACTATTACCAATCCTAGTGAAACTATTCTGAAAAATAGAGGAGGAGGGAATACTTCCAAACTTACTGTAGAAGGCCAATATTACCCTGATACCAAAACCAGACAAAGACATAATCAAAAAAACAAAACAGGCCAGTATCCCAGATGAACATTGATGCAGAAATACCCAACAAAATACCAGCAAACCGAATTCAACAACACATTAGAAACATCGTTCATCATGACCAAAGTGGGGTTTATCCCAGGGATGCCAGGATGGTTCACCATATCCAAATCAATCAGTTTGATACATCATATCAATAGAATGAAGGATAAAAAACCATATGATCATTTAAATTCATGCTGAAAAGGCATTTGATAAAATTCAACATCCTTTCATGATAAAAACCCCAAAAAACTGGTTATAGAAGGAACACACCTCAACGCAATAAAAGCCATATACAACTGACACACAGCTAGTATCATACTGAAAGGTGAAAAACTGAAAGCCTTTCCTCTAAGATCTGGAACAAGACACGGATGCCCACTGTCACCACTGTTATTCAATATAATAATGGAAGCCCTTGCTAGAGGAGTCAGATAAGAGAGAGAAAGGCCGGGTGCAGTGGCTCACACCTATAATCCCAGCACTTTGGGAGGCTGAGGTGAGTGGATCACTTGAGGTCAGGAGTTTGAAGCCTGGCCAACATGGTGATACCCTATCTCTACTAAAAATATAAAAATTAGCTAGGCGTGGTGGCGGGTGTCTGTTGTCCCAGCTACTCGGGAGGCTGAGGCAGGGAAATCACTTGAACCCCAGAGGTGGAGATTGCAGTGAGCTGAGATTGTGCCGCTATATTCCAGCCTGGGCTATGGAGCAAGACTCCATCTCAGAAAAAAAAAAAAAGAAGAAGAAATAAAGGGCATCTAAATTGGAAATGAAGATGCCAAGTTACTCTTGTTTGCAGATGATTGTTATATTTGGAAAAACCTAAAAACTCCACCAAAAAATGATTAGAACTGATAAATTCAGTAAAATTGCAGGATACTAAATTAACATACAAAAATCAGTAGCATTTCTCTCTCTCTCTTTTTTTTTTTTTTTTTTTTGAGATGGAGTCTCACTCTGTGGCCTAGGCTGGAAAGCAATGGCGCAATCTCGGCTCACTGCAACCTCTGCCTCCTGGGTTCAAACGATCCGCCTGTGTTAGCCGCCTGAGTAGCTGGGATTACAGGCGCCTGCCACCAGGCCTGGCTAATTTTTGTATTTTTAGTAGAGACAGGGTTTCACCACATTGGCCAGGCTGGTCTTGAACTCCTGACCTCAGGTGATCCACCTGCCTCGGCCTCCCAAAGTGCTGGGATTACAGGTATGAGCCACTTTGCCCAGCCAAATCAGTAGCATTTCTATATGTCAACAGTGAACAATATGAAAAATAAATCAAGAAAAATAATTCCATTTATAATAGCTACAAATAAAGTAAAATACGTAGGAATAAACCTAACCCAAGAAGTGAAAAGATCTCTACCACGAAAACTGTAAAACATTGATGCAGAAAATTGAAGAAGACACACAGAAAAGGAAAAGTTACTCTGTGTTCATGGATTGGAAGAATCAATATTAAAATGTCTGTACTACCCAAAGCAATCTACAGGTTCAATGTAATCCCTATCAAAATACCAATGACATTCTTCACAGAAATAGAAAAAAAAATCCTGAAATTTGTATGGAATCACAAGAGACAGAATAGCCAAAGCCATCCTGAGCAAAAAACAAAACTGGAGAAATTGCATTATCTGACTTAAAATTATACTACAGTCACTTCCTGGTCTTTTTTGGCTTAGATCAAGTGCAAAGTTTACTAGAAAGGTATACCAAAACAGCATGGTACTGGTATAAAAACAGACACCTAGACCAATGGAACAGAATAGAGAACCCAGAAACAGATCTATACATCTACAGTGAACTCACCTTTGACAGAGGTGCCCGGAGGATACATGAGGGAAAGGATAGCCTCATTGATAAATGGTGCTGGGAAAATGGGGCACCCATATGCAGAAAAATGAAACTAGACCACTATCTCTCACCATATACGAAAATCACATCAAAATGGAGTAAAGACTTAAACCTAAGACTTCAGACTATGAAAGTGCTAAAAGAAAACATTGGGGAGACTCTCCAGGACATTGCACTGGGTAATGATTTCTTGAGTAATACTTCGTAAACACAGGCAACCAAAGCTAAAATGGACAAGTGGGATCACATTGAGTTAAAAAGCTGCACAGCAAAGGAAACAATCAACAAAATGAAGAGACAACCCACAGAATGGGAGAAAATATTTGCAAACTACCCATCTGACAAAGGATTAATAACCAGAATATATAATTAGCTTAAGCAACTCTATAGGAAAAAAATCTAATAATCCAATAAGAATGGGCAAAAGATTTGAATAGACATTTCTCAAAAGAAGATATACAAATGACAAACAGGCAATACGAACAGGTGCTCAACATGGTTGGTCATCAGAGACATGCAAATCAAAACTATAATGAGATATTATCTCACCCTAATTAAAATGGCTTATATCCAAAAGACAAGAACAAATGCTGGCAAGAATATAGAGAAAAGGGAACCCTTGTGCACTGTTGGTGGGAATGTAAATTAGCACAGCCATTATGGAGATTAGCTTGGAGGTTCCTCAAAAAACTAAAAATAGGACTATCATATGATTCAGCAATCCCACTGGTAGGTATATACCCAGAGGAAAGAATATCAGTATGTTGAAGAAATATGTACACTCTCATGTTTATTGCAGCACTATTCTCAATAGCCAAGATTTGGAAGCAACCTAAGTGTTCCCAGCAGATGAATGGATGAAGAAAATGTGGTATATATACTCAACGGAGTACTATTCAACCATGAAAAAGAATGGGATACTGCCGTTTGCAACAACATGGATAGAACTGGAGGTCGTTATGTTAAGTCAGGAACAGAATGTCATGAGCCAGACCCAGAAAATCGAACTTTGCATGTTCTCACTTATTTGTAGGTGCTAAGCAAATGAAAGTAATTGAACTCATGGAGATAGAGTAGAATGATGGTTATCAGAGACTGGGAAGGATAAAGTGGGGGTGAAGTGCGGATGGTTAATGGGTATAAAAATGGAGTTAGATAGGGCTGGGCACAGTGGCTTACGCCTGTAATCCCAGCTCTTTGGGAGGCCAAGGTAGGTGGATCATGAGGTCAAGAGACCCAGACCATCCTGGCCAACACGGTGAAACCCCATCTCTACCAAAAATACAAAAATTAGCTGGGTGTGGTGGTGTGAGCCTGTAGTCCCAGCTACTCGGGAGGCTGAGGCAGGAGAAACCCTTGAACCCAGAAGGCAAAGGTTGCAGTGAGCTGAGATCGCACAACTGCACTCCAGCTTAGTGCCAGAACGAGATCCGTCTCCAAAAAAAAAAAAAAGTTAGATAGAATATATAACCCATATATATATACATACAACTAGTGTGTATCCACAGAAGTTAAAAAAAAAAAAAAGATGGGCAAACATCTGTCTCTTTTAATTAAAAATGGCTTTTGTTTTGCCAGACAAGGGAGCTTCTGTCACATACGCAGTTTTCAGAATGGATGCCTTCCCCCAGTGTCTGAAATGCTCCCTTTTCCTGTTCTGGGAAGCCTTTTCTGACTCACAAATGTTGACAAGCAAAGGCGTTTTTGATTTTGATGCTCACAGTTATTATAATTATTATAAATTTGGCCAGGAGTCCCTATCGTCTTTGAACAGCTGCTTTTTTTTTTTTTTTTTTTTTTTTTTTGAGATAAAGTCTTGCTCTGTCACCCAGGCTGGAGTGCAGTGGCACAGTCTTGGCCCACTGTAACCTCCGCCTCCTGGGTTCAGGCTATTCTCCTGCCTCAGCCTCCCAAGTAGCTGGGATTATGGGCGCCTGCCACCATGCCCAGCTAATTTTTGTATTTTTAGAAGAGATGGGGTTTCGGCATGTTGGGTAGGCTGGTCTCGAACTCCTGACCTCAAGTGATCTGCCCGCCTCAGCCTCCCAAAATGCTAGGATTATAGGCGTGAGCCACCGCACCTGGCCATGTTTGAGGAAACAGCTTTTTCTTTGAGGAAACAGGCTCATCTTTGTCTGCCCTGGCCCTTGAATCTACTTATTTTCCCAAGAGCCCTAGCGTCTTTTATCGGGAAATGGTTCTGAGAGACCAAAATCTGGGTGCCGCTGTCAGATTGCCTTTGATTCTAGTCCTTTAAAAAACAGAGTAAGCAAATATATTCAAAAATAAAGTTCATAGATTTCCAATTTAAGTTGTTTTTCAAAATTTCTTTGATTTTTTTTCCTCTTTTCCACTGAAAACCTTAATTTTTTTTTTTTTTTTTTTGAGATGGAGTCTCGTTCTGTTTACCCAGGCTGGAGCACAGTGACATAATCTCGGCTCACTGAAACCTCTGCCTCCTGGGTTCATGCTAGTCTTCTGCTTCAGCCTCCCGAGTGACTGGGATTACAGGCATGCACCAGCACACCCGGCTAATTTTTCATATTTTTAGTAGAGATGGGGTTTCACCATGTTGGCCAGGCTGGTCATGAACTCCTGACCTCAAGTGATTTACCTGCCTTGGCCTGCCAAATGCTGGGATTACGGGTGTGAGCCACCATGGCCGGCCTAAAACCTTAATTTCTAAGAACATTTAATACTTTATCATAAACATGTTTTATTGTATTTACACTGCTTTATTGTGCAACATGAAGTAGTTCTAAAATTGTGAGAGTGTTATCAATACCGATAAATATTTTATTTTTCATTATAGTATATTCTATTAATGATATGTAGTTCAAAAGTCCCTTGACATACTTTTCTTTGTATATGCATGGGTTAATTTGCTTGTTGCCAGTTGTAGGTTTTGCTTTTTTATGATTTAATTTTAATTTTTGAGGATGAAAGTCATGTATGTTTCAGAAGTAAAGACATCTAAAGTATACTCACAATGTTGTTGCTTTTTCTGGTCCTGCTGCCTTTGTCCATGTCCCCTCCCCATTTCCCCGTAGGTAGTCATTGGTACTTGCTTTCGGTTTATCTTTTCAGAGCATATGCACGTGTGTGTGTTTGTGTGTGTGTCTTTTTTTTTTTTTTCTTTTTTTTTTTTTTTAACACCGAGTCTCGCTCTTATCAACTCAGGCTGAGTGCTGTGGCGCGATCTTGGCTCACTGCAACCTCTGCCTCCTGGGTTCAAGCAATTCTCTTGCCTCGGCTTCGTGAGTAGCTGGGATTATAGGCGCCCGCCACCACGCCTGGCTAATTTTTTGTATTTTTAGTTGGGACGGCGTTTCACCGTGTTGGCCAGGCTGGTCTCAAATTCCTGATCCCCCGTGATGTGCCCCGCTCGGCCTCCCAAAGTGCTGGGATGACAAGCATGAGCCACCTCGCCCGACCATGTGTCATTTTTCTTGTATGTTACATAAGAGGTAGAATAGTATTTATACTATTATGCACCTTTTCATTTATATTTCTTGGATGACTTTCATGAAATGTAAAATGATTAAGTCACTAATTCAGTAAATCATTGATTTTATTACCGAATGATCGAATACATAAGGGCGATTGAGATTTTTTCCCATATCATTCTTTAAAAATTGCAGTGTGAGTGTGAGCTTATCTCATTTATCATTGCCAGCTTGCATTCACAAGAGATGGGCTCTGTGGTCTGTGGAATGAAATGGTTAAAGATGGAGAAATTGTATACACTGGAACAGAATCAACCCAGAACGGATAGCTCCCTCCTGGAAAAGGTAAGGGCCTTTAACTAGTGTTTTTTATTTGGTAAAGACCATTATAAAATGCATTTTATAGAAATTTTGTAATGTGCTATAGGAACAGGAGCTTTGAGCTTAACTCTTTGAAGTTTTGCTTTTTACTTTGGAGATTGTTGTCTAAAATGGTAGTTAATACAAGCTGCCCGGATTTTATTGTTTTACGTGAATTGAAGGCATTTTTATTGCAAAACCGTCTTGCCGCATTTGTGGTGTTCTTTGGGGGTGTATTAAACACTTATTGGAAGCCTTTGGCCTGCAAGGAAATGCCATTGAACAATCTTATTTAGCGTTGTAGTTTTGCATGCTCAATAGGACTATCATTAGGTTGTTCATAACAGTGGCTGTGTTTCAGAGTCCCCATTGAGGTTTAAAAAAATGGATGCTTGTATACACCCTAAACTTGTTGAATCTGAAAAGATCCTTGGTTGAGAACCACTGTTGAAGTTCGTTGGTCCCCCTGCTTGAGAGTCATCAACGTGGATAAAGCTACCACTTTAGAAAGTATTTATTCTAAGTTGAAATAGCTCAGTTGGGAGAGCATTAGTCTGAAGAAAGTATTTCTTCTTCTTTTTTTTTTTTTTGGGAAGGAGTCTTGCTCTGTCGCTGAGGCTGGAGTGCAGTGGCGCGATCTCAGCTCACTGCAAGCTCCACCTCCTGGGTTCATGCCATTCTCCTGCCTCAGCCTCCCAAGTAGCTGGGACTACAGGTGTCCACCACCACGCCCAGCTAATTTTTTGTATTTTTTAGTAGAGACAGGGTTTCACCGTGTTAGCCAGGATGGTCTCAATCTCCTGACCTCGTGATCCGCCCGCCTCAGCCTCCCAAAGTGCTGGGATTATAGGCGTGAGCCACCGTGCCTGGCAAGTATTTATTCTTCTTTTGTGGAATGAATTGGGATGGTGTCCACTTGAAAATACTTGGGGACCGGGCGCGGTGGATCGTGCCTGTAATTCCAGCACTTTGGGAGGCTGAGGCGGGCAGATCATTTGAGGTTGGGAGTTTGAGACCAGCCTGGCCAACATGGTGAAACCCCGTCTCTACTAAAAAATACAAAAATTAGCCAGGCATAGTGGCGGGCGCCTGTAATCCCAGCTACTTGGGAGGGCACGGCAGGAGAATTGCTTGGAGCCGGGAGGTGGAGGTTGCAGTGAGCAGATATTGTGCTACTGCACTCCAGCCTGGGTGACAGAGTGAGACTCCATCTCAAAAAAAAAAAACAAAAAACACAAAACAAACCATGGGAAAAAGTATTAGTCTCCCTCTTCAGTTTCAGTGTCAAGCAGAGTTACCTGTGTTTTTATTTTAATTTATTTTTTATATTTTTTTGAAAATATTCACACACACACACACACACACACACACACAATAACTGACAGACGTGTACAGTGAGTGGCTGCAGACCCACCTCCATGTCCTGCCACCGTATTTGGCTCCACATCCTGCTGTCTGTCCATCCACCGTTTGTCTCACCTAGCTCCTTAGACACTCATGTATGTAATTGATTCTAGTTCAACTTTGTTTTTGACTTTCAGGTAAAATTTATATATAATGAAATGTATCTATTTTGAGTTTACCATTTCACAAGTTTTGACAAATGTAACCCGTGTAACCCACATCTTTATCATGACTCTTGCTCAGAAAGTTCTCTGGTGTCCTGCCCCTTCTTCCCAGAGGCAATAGCTGGCCTGATGTTTCTCCAGCATTGACAAATTGCGCCTGTTCTAGAACTCCATACATGGAATCATGTAGTCGGGTTCTTCTGTGTCTTGGCTTCTTTCACTCTGTTTAGTGCTTTTGATTTTCATGTTTTTTTTTTTTAAACAACGTAATGGGTTTATATTTAATATAGCACTTCTCATCAGGAGGTGTTACTCAGTTAATATAAAGTTTTTATTAACATTAAATCTCTTTTCCATGTCAATGTCTATAGTGTTTTTTTTTCTTTAACATTAAGTCTTTTCTCCATTTCAGTATTAGATACACTGAACACATTTTTCTAAATGATTTTTTTTCTTTCCAGAGATAAAAGTTTCCCTTTTTGGCTGACTATTGGATATCTGAATTGGGGAGATGACAAAAGTCTAATAAAAATACAGAGAACAGACTCAGTGATTTAGGAGGCAGTGATTACGACTGAACAGTGGCGATTTCCTAGGATTCTGGGCAAAATCCATTTATGTACCAATTTGTTCCCATTTCATGGAATCAACTCAGAAAGTAAAACTCTCCTACTTACTAATTCTTGGAAACTTTCAGACACCAAAGCTTACATTTAGTTTCAGTAGCACAAAGGTTTTCAGGGTGAGGTTTCATTCATTAGGCCCTTCAAAGTCACATCTGTTCATTTTTATCTTTCGTGCGTATACCTGCAAGCAAGTACAAACACCTGTAATACTGAGAACCACACCTTTTAACGAGAGAGCAGTTGCATCACTGGCTTCCACTGCCTTGACAGCAGGCAGCACCAAAAGCAGTGACATAAGGACTAAGGACAATTGTGTTGAAACTGAGGTCATGATGTTGGGATTTTGAGGGCTGAATGTTCCAAGTAAGTGGTATATATAGAATTCTCTCTGACTTGAAATTTTCCCTTTCTGGACCTCTGGATGCTGAGGCTAAGAGTGTCCATATGACAGTGTCTTCCAAGACAGGAATCAGCAACCTTTTTTTGTTTTTCTGTATCAGTAATTCATTCTGTATATTTTAAAAAGTTTTAACCTCTTCTTCCTAGCCCTCCAGTATTTGTTTATAAATTAAAACGTTTCCCAAAGTGTTTTCTGTGAAACAATAGTTCTAAAAGGTGCTCTAAGAAAAGCTAAGTACATGGCAAAATCCAAAGTATATGTTTTATTCATTACATTTGATGAATTTTTTTTGTTTTTTCCTCTCGAGAGGGAGTCTTGTTCTGTCGCTCAGGCTGGGGTGCAGCGGCATGATTTTGGCTCACTGCAACCCCTTCCTCTCGGGTTCAAGCAGTTCTCTGCCTCAGCCTCCTGAGTACTCAGCTAGGATTACAGGCGCCCTCCACCATGCCCAGCTAATTGTTGAATTTTTAGTAAAGACGGAGTTTCACCATCTTGGTCAGGCTGGTCTTGAACTCCTGACCTCATAATCTGCCCACCTCGGCCTCCCAAAGTGCTGGGTTTACAGGTGTGAGCCACCATGCCCAGCCCACATTTGATGAATTTTTTTGTCTTTTGTTCTTTTAAAAATCATGGTTGGAAAGCAGAGCATAATTGTTCTTTATGTAGATCCCAACTGATTGGGATTGTTAGGGAGATGTTTTGGCATTCAGTAAATGTTTTTGTTTTCCATTATTAAGACTATGAATATTTTATTTTATTTTCTGAGACAGGGTCTCAGAATTTGTCAAATTTGTAAAATTTATAGCCAGATGTAGGGTAGGGGTGGCCTACTTTCTGTAAAGGGCCAGATAGTAAATATTTTAAGCTCTCAATGGACCCTATGGTCTCTGTCATAGCCATGGGACCTTGCAGCTGTAGTGCCAGAGTAGCCACAGACAATACTACGTCAGCGGGCTGGGGACGTTCATTCTGTAAACTTTATTTATGGACACGAAAAGATGAAGTCCACAGAATGTTTGCAAGTCACAAAATACTGTTTTTCTTTTGATTATTTTTCAATTATTAAAAACTATAAAATACGGTGGCTGGGCGTGGTGGCTCACACCTGTAATCCCAGCACTTTTGGAGGCCGAGGCAGGCGGATCACCTGAGGTCAGGAGTTCGAGACCAGCCTGGCCAACATGGTGAAACCCCATCTCTACTGAAAACAAAAAATTAGCCGGGCATGGTGATGCACCCCTGTAATCCCAGCTCCTCGGAGGTTGAGGCATGAGAATCACTTGAACCTGGGAGAATCGCTTGAGCCTGGGAGGCAGAGGTTGTGGTGAGCCAAGACTCCATCTCAAAAGAACAACAAAACTAAAATACTTTCTCTGTGTTCAGACCATACACAAAAAGGCTGTGGGCTGGGTTTGTCCTGTGGGCTGTGGTTAGTGACCACACACACACACACACACACACACACACACACACGGCAGAGTCTGGCATTCAGAGCCAGCACCTGTGTTCTCACCTGAGCCGTGTTCCTGGCTGGGTTCTACTCTGTATTCTGTGACTCGAGGTGTCTACCTTGGTAAACTGGAGGCTGTTTTAGTTTGCATTCCCGCTGACAATCTGTCACGTTTCTGTTGCTCTGTGTCTTTGTTAGCACTTGGTGTTATCAGTGATTTTTAGTTGAGCCATTCTAACAAGTCTAGTGGGATCTCATTGTGGTTTTAATTTGCAATTCTGTAATGGCTAACAATGCTGAATATCATGTTCTTTTTTGCCACTCTTGTATCCTCTGTGAGTTTCTGTTCAGATCTTTTGCACAGAAAAAGCTGTATCATGGAACCAGTAAAATAACCAAGGAGAGGTTGATTAAAGTTCTGTTTATAACCCTAGAAGATTCCTGCCCTAGGGATATGGGATGGCTGAACGTAGGACACCGACACTGGACAGATGAAATAGCAGTTTATTAGTCACGCATGCTCACAGCCCTGGGGTGGGGGACACCGCATGCCACACGGGGGCTGCACTTGGGAACAGAGCGAACCACGAGGGGCTGTGGGAGGCACATTTTGTAGTAACAGGAGGGTGAGATGACCTTGCTTCCATGGGAAGATGTGACTGGCTTGTTTGAATAACTCTGGGCCGGCAGGGATGAGCAGGCTGGGGTCGGGTTTCCGCGATAAGGAGGTTGTTTGGCTTTGGGATCTTATCCGTGAGAGCAGAGCTCAGGGGAGACCTTGTGGTTAGGCTATTTGAGGCCTTCTTGATTTTACCAATGTCAAGGCAGCACGTAATATTTAGTCTTAATTTCAGGCCACACGAGAAATTCTTCTGTATCTACTTTCCGTGGCACTTTTCAAAAGGTTTTGTCCTTAGTGTTTAGCAGTTGATTATGATGTGCCTCGTCATGGCTTCCTTTGGATTTATCTTGTGTGGGCTTTGTGCAGATTCTTCAGTCTGCCTGGGTTTATGTCATTTGCTGAACCTAGGAAGTTTTCAGCCATTAGTTCTTTGGATATTTTTTTCAGCATTCACCTTTTCTCTCTTGTTATTAACCTGTGGGGTCTGTGCTAATTCTAGGTAGTTAGTTTCAGAATTGAATTGCACTGTGGGACACAAAGCTGGGTGTCGCAGAGAACTGGAGAATTGCTTGGTGCAAAAGTCCATACATTTGGTGTCAGAAGTGTTGTAAACAGAGGAACTGTTTCCTTCGAGATTTTTAGATAGTCATTATTTGTAATCTGGATGGGATATCATGTCTTTCCCCGATTGAGATACATTTTTCTAATTATGTTGTTAGACATTTAGTCACAGCCTTCTGTGATGGAATGTGTTTACACTTCAAGGTTAAGGTTAGTTCTCTCTTCTCTTCGCTTACTGTGTAAGGAGTTTTATGACAGTTGTTTTTGACTGAAACTTGACATTGTCAGTGGCCTAAAGTGATTTTTCTCAGCTTTTCCTTTGTGTCCCAGTGCTCTTGAATTATGCCAGCAGTGACAGTGCCCCTGCATAGCAGTGCTTCCCAGTTGGCAGTGGAGTAGGGCCTTGTAAAGAGTTAAAAGATTTTTGAATCATACTCTTGTTCTACACCCTCCCTTTTCCCATGGATACACAAGCACTGGGACTCACTGGATAAAAGCAATTGGTGTGAAATTGAAGTAGGTAAATATGAAAGACTTAAGTTTCTCAGTTAAGAAATGTACTAGGAAGTAGATGGAATATCATTTTGGAAGACATCCTTTAAATAATTTGTTGTATTGGTTTCTTTTTTTTTTTTTTTGAGATGGAGTCTCGCTCTGTCACCCAGGCTGGAGTGCAGTGGCATGATCTCAGCACACTGCAAGCTCTGCCTCCCAGGTTCACACCATTCTCCTGCCTCAGCCTCCCGAGTAGCTGGGAATACAGGCGCCTGCCATCATGCTCAGCTAATTTTTTGTATTTTTAGTAGAGACGAGGTTTCACCGTGTTAGCCAGGATGGTGTCGATATCCTGACCTCCTGATCCACCCGCCATGGCTTCCCAAAGTGCTGGGATTACAGGCATGAGCCACCACGCCCGGCCAATATATTGGTTTCTTTATGAAAATTATACTGGATCTGTTACAGGTATGATTGATGTATTTTATTTTTAAGTTGTCAAGCATTCAGTTAATCATGTGTGTTGTAACTTTTCGGGGAGGGACATTTGCAGAGGCTAACGGTATGACATTCTGAAAAGCGGTGACAGATTAAAAAATTTTTAATTCTGCAGATGATAGTGTCGAACCAAGTGGGACAAAGAAAGATCTGAATGACAAAGAGAAAAAAGATGAAGAAGAAACTCCTGCACCTATATATAGGGCCAAGTCAATTCTGGACAGCTGGGTATGGGGCAAGCAACCAGGTGATCTTGCGAATTTTGGCACTTTGGAAAGGTTGATCTGACACTCCCTTTCTAAATAACTTGAATGGATTCTTAGTATTTTTTTGGTAACAATTTTTTAAAAACTAATTAAAAAATTTAAATATTGTGGTAAAATATACATACCATGTAACTTACCGTTTTAACCAGTTTTATGTGTACAGTTCATTGGCATTAAATATATTGACATTGTTGCCCAGCCATCACGCTTGACTAATTAGAGACAGAATCTCACTGTGTTGCCCAGGCCGGTCTTATACTCCTGGCTTCACGGGATCTTCCTGCCTCAGACTCCTGAGTTGCTGAGATTTCAGATGTGAGCCATCGCACCTGGCACTATGTGTAACTTTTTGAGGAAGCAGTAAACTGTTTTCCACAGTGGCTACATTGTTTTACATTCTTGCAGCAGTATACTAAGGTTCCAATTTCTCCACACCCTCACCAACACTTTTTGTTTTCTGATGATAGCCATCCTAATTTGTGTGAGTAGGTACAGCATCTCATTGTTTTGATTTGTATTTCCCTGTTGATTAGTCATGCTGAGCATCTTTTTACATGCTTATTGGCCATTTGTATACATTCACTGGAGAAATGTCTATTCAAATCCTTTGCCCGTTTTTTGTTTTTTTTTTTTTTTGGGGAGATGGAGTTTGGCTCTTGTTGCCCAGGCTGGAGTGCAGTGGTGCAATCTTGGCTCATTGCAACCTCCACCTCCCAGGTTCAAGTGATTCTCCTGCCTCATCCTCCCGAGTAGCTGGGATTACAGGTGTCCGCCACCGTGCCTGGCTAATTTTTTGTATTTTTAGTAGAGACGAAGTTTCACTATGTTAGCCAGGCTGGTCTTGAACTCCTGACTTCAGGTGATCCACCCACCTTGGCCTCCTAAAGTGCTGTATTACAGGTATGAGCCACTGTGCCTGGCCCTTTTGCCCTTTCTTTTTTTTTTTTTTTTTTTTGGAGACAGAGTCTTGTTCTGTCACCCAGGCTGGAGTACAGTGGCATGATCTTGGCTTACTGCAACCTCCACCTTCCGGGTTCACGCCATTCTCCTGCCTCAGCCTCCCGAGTAGCTGGGACTACAGGCGGGCACCACCACACCCAGCTAATTCCATTTTTTAATTGAGTTTTTTGTTTTGGGTTATAGGAGTTCCTTATCATGGATGGACTTTCATAATCTCTTCCCTTTCTCCAACCCAGTAAAACCCATATATTTATTCTTTGCTTACTTTTTTGTGTGTAATTGAATTTTTTAAAATGTCTGATGCATTTTCGTTCCAATTAAAAATATACATCAAATAAATGTTTTCTTATAAAAATGTATCGATTATAAAAGCAGAAATTTCACCTGGCTGCCCACCCCAATTTCAGTTTTCCTCTAAGAGTTAGCCACTATTATCCCTTCAGAGTGGATATTCAGGCTTTTCTTTCCTGGCATGGACATACATATGTAAATGTACATATATAAAAATAATTAGTGACACCATGCATGGTAGCTCACGCCTGTAATCCCAGCACTTTGGGACGCTGAGGTGAGAGAATTGCTTGAGGCCATCAGTTTGAAGCTGCAGTGATCTATGATTGTGCCTCTACACTCCAGCCTGGGTGACAGGGTGAGACCCTGTCTCTTAAAAAAAAATTCGTATTTGGGGTTAGTAGTAGTACCTACCTCATAGGTTATTATGGGATCAGTACAGTAGGCCAGACAAAGTGCGTATGCTATTATTTTGCATGTAGTAAGTACCAGCATATACTACCTGTTATCCAGAAATTTGCTGAAATGTGCCTTGTATTTTCTCTCTTTCGATTTTGATCAGTCTTCCTAGAAGTCATCAGTTTGAGTTTTTTCAAAGAACCAGTTGTTGGTTTTATTGATTTTGTTTGTTTTCTTTTTCATTGATTTCTGCTTTACTCTTTATTATTTCCTTTTTTCTGCTGGCTTTGGGTTCCATTTGTTCTTCTGTCTCTTCTAGTTTCTTAAGGTAAAGGCTTAGATCATTGACTTCAGATTTTTTGTCTTTTCTAACAAGTGTTCAAAACTATAATATAAATTTCCCTCTAAGCATTGTTTAGCCACATTTCACAAATTTGGAAATGTTTATTCATTTTCATCTTCATTCAGTTGAAAATATTTTCTAATTTCCCTTTTAATTTCTTCTTTTACTCACTTATTATTTGGAAATGTGTTATTTCATTTCCAAATATTTGGGGATTTTCAAATATCTCCTGTTAACAATTTCTAAATTAGTTGTAGTCAGAGAACATATTCTGTGATTTCAATGCTGAGGCTTGTCTGAAGCCCCAGAATATGGTGCATTCTGTGGAATGTTTCATGCACATGTAATAAGAATGTGGCTGGGTGCAGTGGCTCCTGCCTGTAATCTCAACACTTTGGGAGGCTGAGGTGGGTGGATTACTTGAGGTCAGGAGTTCGAGACCAGCCTGGCCAACATAGTGAAACCCTGTCTCTACGAAACATACAAAAATTAGCTGGGTGTGGTGGTGGGTGCCTGTAATCTCGATTGCACCCCTGCACTTTAGTCTGGGTGACAAAGCAAGACTACATCTCAAAAAAAAAAAAAAGTGTATTTTGCTGCTCTGTAAAGCTTAGTGAGATCAAGTTGATAGTGTTCAGGTATCCTTGACTTGAAATAGTTTTCTGCCTGCTTGTTCTAGTCACTGTTAGGAGAGGAGTTGAACTAACACACAAGGTTGGCTTACCACATTAGTTTGACATGAATCTCAGAGATGTTACCCGTAGCTGATTACTTAGTAACTTTAAAGATACAAGTAATATCCTCACTTGTGTGCTCAGGCAAAGTGGGGAGAGATGTGGGAGAGTCTGTGCAACCCCCGCAGGTCCATCCTCTTTGAGCCCGGCCTGCGAGATGAGACCTCTCACTGAGGCGTGTGGTCCTCTCACTGAGGTGTGTCGTCATCTCACTGCACAAGGAGCATTAAGGATGTGCAGTGTTCCCGTTTTGTAGTCAGATAGTTTATACACCTTAGGGAACCTTTTCCAGGGAGCCATGTCCCATAAGTCCATGGATTTTAGGTATGTTTACCAAACACAATCCTAAACTAACCACATCTTGCTAAAAACATTTCATAGATAAGGACACTTCTCCTAGCAAATACCAGTCATTTATTTACAGAGAAGCCAGTCTCAGTGTTCTGGGAGATCAGCCCCAGTGACTGGCTTTATTTCCCAGGAGTATCTCCATTGTGCTGGGGAGGCATGAAGAGCAATTTCACTGCTTAGTTCCTCTTTCTTCTGAGGAGAATTGAAATCTCTCATGCTAATTATGGATTATTTTCTTTCAGCTCTGCAGGTTTTGCTTCATGTATTTGAGAATGTTATAGGGTGCATGCACTTTTAGGATTTTTACGCCATATTCATAAATTTGACCCCCTTAATCTCCGGTGACATTCTTTGTTGTGAAGTCACCTTGGTCTGACTACTCTCCTTTCTTCTGATTTGGTGTTTGCGTGGTGTGTTTGCCAGGTTTAGCTTTTTTCACTTTCAAACTTTGTGTATGTGTAAAGTAGATTTCTTTCAGGTATCATTTAATTAGGTCTTGCTTCTTTATTCACCCTGACAACCTCTGTTTTTTATTTGGAATCTTTAGACTACTTGGGTTTAAATCTATCATCTCTGGCGTTTTCAGTTACATCTTTCACTTGTCACTGCCCACTCTCAAATGGTATTACACTGCCTGAGCTGCGGGGCAGTGCTCTGACTGTAGCTTCCTGCTTCTGACATGTTCTTGGTTGGTAGTGTTGCTGTGTCATGTCCAAGTGAAACATGGTATAAACCCCACAATATGATGTTTTTGTTTTTGCTTTAAATAGGCAATTACATTTTTTCCCCTCAAATTTGAAAAGAGAAAAAAAAGTCTTTTTTTTTTTGAGACGGAGTTTTGCTGTTGTTGCCCAGACTGGAGTGTAATGGCACAATCTCAGCTCACTGCAACCTCCGCCACCCAGGTTCAAGCGAGTCTCCTGCCTCAGCCTCCCTAGTAGCTGGGATTACAGACACACACCACCGTGCCTGGCTAACGTTTTTGTATTTTTAGTAGAGACAGGGTTTCACTATGTTTGCCAGGCTCGCCTCGAACTCCTGACCTTAGGTGATCCACGTGCCTCAGCCACCCTTAAGTGCTGGGATTATAGGATTATAGGTGTGAGCCACCACACCTGGCCTCTTTTTTTTTTTTTTTTTGAGGCGGAGTTTTGGTCTTGTTGCCCAGGCTGCCAGGATGGAGTGCAATGGCATGATCTTGGCTCACTGCAGCCTCTGCCTCCTGGGTTCAAACGATTCTGGCTCAGCCTCCCGAGTAGCTGGGATTACAGGCATACGCCACCACACCTGGCTAATTTTGTATTTTTGAGTAGAGACATGGTTTCGTCATGTTGGTCAGGCTGGTTTCGAACTCCTGACCTCAGGTGATCCACCCACCTCGGCCTCCCAAAGAGCCACCATGGCTGGCCAAAAAAAAGTTTTTTATGTTAACTTTCATTTTACCATTATGGGCCCTTAAGGTTTTGTTTCTGTCCCAGCTACCTTGTGTTATCATGTTCCTTCAGTTTGAAGATCTCCCTTTACCATTTCTAGATTTTCTGACAGAGAAGTTTTTCAGTCTGTCTGGGTATCAATTTTGGCTTTATCTCTGACTCTACACAAATCACTTTGTCTCACCTTGGGCCTCTCATGTATAAAATAGGAATAAGTGGCCGGGTGCAGAGGCTCATGCCTGTAATCCCAGCACTTTGGGAGGCTGAGACGGGCGGATCATGAGGTCAGGAGATCGAGACCATCCTGGCTAACGTGGTGAAACCCTGTCTCTACTAAAGATACAAAAAAATTAGCTGGGCGTGGTGGTGGGCACCTGTAGTCCCAGCTACTCGGGAAGCTCAGGCAGGAGAATGGCATGAACCCAGGAGGCGGAGCTTGCAGTGAGCCAAGATTGCACCACCACTCTAGCCTGGGTGACAGGGTGAGACTCCATCTCAAAACAAAAAAAACAAACAAAAAAAAGGAATAAGTATAATATAATGTAAATAATTAAAATTATATATAAAATAAGTGAAAGTACTTACTCAGAGAGTTGCTGTGCAAATGACATGAAATAATGCATTTGAAGCTCTTAAGTCAGTGCCTGGCACAAATGTTTGATAAAGATTTGTTGTGATTTTAAAAATCTGTTATTTTGCCTTTCTCCATGTTTCCCCTCACCTAGGTATCAAAGTACCTACAGTTATGGGTGGGTAACTAGACTAAAAATGTACCTTTCTTGCTCAGATTAAAGCCCGGCTTATTGACTCAGGGCAGCTTTAATCGGTTTATTTGGAAGCTCTGCTTGTTCACAGGTACAGAGCTTTTGCAGAACCGACTCTGTACCTGGCAGCCTTGAAGGGGCTTGGATTCAAAGCATATTCTTGAGCCACGCCATCTTTAATCAAACTGCAGGTGGAATTTGTAGCTGTTAGAATAGCTCCTATTCCTTTCATTTCTTTTTCTGTTTTTTTACTCTTCCATCTCAGCCTAAAAAGAAAAACACGTTAATTTGAGCCATAGGAATTTAGAATTTGTTTTTTCTTTTGCTTAGATATGTTTGACTAAAGCTTCCTTTTTCACAGGTTTATTTTTTCCAACATTTTATTATGAAAAAAATATATACAGAAAAGTTGAAAGAATTTTACAGCGCGCACCCACATATTCACCACCTAAGATTGTGCCGCTGGCATCATCCCACGTGCTTTATCACCGTTCTCTCCACCTTTTCATCCTTCTATTCATCCATCAGTCCCTCACATTTTTTTTGCAATGTTTCCAAGGAGACCTCTGGACACTTGCTTCTCAACATTGCAGCGTGTAGGCCCTCAGCAGGAGTTCAGAAGTGCACATTTCACAGTGAACCTTCTGAGAGTGTTGACAGATCACAGCTTTTCTTTTTGTCTAATGAAAAGGGCTTGCTGGCCATTGGGTGTTGTAATCTCTTAGGAGAGTAAACTCTTAGTAACTATCTAAATCATTCTTAATGATTCTCTCTGCTGTATAAATAGGTCTGGGAGGACCCTTTCTGACATTCTTGTTGGCATAGGTTTTAGCTTAAGGTGTTGTAAATGCTGTTTATCAAGATGATGAAGTTCCCATTTGTTGCTATTTTCTGAGAATTTTTATCATTCACGAGTATTGAATTTTGTCATTTGCTTTTTCTAAATCAATTGATATGTAATTATGTGATTTTTGTTCTTTAGTCTATTAATAGGGTGGGTTACATTGATATTTGACTGTTGAACCAGCTTTGCATTCCTGGAATGAAACTACTTGGCGATGATGTGGAATTCTTTTTATATATTGTTTACTTCTACTTGCTAATAATTCACTGAATATTTTTGTGTCTATATATATATTAAGGTATATTGTTCTGTAGTTTGTACTGTCTTTAGGTACGGTACCTAATATTAGCTTCTTAAAATGCTAATATTAGCTCTAATATTAGCTTCTTAAAATGCTAATATTAGCTCTAATATTAGCTTCTTAAAATGCTAATATTAGCTCTAATATTAGCTTCTTAAAATGCTAATATTAGCTCTAATATTAGCTTCTTAATATGAATTGGGAAGTTTTTCCTTTTCTAGTTTCCAGAAGAGATTGTTTTGAGTCTGTGTTAATTCTTTTTTAATGTTTGATGGAATTATCCAGTGAGTTCATTTGGATCTGGTAATTTCTTTTTTTTTTTTTGGGATTCTTTGAATTATGAATTCAGTTTTCTTGATAGTGGTAGAGCTATTCAAATGATCTATTTTATATTTGGTGAGTTGTGGTAATTTGCATTATTTGAGGAATAAGTCTATTTTGCCCAAGTTGTCAAAGTTATGTGTGTAGAGTTGTTCCTAGTAATTCCTAATTATCTTTTTTCATATCTTTAGAGCCTGTTTCATCACTAATGTTGGGTAATTTATGTCTTTTTTTTTTTTGTCAGTCTTGCTTAGAGAGGTGTGTCAGTTTTATTGATCTTTTCAAAGAACCAGCTTTTTGCTTTACTGTTTATTGTTTTTCTGTTTTCACTTTGTTTCTACTCTTACCTTAATTATTTCTTCCTTTCTGCTTACTTTTGGGTTGATTTTGCTATTTTTAATTTTCTTTTAGGTTGTCAACGTGGGCACTTATATTATTGATTTGTTTCCAAGTTTCTAATGTACCATTCATTTAGTGCTGTAAATTTGTCTCTCGTCACCCACTGTAGCTCTTTCCCATACATTTTGATGTATTGTACTTGCATTTTCTCTCAGTTCACAATATATTTTAAAATTTCCCTTGAGACTTTCTCTTTGATCCATGGGTTATGTAAAAGTTTATTGTTTAGTTTCTGAGAGTTAGGCAATTTTCCTGTAATTGTTCTCTTGTTGACTTCAGATTTGTTCCCATTGTTTGAGGGAACATATGCTGTGTGATTTTAATTTCAAAAAATTTGTTAGGTTTGTTTTATGCCTCAGAATATGTTCTAACTTAGTATTTGTTTTGTGGATACTTGAAAAGATTATGTATTCTGTTATTATTGGCTGGAGTGTTCTATAAATTTTGATTGGCTCTAGTTGATGGATGGTGATGTTGCGTTCTATATCCTGGCAGCTTTTCTGTCTCCTAATTTTATCAGCTGTAGAGAGAGATTTTGAGGTCTCCAACTATAAAAGTATAAATGTCTTTTTCTCCTTTCGGTTCTGTTCATTGTTTTTTTGTTTGTTTGGTGTCTGCACGTTTCGAATTGCTGTGTCTTAATGGTGGATTGACCAAGTTCTCATTTTGTAATGTTGCCGTTGGTTCCTGGTAATTATCTTTTTTTTTTTTTGAGACGGAGTTTCGCTCCTTTTGCCCAGGCAGGAGTGAAGTGGCATGATCTCAGCTCACTGCAACTTCCGACCCTACCAGGTTCAAGTGATTCTCCTGCCTCAGCCTCCTGAGAAGCTGGGATTATAGGCTTCTGCCATCACACCCAGCTAATTTTTGTATTTTTAGTAGAGATGGGGTTTTGCCATATTGGCCAGGCTGGTCTCAAACTCCTGAGATCCACCCACCTTGGCCTCCCAAAGTGCTAGGAGTACAGGCGTGAGCCACTGTGCCCGGCCCTCCTGGTAATTATCTTTGTTCTGAAGTTTACTTTATTTGATATAAATATAGCCAACTCCTGCTGTCCTTTCAGTAATGTTTGCATGATCTTTTTTTTTCTATACTTCTATTTTCAGTTTGCCTGTTTGAAGTCACTTTCTTATGGACAACATATAGTTGGATCATGTTCTCTAGTCTACTCTCCTAGTGTCTTTTAATTGATGTATTTAGATTGTTTACATTTAATTTAATGTCATTGATAAATTGAGGCTTAACACTGCCATTTTGTTTTGCATTTTCTATTTCTTCTGTTTTTCATTTTTTCGGTTTGGTTCTTCCTGGCTCTCTGTGGTTTACTTGACCATTTTTAGCATTCTATTTCATCTGTAGTGTTTTAGAGTGTATCTTTTTGTATAGCTTTTTTAGTGGCTTTTCTAGGTAATATATTACATACAGATTGAGCATCTGTAAACCCAAAATCCAAAATCTGAAATGCCCCAAAATTCGAAACTTTATGGCACTCCAGCATGACGCCCCCAAATTGAAAATTCCATTCATAAGTACTTAGCATGAACTTTGTTTCATGCACAAAATTACTAAGCATGCTATATAAAATTACCTTCAGGCTCTGTGTGTAAGTTATATATAAAACATAAATGAATGTATTTAGACTTGGGTCCTATCCCCAAAATATCTCATTATTTATATGCAGATATTCCTAAATCTGATAAAAATCTGAAATTTGGAACACTTGTGCTCCTGAGCATTTTATAAGGGACACTCAGCCTGTGTATGTATGAACACTTATCAGATTTTACCTGATGTTGTCATTTACCAGCTTCAGGGATATAGAAACTACCTCCTTTGATGTTCCTTTATGTTCTTCTGTTCATAATATACTTGCCTTAAATATTTCATTTACTTACATTGATAACCACATATGACAATGTTATAATTTTTGGTTGAACCTTCAGACATAATTTAGCAAAGTCAAGAGGTGAGGGAAAAGTCTATTGTATTTATGCGTTGGTGTGCTTGTCATCTCCTCCTTCCAGAAGTTCCAGGGTTTTCTTCTTTGATGGTTGCCATTCTGCTTAGAGAACTTCCATTAGCCTTTCTTTTGGTGTGGGTCTTCTGGTGACAAATTCTGTTTCACTTCCTCTGAGAATGTTTTGCTTTCCTTTTCATTCCTGAAGGACATTTTTGCTGGATATAAGAATTCTGGGTTAATGGTTCTTTTCATCGCTTGAAAAATATTTTGTACTTTCAGCTGGGCTCCATGGTTTCTGATGAGAAATTCGCTGTCATTTGACTTGTTAATCCACGATAGTTAAGGCACTGTTTTTGTTTAGTGGCTTTTGAAATGTTTTGTCTTTTGTTTTTTGGAGTTTGATTATTATATGTCTTAGTTTGGATTTCTTTGGGTTCATCCTGTTTAGGGTTTGCTTACCTTAGATCTGTAGATTTATGTCTCTTGCCAAATTTGGGAACTTGTAAGCCATCACTTCATAGAGTACAGTTTCAGCCCCACCTTCTTTCTCCTGTCCCTTCGTGAGTTCAGTGACCGGAGTTGTTATAGTCCCATAGGTCCCCGAGACTGTTTTTTTGTTTGTTTGTTTGTTTTGCGGGTACATTGCTTTCTTTCTCCCTTCCCGTCCCGTCCTATCCCATCCCGTCCTGTCCTATCCCGTCCCATCCCGTCCCTTCCCGTCTTCGGAGTCTCTGCCTGTTTCCCAGGCTGGAGTGCAGTGCACGTTCTCAGCTCACTGCAACTGCCGCCTCCCTAGTTCGAATGATTCTCCTGTCTGAGCCTCTCGAGTAGCTGGGATTATAGGTACCCGCCACCATGCCCAGCTCAGTTTTATATTTTTAATAGAGATGAGGTTTCACCATGTTGGCCAGGGTGGTCTCAAAGTCCTAACCTTGTGATCTGCCTGCCTCGGCCTCCCAAAGTGCTGGGATTACAGGTGTGAGCCACCATGCCCAGCCTATTATTTGGCAGTCTTTAAACTAATGATAATAGGGGTCTTCTGCCTTTAGAAGAATTAGAACTGTGATTTAATTTGCAAATGAAAGTAGGTGTTCTCCAGAGTGGATTAAAATAAAGGTTTTGGTTTTAGATTTCAAGGCCAGCTTGAGATGCTGTGCTGGGTTCCCACAGAGGTGGTTCTGCCTTTCTCCAGGGGTCCTAGGCTTGTAGAGTGGTTTGGTCATGTTAGTAATCTGTGTGGATTCAACTTACCTATGGTATCATAAATGTATACATGCACAGTCAATGTTGTGTACATGTATACAGCAGATTTAGAGATTTATACAGTTTATATGCTGCATAAATATATAGACGTATAGTATAACTGTATCATCAACATTGTCATTTGATGGGTCAAGTGAGTCAATACCAAAATATAAAGCGTGGGTAAAAAACTGTGTTACTTTAGTTTTTCCCACCAGTTCTGAATTTTTGTTTACTTTTCCTTTCTAGCTTTTGTGTGGTCCTCTGAGCCCCAGTGAGAGTTTCCTGAGGTACCTCACCCTTCCACAAGACAACAGGCTTGCCATTGATCTGCAACAAACGGCGGTTGTTGTCATGGCCCATTTAGACCGTCTGGCTACACCCTGTAGATGCCTCCTCTGTGTAGCTCTCCGACGTCTCATAAGGTGTGTGCAAGAACCGTGTTCTCCATGTGTTTTGTAGCTAGTACCACTTGTAGGTTCTCATCCTGGGCCCGTGTGGAGACTTGTTTTTTCTGGTATTGGTAGGGGGAGCTGGCCTGTGGTTTTTAAACGTGTTTGCAGTTGAAGGTGTTATCCGTGTTGAGAGTGAGTGATGAGCAAGCTGAGGCGCACAGGCCTGGCGACCCAACCTGGGGGCCCGGGTTCCAGGTTCAGGTGGCACAGCCCCAGAGAGCTCCCCTTTATCCACAGCCCCAGGCCCTCCCACCTTCTGCAGGGGGTTCCACAGCCTTCTTCATACTCTGAACGCAGGCTGTCTTAGTATGTCATGCTGGTTATAGTAGTGACAGTATAATTATGTATTATATCTCTTATGTAATAGTAATGGTAGTGATTTGCATGTGTGGAGCACCTGTAGGGTGCAGGCCCGCTGAGGACCTCATGCACGCTGTTGTATCTCATTATGTCAATGAGAAAACTGCCTTTGGGAATGGTAGTGAACTTTGCCAGTGCAGAACAGTAATCCTAGTTTTGAATCCAGATTTTTCTAACATTTTATTTCTAGTATAAAGAGTATTTATTTTGTTTTACAGTCATTAAAAAAAAAAATACAGTCACATGGTTCAAAAATCAAACCTAGGCAGAGACACACTGTCGCTTCCCCTGCCCACCCCTTCCACCCATTTTCCCACCTGCTCCCTCTGACTTTCCAGTCTCCTCTGTAACCTCCTTGTTCTCTGGCATGAGTACGTTCGTGGTAGCATGCTTCATTACTTGTGTTGCTTGTTTTTTGTTTTTTTTTTTTAACTAACCATATATACTGGAGTACCTTATCAGAGTGTCCCTCTTTGTTTTTATAAATCAGCTTAGTCTTCAGTGTGTGGATGTGTCTTTTATCTATCTTTCTTTAGTGAGTCTCTTATTGGTGGACACTTGGGCTTATTGCCACAATGTTGCTATACAAATAGTGCTGAGGGTCGGGTGTAGTGGCTCACGCCTGTAATCCCAGCACTTTGGGAGGTCGAGGTGGGTGGATCACCTGAGGTTGGGAGTTTGAGATCAGCCTGGCCAACTTGGAGAAACCCCGTCTCTACTAAAAAATACAAAAATTAGCGGGGCGTGGTGACGGATGCCTGTAATCCCAGCTACTTGGGAGGCTGAGGCAGGAGAATCGCTTGAACCTGGGAGGCAGAGGTTGCAGTGAGCCGAGATCGCGCCACTGCACTCCAGGCTGGGCAACAAGAGTGAAACTCCATCTCAAACAACAACAACAGAAAACACAAATAGTACTGCAAGGCCTGGCCTGGAACACGTGTCCTCCATGTGTGCACGCGTGTGTGCCTGTGCACATGCACAGGTGGGGATGGACCTCGTGTGGGCTGGTTGTCACCAGATTGCTCCTGTACATCTTGATTTCTCTCACCACCAATAGGGATGCTGGTCTCCCAGCCTTGTGTGTGGGCTTTTGGGATTTTGCCTGCTAAAGCACAAAGTGGTGACCCCGATATAGTTTGAGCATTTTAAAATATATTAGTATTTAAGGGCCATTTATACTACTTTTTAATGGGCTCTGTTGAAATGCAATGGAAATGGAAAAATAGCCTGTTCAGTTGCTTCATCATACCTGTTAAATGCAGTAATATGGCATGGTACGAGATGGGGTTTCACTGTGTTAGCCAGGATGGTCTCGATCTCCTGACTTCATGATCTGCCCGCCTCGGCCTCCCAAAGTGCTGGGATTATAGGCATGAGCCACCGCGCCCGGCTGATTGGATTATTTTAAAGCATAACTCTGTCTTTAAAACATTTTAAGGTATTTTACCTCTTAATGATAAGGATTTTAAAAAAACCCTACAATATCATTATCCTGTCTATAAGATTAACAGTGATTCCTTAATCTAACATGCAGTCCATGTTACATTTTCCTGGACTATCTCAAAAATGCCTTTTTTAGGTGGTAATTTTGAATTAAGACCTGAGCATGTTCTGCGTATTGGCATTGCTTGACATATGCTTCTAGTCTCTTTCCCCAAACAACATGGCTCCAGGCCCTCTTCTCCCTGTCTCTGATCATACCGTTTTCTTTTTCAAAGAAGCAGGTTGGTTATTTTGGAGAACTTCACATTTTCTGAACTTGGTTGATTGCATTCTCTTATTCTAGACCAACATGTTCTTCTGTTAGTTACATTAATCTGCTGGTTAGATCTAGAGGTTTGGTTGGATTTGAATTCAGTCTCGTTGGGGCGGTGTTATGTCTGGGGTCATGCTGCATGCTTTCTGTTGGCTCAGGAGGCCTGTAATGCTCGGTGGCTCCCCGCTTTAGTTCTGTGAAGCTAGACCAGGGAATTCATGTGTTGCGTATCCTCTATAAAATCCCCTACCAACCTTGCCCTCTGCTGTCTGGTTAGCAGGAGGTACAATTTGTACAGGAAGGACATAATCTAAGCTTGACTTCTTGAACTGCCACCTCCCTTTAACTATTTTTCATAATATTGAGTTGGTATCCTAGCACTTGCATAGGTGACCACCACTCAGGTTTTCTTTTTTTTGAGTATTTTTATGAACTAACAGACTTTTATTGATTTGGTGTTTCTTTTCTTTTTTAGCTTTTTCCCCCTTTAATGTGTAAATATATACATTTAAAGGCATAAATGCCCTCAAGCATGCATTTAGTTGTATGTCACCAATTTCGATCTGCAGTATTTTGATTATTAACTGAACACATTTTCTAATTTTCATAGTCATTTTTTCTTAGAATTTTGGGTTACTTATAAGTGTATCTTGTAATTTTCAAATATGTGGATGAATATTTTTATTTTCTGTGTATACAGAGTCATTTTTATTTTATTTTGAATGAATTTTTGAAAACCTATTTGTAATTTAACTGCATTGTAGTCAGCACACATGCTCTGTAAGTTTATTTCTTTGAAATCTGTTGAGATTTACTCTATGGCCTGGCATGGCCCGATTTGGTATTCATGCTGCCTAGACCTTTTTTTTAAAGCATTCTATATTTAACAGAATTTGTATGTGTGGTATTAGTTTCAGAGCTAGGTATGTATTTCTCCCATTGTGATTGTGGATTTGTTTATTTCTGCTTGTAGTTCTTTCACACAGTTTGTTCTTTTCATTTTACCTGTTGATTGATCAATGGACTGATTCTGGTTTCTGTATATACAGAGTCATTTTTTACAGGTCAGAACTGTAGAAATAATGAGAAAGTGACACTTGTACGCATAGCTGATTTGGAGAACCATAATAACGATGGAGGCTTCTGGACTGTGATTGACGGGAAAGTGTATGATATAAAGGACTTCCAGACACAGTCGTTAACAGAAAATAGTATTCTTGGTAAGATTACACTTGTTATTTCCTGGTTAAAAGTTACAGCCTGTATCATTTTAAGCAGAGTATTTGGCTTATAAATGATTCCTTTAGTTTTGTGCCAGCCCCCGCATATTTTAATGTATCTGTGGCTTTGGTGTCTGTCTTATCAACAAATTCAGCACATTCGAAGAATTTCCTTTCATTATGTATCTTTTGTTTTAATACTTGGAACTCATTTCAAGTTCCGAGTTGGCCCAGGCAACCCTGGGAGACAGTGGGAGGTCATTATATTCTGGTAACCCTCACTTTTGAGTTAAGAGCCTAACTTATTTCCTACTCACTATTTCTCCTGTAGCTCTTCAGGCAAGCTGAATTGAACTCATGTTGCTTTTTCCCTTTTTGTTTCAGCTCAGTTTGCAGGGGAAGACCCAGTGGTAGCTTTGGAAGCTGCTTTGCAGTTTGAAGACACCCGGGAATCCATGCACGCATTTTGTGTTGGCCAGTATTTGGAGGTGAGGCTGTATGCCTTGAGTGATGCAGAGGATGGCAGGGGATACCCTCTGTGTGTTTGTGATAGGAATATTTGGATCTAGAAGTACTGATATCTGGGTCTTTTGTGGGTTTATGTGGTATCTGCTGTTACTTGGGCACAGCAGCATCAACTCATTACAGGATGGAGGGGCAGAATGCCCAGAGCACCCCTGGGCTCACGTGCGGTTACAGCTGCAGGACAGAGCTGTCCTTTTGGTTTTATGTTTTTAATTAATTCTGTTTCCTCAGATTGATGATGAAATTTATTTTTCCAGCCTGACCAAGAAATCGTCACCATACCAGATCTGGGGAGTCTCTCTTCACCTCTGATAGACACAGAGAGGAATCTGGGCCTGCTTCTCGGATTACACGCTTCCTATTTGGCAATGAGCACACCGCTGTCTCCTGTCGAGATTGAATGTGCCAGTAAGAAAATCTTTGCTTTTTGCTGATCAGCAGATTATTTTTTTTTGAACTGTAAGTGCCATTAAGAGTGGGAGAGGGCCAGGCACAGTGGTTCATGCCTGTAATCCCAGCAGTTTGGGAGGTTGTGGCACGTGGATTGCTTGAGGTCAAGAGTTTGAGACCAGCCTGGGCAACATGGCAAAACCCCATCTCTACAAAAAACACAAAAATTAGCCAGGCATGTTGGCACGTATTTGTAGTCCCAGATACTCAGGAGGCTGAGGTAGGAGGATTGCTTGAGCCTGGGAGGTTGAGGCTGCAGTGAGTCATGATCATACCACTGCACTCCAGCCTGGGTGACAGAGCAAGACTCTCTCTTTAAAAAAGCAGGAGATGGCCAGGCAGTGGCTCATGCCTGTAATCCCAGCACTTTGGGAGGCTGAGGCGGGTGGATCACCTGAGGTCAGGAGTTCAAGACCAGCCTGGCCAATGTGGTGAAACCCCATGTCTACTAAAAATGCAAAAATTAGCTGGGTGTGGTGACGGGTGCCTGTAATCCCAGTTACTCGGGAGGCTGAGGTAGGAGAATTGCTTGAACCCAGGAGACGGAGGTTGCAGTGAGCTGAGATCATGCCACTGCACTCCAGCCTGGGTGACAAGAGCGAGACTCGGTCTCAAAAAAAAAAAAGGAGAGGAGGATTCAACACAGTTGATGATGATAAAAATAATAATAATAAGGATAGTGAGACTCAATCAGGTAGAAACAGCTGTGAGTGGTTGTCATTTGCCCTCATGGTCTGTTGCTGCAGAGGAAGCTAAAAAGTGTGCAGGAATGTCTACCCGTCTGCCCTTGGTGGTCTCACGTATTGCAGCCTCTGCCTGATGGGCCCAGCATGGCTTTTGTCTCCCTGCATGCCCAGAAATTGCACAGAATGTGGATCAGCTGTCCTCTCAGGGAAGAGCATACTATTTGAGCACTGCGTTTTTACCAGACCAGGCTCAAGTCAGTTATATTTCAGGATGGCAGCCTTTGTAACCACCTAAAATAATAAGTTTCTTCCTGTCTCCTAAGATGGGTTTACATTTTCCTTCATGTAGTTGTGCATTTCCCATCTGTCTGTCTGTCCATCCATGTGAGCAGCTTCTGTTGAGCATTTGCCTGGTGCCGTTACCATACGAGGTGTTCAGGATACAGTGATAGATAGGACACACCTCTGCTTTCTGGTGCCGTTACCATGCGAGGTGTTCAGGATGCAGTGATGGGTAGGACACGCCTCTGCTTTCAGCTGCTGCTTGTTGATGAGCCACCATTCTAAGCAGGTCACATTACAAGGTGGTGAATGGTGAAATGGAGATGTTCATACATGGTTCTGGGAGAAGAAAGGCTTCACATTGGCAGCAGTCCTGAAATTGCGTGAGAGAGCATTCGGGGCAGAAAACACAGGAGTGTCAAGGGCACTGCTGAGAGGAGCAGGGCTTTCCTGCTGCTTGCAGGAGTGGGTGTGGCAGAGGCTTGCAGGGAAGGAGGATCTTGGTGTCCATACAGCCCCCCGTTGGGCGGACCTTTGTGCAGTGCTAGGTGCTGGGCTGCCTGTGGTGCCCTCTGAGGTGTCTGCTTCCTTCCCTCCTCCTCAAGGTTCATTGCTTGCCAGAAGATGGGCTTTGTTTAAATTGGCAAGGAGGGCAGGGCTGGCGAGCTCCAGGGCAGAGGGTGCCATGGGCCCTGGCAGGTGGGTCCGATCCACAGGAGGATCAGAGGCTTATCTTGGAGCAGTAAGGAGGGGCTGTCCTGTGCTTAAAGAGAGGGGGCCAGAGAGAGTCGGCATTGGATTAGTGTTTCAGAAGAACGAATGTGGTGTGTTGGGGAATGCTCCTGAGTGCTCTAAAATCTAAATGTCCAGTAAAAGAACACTAAGTGCATCCCGCTTTGATTGCTTGGATTTGGAGCAGTATTTGATAACACAGATTGTTAATAGAGATCTGTAGTGGTGCACTCCCTCAAGTTGCCATAAGCAGTTGTAATTAACATTCGCACTGGTTGATCCCATGCCTTGCACCACGCACAGGTCTCCTTTCCAGTCCATCGGCCCTCCCATCTCCAAGGATCTATCCTTCATTACAGATTGTGTGTTTCTTAAATATTTTCTCCTTTTCATTCCTTTATAAGTGCTCTAGGAATACATAGCCTACCCTGAGGATGTAATTCTTTGTAGAAACCCTTCAGATGTGCTGTTCCCTGCCTGGATACTCAGCGTCTGGGTCTTATTCCTCATCTTAGCTCAGTTGTTGCTTCCACAAGTCCCTCACTGACCCTCAGAATAGCGGTGGTCTGTCTTCCAGTCTCCCTGGTACCCCCATAGTCATCTGTTGCACAGTTTTGGACTTGAAATCCTGTGATTAATTGTGTCAGCGGTGCCCTTTGCTGCCTTCCCTGTTAGAATGTGCACCTCAGTCTTCACACGGTACCTGTGGAACCAGGCAGCTGCAGGCAGAGCACAGGTATCCAGAGAATGTTGGACTGGAACTACGATCCTGAGTTCTGATGCCATGCCTGAGGCGTGTGGAATCACCAGAAAGTGTGTTCACGTAGATAGAGGAATTATAAGTCAACCTGTGTAAACATGTTAGGTGGAGCTCTTTCATATGAATGATGCTGAATTTCACCTTCTAAATTGAGTGTTCAGTTGAGCATCTTTTTTTTTTTTTAGTATTTATTTTGAGTTGTGCACTTGAGTTTCTCTTTCATGTTTGCGTGTGCATTTTCTAGAATGGCTTCAGTCATCCATCTTCTCTGGAGGCCTGCAGACCAGCCAGATCCACTACAGCTACAACGAGGAGAAAGACGAGGACCACTGCAGCTCCCCAGGGGGCACACCTGCCAGCAAATCTCGACTCTGCTCCCACAGACGGGCCCTGGGGGACCATTCCCAGGCATTTCTGCAAGCCATTGCAGACAACAACATTCAGGATCACAACGTGAAGGTGAGCTAGGCCTGCCCCCACTGCCACCTCAGTGCTCTGTTTATCTGAGGACTTTGACATAGGAATACTTATGTGCTCTTTGGTTAACACAGCACAGACTTTGTTTCATGTATTATTTGGAGGGTTTTGAGGTGAGAACCTGATTGTGTTAACATGCTAGCGAGGCTTCAGAAGCATTAGTGATTGCAAGTGCGTCAGAAGCTGTGGCATGTTTAAGATTTGTGAAGACTCACTGGGTTTCCCTGAAGTTACTTCCAGCTGTTCCTGTTGCAGGACTTTTTGTGTCAAATAGAAAGGTACTGTAGGCAGTGCCATTTGACCACACCGATCATGTTTCCCCCCGAGCATCCCGTGGAAGAGGTCGGTCGCTTGCTGTTATGTTGCCTCTTAAAACATGAAGATTTAGGTAAGGAGCTCAATATCTTTGTACTTTAGCTACACTGCAGATTCCTCGACTAACCTGTGGTACGTATTCATTCCTTCACTGCCCTTCTTTTAAATGTCTTTTTACAGGTCATGTGGCATTATCTTTAGTTCATGCAGGTGCACTTGGTATTGAGCAAGTAAAGCACAGAACGTTGCCTAAGTCAGTGGTGGATGTTTGTAGAGTTGTCTACCAAGCAAAATGTTCGCTCATTAAGGTGATAGATTTTAATTCTTTTTATTCTGTGCTTTGCAGACAGTTGCTGAAATATTTGTTGTTAAAGTTGTCTTTTCCTGGTTAACTTTGCAGACTCATCAAGAACAGGACCGTTCTTACAAGGAGGTCTGCGCTCCTGTCATCGAACGTTTGAGATTCCTCTTTAATGAATTGAGACCTGCTGTTTGTAATGACCTCTCTATAATGTCTAAGTTTAAATTGTTAAGTTCTTTGCCCCATTGGAGGAGGATAGCTCAGAAGATAATTCGAGAACCAAGGAAAAAGAGAGGTAAGAATGTAAAAGGACAGAAGATACTATTAAAGCTTGTGCTTCACCCTGCCACGTTGGATCTGTGATTTCAGAGTGAAGTTTCTCTACTGTTGATTCCATGTAACATTTCTACCTGCTGCCATCATTTTTATTATAGTTAGGATTAAATACAGACATCTCGCTTATTTTTCCAAATGATCAGACAATGAGGCAGTTTAGGAATTGAGTGTGGTATGATTTGATTACTAGTAAATTGATGTTGAAAACGTAAATAATCTTTGCTAAATTGATGGGAACAAGGAAGTACTTTTATTAGTTATCCTGGTAATGAGATATAATGGGAACATTTAAACTTATTGCCATTCTTCTAAAGAAATGTTTTTTGTTTGGAAATATTGAGTATTCTGATACATGAAGAACTATAAAGGGAAGCTAAAAGAGTTACTGACATTTTCCTGGAAGTAGCTGTGTAAGGGTACAGAAAAGTCTTTTTGCATTAAATCCAAATTTGAATAAAAATGCTTAGAAATTATAAAATAGTTTAGAATTTAGTCACTTGTGATTATAAATAAACTACAGAAATTTCTGATTATATCCTTTTTTTTTTTTTTTTTGAGATGGAGTCTTGGTCTGTTGCCAGGCTGGAGTGCAGTGGTGCGATCTCAGCTCACTGCAACCTCCGCCTCCCAGGTTCAAACGATTCCCCTGCCTCAGCCTTCCAAGTAGCTGGGATTACAGGCACGCGCCACCACTCCTGGCTAATTTTTATATTTTAGTAGAGACGGAGTTTCACCATGTTGGCCAAGATGGTCTTGATCTCCTGACCTCGTGATCTGCCTGCCTCGGCCTCCCAAAGTGCTGGGATTACGGGCGTGAGCCACCGCGCCTGGCCTCTGATCATATTATGACTTATACTGATTTACTCACAAACCTGCTTATTGAACAGTATTGATTACTGACTTTCTGATGGGCATTTTGAACAATAAGCTTATGAAAGACTAAAGTGTGTTAGAAGCCATCCTAATTTGATTGTTCCTGAACAAACCCTACACCATAACAGCCTGTCTGAATGCGAGGGGTGCTCTGGATCAGGAAGTCACAGCAGTCACACTGCTGCGATTCCTTTAACCCAGGCATGCAGGAACTCAGCCTGGGCCCAGGAGACAGGCTGCCTCGGAATGAGGGAGAGAGACTCCACATTTGCCATCTCATATCCGTGGGTTCTGAGCCCACACTGTCACTTTTAGAGTTTCTTGTGGGTTTATAGATTTATCGTGTGGTGTTTCAAGCTGGTTTTCTTTTTTTTTTGGAAATTAAGTAACTTGAAAAGATTAAGTGATTAATATTCCTGTTGCTGTGTCAGGGATCCCCGAGCCTTCTCTCAGGCTTGATGATTCACTAAAAGGACTCAGAAGAGCTGTTATAGTCACAGCTGTGTTTTTACTGCAAAAAGGATACAGATTAAAATTAGCAGAGGGAAGGGTGCATGGAGGGAAGTCCAGAGGAAACTAGGCACACGCTTTGGTGTCTCTCCCCAGTGGCGTCACGTGGATGTGCTTAGCTCTCCCAGCAACAGTGTCACATCATGTGTGAAGAATTGTCAACCAGGCCAGCGCACCTGAGCCTCGAGTCTAGAGATTTTGTTGGGGGCCAGTCACATACGCAGGCAGTGCCCCTGTGACTGACCTCACTCAGGCTCCAGTGCCCCAGTGCAAAAACAAGTGGTCCCTCGCAAGTCCCATCATTAGCATAAACTACCTGGCCAGACCACTGCCACAAGGTCCTGGGTGTCAGGTATACCAAAAAACTTCTCAGGCAGGATGTTCCAAGGGCTCAGAGCTCAGCTCCTAGAAGAAGGACCAATCCTGAAGGGACAGACCTTCCTTGGGAATTTGCAGGGTTTGAGCAACCCCGGCCTGCTATGTTAGCTCTTTACTGCCCAGATGTATTATCATGTTGCTTATTTTTTATATTATATGCTGAGGAGATTTAGACCAAAAATTTTAAAAGAGATAAAGTATAGGGAGGAAATTCCACATATCACAGTGAATTCAGTTGATTCAGTTACACAGTAACAGAACCACTGAACTGGACCAGGGTGGACAAGCCAGGAACTATGGGCCAAATTCTACCTCTTGCTGGCTTTGGGTTGCCCATGGACTAAGACCTTTTTTTTTTTTCCAGTTTGAAATTGTTATTTAAAAATTAAAAGAAGTATATTATTTTGGCACATGAAAATTACATGAAGCTAAAATTGTAGCACCATAAATAAAGTTTTACAGGAGCACAGCCACACCTGTTGCTTTATCTGTGGTTACTTTTTGTGCTACAGCAGCAGAGTTGAGTATTTGCGACAGACAGCATGGCCTGAAAGACTCAAATGTTCACTCTCTGGCACTTGAGGAAGAGCTTGCTGGCTGCCGGGCTTCCCCTGCTTCGGGGCTTCTCCCCTCGTCGCACTCTCACTTTGTCTTTTTGTTCTGCCAGGGTGATCATTTCACTCTTGTTGAGCATTGCAATTTATAATGTTGTTCAGATGTTTATTTGAATGAAATATTTGTCCTTCATGTAAATCTAAATATGTCTTAATTTAAAATTAATATTTAAGTGTATGATTTTTATAGTGAATGATGTTTTAAAACACAGTTCCTAAGAAGCCAGAATCTACGGATGATGAAGAAAAAATTGGAAACGAAGAGAGTGATTTAGAAGAAGCTTGCATTTTGCCTCATAGTCCAATAAATGTGGACAAGAGACCCATTGCAATTAAATCACCCAAGGTGCAGTATTTTCTGTGATTCTGAGGTTGGCTGAATAGAATCGTAGCATGTAGCACAGGAATCCACAGTCTTGTACCTCTGTACCTGAGCATCTGGAGGGAGGGACGGGCGGTTGTTAGAAATACGGCCCCAGTGATGCTTCATGAACTTGACTTATGATGTCCTGGTCAGAGCTGTAGCTGGAGAAGGGTTTCCTTTTATTTTTGGTATTAGATTGTATCATTAATTATTCACCATTCATTCCTTAAATATATTCTTTGTTCCAGAAACAGTGCTGGGCCCTGTGGCTGTTAATATGAACCATAACTTAACTTAGTATGCCAAGCTAGCCTGTTCCAACATATAGTATAGAGATTATAAATTCACTTATATTTATAGCATAGTTTTAAAAACATGTATTACTAAATTTAACGTATTTTAACCAATTTAAACCCATAAGCATTATTTATATTTTACTTGAATAACTTTTAGAGCACAGTTTATTATTAAATAGGGTAGACTAATGATGAAAATTGTTTTCCTTTGTTAGGACAAATGGCAGCCGCTGTTGAGTACTGTTACAGGTGTTCACAAATACAAGTGGTTGAAGCAGAATGTGCAGGGTCTTTATCCGCAGTCTCCACTCCTCAGTACAATTGCTGAATTTGCCCTTAAAGAAGAGCCAGTGGATGTGGAAAAGAGAAAGTGCCTACTAAAACAGGTAACATTTGATGAGAAATGCTTCTCTGCATTGGGTAATATACATAACACTTAACTGTATGCATTGATATTTTGCAGTTGGAGAGAGCAGAGGTTCGCCTGGAAGGGATAGATACAATTTTAAAATTGTATCTGGTGAGCAAGAATTTCTTACTTCCATCTGTGCCATATGCAATGTTTTGTGGATGGCAAAGACTTATTCCTGAGGGAATCGATATAGGGTAAAACGTTAGCATATTTTTTTCTTAATTAAGGAAGCTGTGGCAACAGAATGTTTTTCTGTAACAGTTAGAAGTCTGGCAGTGTCCCAAGTCAAATTCTTTATCTTTATTTGAAAGGGAACCTCTTACTGATTGTTTAAAGGATGTTGATTTGATCCCGCCTTTTAATCGGATGCTGCTGGAAGTCACCTTTGGCAAGCTGTACGCTTGGGCTGTTCAGAACATTCGAAATGTTTTGGTGGATGCCAGTGCCAAATTTAAAGAGCTTGGTGAGTCAATAATTGTATCAATGTTATTTTATAGTTTGCCTTTAATTATATGTTGTGGAAACTTGCAAATGCCAATTTTTGGTTTTGAGAAGACTTTAATAAGTTTGTACTTTGTACTTGTATAATCTATGCTGCTGTCAGCTTTCTCAGATTTTAAACAAAACTTTAAAATTTAGCAGGAGACACAATGTTGAAGTACTCTAGTATAACATTTTTACATTTTGACATTTTTATGTGTATCACCACATATCCTAAAGTGTCTGTGTCCTATATTGATATTTATTTCCTGGATAGTTTGAGCATCTACAGAGAGTTGATTGGATTGATTTTATGGAGGAAAAGTGAGACATAACTTTTATATTTGAAATGGAAGGAATGGAATAGGGCACCGGTGTATTCAGAGAGCAACATACTAAGTCCTGTAGACAGATGGAACGACCTGTGCATAGAATGCAGGGGGTAGGCCCATCGTGCAGCATGACAGAGCTGCCCACTCTGTGGAAACCACTGAAAAATAGTCAGATGTTTAGAGTAATCGCCCGTGCCTTCTGCGTTACGTTTATGCTTGTATCCATGCGAGAGAAATGTCAGTGGGTGTCAAAATAGTCAGATGATTAGAGTAATTGCCCATGCTTTCTGCGTTACGTTTATTCTTGTATCCACGCACAAGAAATGTCAGTGGGTGTCAGTGCTTATTAGTCAGATGTTTAGAGTAATTGCCCGTGCTTTCTGCATTACATTTATTCTTGTATCCATTACAAGAAATGTCAGTGGGTGCCAATGCTCATTAGGTATCCAGCCGGTTCCCCTGCAAACCATCACCAATGAGAACCCATCGGGACCGAGCCTGGGGACCATCCCGCAAGCCCACTTCCTCCTGGTGATGCTCAGCATGCTCACCCTGCAGCACAGCGCAAACAACCTTGACCTCCTGCTCAATTCCGGCACGCTGGCCCTCGCTCAGACGGCACTGCGCCTGATTGGTAGGTCTGCACTGGCTTGAGAGCCTTTGGGAAAACGTCAAGATTTTGCTTTGATTTATTTTCTTTCTTTTTTTTAAAAAAAGCTTTTTGTAAATTATGGTAAGACACAAATAGCAGAAAGTGTAGCATTTTAACGTCGCAATTCAGCGGTATTAAATACATTCACAATTTTCTAGAGTCATCACCACTGTCTAGTTGTAGAACTTTTTCATCACTATAAATGCACCCCATTTAGCCATCAGTCCTCACTCCCCTGCTCTCCAGCCCCTGGTAGTCACAAATCTGCTTTCTCTGTCTATGGATTTGCATATCCCGGATATTTCATATAAATGGAATCATACCATTTGTGGCCTTTGTGTCTGGGTTATTTCATTTGGTATATATCAGTACTTTATTTTTATGGCTGAAAAAGATTTCATTGTATGAATATATAACATTTTGTTTACTCATTTATCTGTTGATGGACATTTGGGTTGGTTTTGCCTTTTGACTTTTGTGAATAGTGCTGCTAGGAACATTTATATACAAGTACTTGTTTGAACACTTGTTTCTAGTTCTTTTGATTATACACCTAGGACTGGAATTACAGGGTCATATGGTACAACTATGTGTAACTTACTGAGAAACTACCAAAGTTTTCCACAGTGCCATATCATTTTTACATTCCCATCACCAGTGGGCAGGATTCCAGGGTTCCAGTTTCTCTGCTTCCCTGCCAACACTATTTTTTGTGGTTTTCTTTTTTTTTTTGGATTAAGGCCATCCTAGCGGGTGTGAAGTGGTATCTCATTGTGATTTTGGTTTGCATTTCACTAATGATGAATGACATTGAGCTTCTTTACATGTTTGTGCTTGTTGGCCATTTGTATATCTTCTTTGGAGAAGTGTCTATTCAAGTCCCTTTCTCTTTATTTTTTATTTTATTTTTTTGAGACGGAGTCTCACTCTGTCGCCCAAGCTGGAGCGCAGTGGCACGATCTCGGCTCACTGCAACCTCCGCCTCCCGGGTTCAAGCACTTCTTGTGCCTCAGCCTCCCAAGTAGCTGGGATTACAGTCACACACCACCACACCTGGCTAACTTTTGTATTTTTAGTAGAGATGGGATTTCGCCATGTTGGCCAGGCTGGTCTGGAACTCCTGACCTCAGGTGATCTGCCTGCCTTGGCCTCCCAGAGTGCTGGGATAACAGGCGTGAGCCACTGCGCCCAGCCCCTTTCTCCTTTTTAAATAGGGTTATTTGTCGTCATCTTGTTGTACCAATAAATGCACTATATAAGTGTATCAAACCTTTAAAGAAGAATTAACACCAGTCCTCAGACTCTTTAAAAAGTTCGTGTATACTAGACCTTCACAGATCTGTAGACCTTTATCAGGTATATCATTTGAGGGTATTTTCTCCTGTTCTCTGGATTGTATTCCCTTAGATAGAGAAGTTTTTTATTTTGATGAAGTTCAATTTATCTGTTTCTCTTTTGTCGTCTATGCTTTTGATATCATATCCAAAAAGCCATTTCCAAACACAAGGTTGATGAAGATTATCCTCATGTTTTCTTCTGTAAGTTTTATAGTTTCAGCTCTTATATTTAGATCTTTGGTCCATTTTTAGGTAATTTCTTTTACACAGTGTGAGGTAAGAGTCCAGCCTTTTTCTTTTGTTGATCTGATTGTTTCAATACCACTTGTTGAGGACTGTTCTTTCCCTGAAGTTCTGGGTACCCTTGGCAAAAATCAGTTGGCTGTGGATATTTAGGTTTATTTCTGGACTCTCAATTACATTATCACATTCTATATGTTGATAATTGTGCAGGTACCGCCCTGTTTTGAACATTGTAGTTTTGTACTGTTTTAAAATTGAGAAGTGTGTTTTCTTTCTCAAGATGATTTTGGCTACTTTGGGTCCCTTGCATTTTCACATGAACTTCAAGGCTGGCTTTTCCATATCTGCAAAAAAAGACCATTGGGATTTTTGCTAGGGATTGAATCTGTAGATTGTTTTGGGGAATAGTGCCATTTTAACAATGTTAACATCCATTCTCTGAATGTGGAATGTCTTTCCATTTATTTCTGTCCTCTTTAATTTCTTTCAGCAATATTTTATTGTTTTACAGTTATCAGGGTAATAATGGCCTCATAGAATGAACTAGGTAGTGTTCCCATATATTCTGTTTTTAGAAGAGTTTGAGGATTGGTGTCAGTTCAGCTTTAAATGTTTGGTAGAGTTGACCACCTAAGCTTTTCTTTGTTGAAAGATTTTTTTTTTTTTTTTCTTTGAGACGGAGTCTCACACTGTTGCCCAGGCTGGACTGCAGTGGCGTGATCTCGGCCCACTGCAAGCTCCGCCTCCCGGGTTCACGCCATTCTCCTTCCTTAGCCTCCTGAGTAGCTGGGATTATAGTCGCCAGCCACCACGCCCGGCTAATTTTTTGTATTTTTAGTAGAGACGGGGTTTCACTGTGTTAGCCAGGATGCTCTCGATTTCCTGACCTCGTGATCCACCCGCCTCGGCCTCCCAAAGTGCTGGGATTACAGGCGTGAGCCACGGCGCCTGGCCTGAAAGATTTTTAATTACCGATTCAATCTCTTTACTTGTTATGGCTCTATTCAGATTTTCTATTTCTTCTTGAGTCAGTTTGGGTAATTTATGTTTCTAGGAATGTGTCCATTTTATCTAGGCTATTTTATTTGTTGGCATACAGTTGTTCACAGTGTTCTTTTATAATCTTTTTTATTTTTATGTTGGTAGTACTGTCTCCACTTACATTTCTGATGTTAGTTATTTGCATCTTTTCTCTTTTTTTTCTTTTTTTTTTTTTTTTTTTGAGATGGAGTCTCACTCTGTTGCCAGGCCAGAGTGCAGTGACACAGTCTTGGCTCACTGCAACCTCCGCCTCCCGGATTCAAGTGATTCTCCTGCCTCAGCCTCCCAAGTAAGCTGGGAGTACAGGCGCCTGCCGCCAGGCCTGGCTAATTTTTTTTGTATTTTTAGTGGAGATGGGGTTTCACCATGTTGACCAGGATGATCTAAATCTCTTGACCTTGTGATCCGCCCACCTCAGCTTCCCAAAGTGCTGGGATTAGAGGCGTGAGCCACCTTGACTGGCCTCTTTTTTTCTTAATTTACCAAAAGTTTGTCAGATTTTTTGTTCTTGCCAGAAACCGAACTTTTGGTTTTGTAGATTATTTTTCTATTCTCTATTTAATTTATGGCTGCTCTAATCTCTATCGTTTCCTTCTTTCTGCTTTGTATTTTTTTGTTTTTGTTTTTGTCTTTGTTTTGAGACAGGGTCTTACTTTGTCCCTCAGGCCCAAGTACAGTGGCGCACTCATGGCTCACTGCAGCCTCAACCTCCTGGGCTCAAGTTATCTACCTGCCTCAGCCTCCCAAAGTTGCTGGGATTACAGGTGTGAGGCACGACACCTGGCCTAACTTTGGTTTTTATTGTGTTCTTATTTTTTTAGTTCTTCCAGATGTAGAGTTATTGATTTGAGATCATCTTTTGTAAATGCAGACTTTTATAGTATAATTGCCCCTTTTAGCCCTGCTTTTGGCCCAGCACAGAAGTTTTGGTGTGTTGTGTTTTCATTCATCTCATAGTATTTTCTAATTTCCCTTGTGATTTCTTCTTTGACCCACTGATTGTTTACCATGTGTTGTTTAATTTTCATATACTTGTGAATTTTCCACTTTTCCTTTTGTTATTAATTTCTCATCATTTCCTTTTGGTTGGAGAAGGTAACTTGTATGATTTTCGTCTGTTTAAATTTGAGACTTTGTGGCCTAACATATGGTCTGGTCAGTCTAAGAGAGTGTCCTGTGGTATACTTGAGAAGAACGTGTATTCTGCTCTTTTTGGTGAAATGTTCTGTATATGTCTATTAGATCTGATTGGTTTATGGTGGTGTTCTTTGGCTAAAACTGAGATGCTGCAGGGCCAGTTGTCAAAGTCACAGTGAAAAAGCAAGGTTTTCCCAAGCTCTTATAATCACATCAGTTTTAGAGTTCACATTAATCCATTCAAAAATATGTATCAGGCCAGGCTGTAATCGTAGTACTTTGGGAGGCTCAGGCGGGTGGATTGCTTGAGCTCAGGAGTTTGAGACCAACTTGGGCAACATAGCGAAACCCTCTCTCTACAAAAAATACGAAAATTAGCTGGGCATAGTGGTGTGTGCCTGTGGTCCCAGCTACCTGGGAGGCTGAGGTGGGAGGATTGCTTGAGCCAGGGATGCAGAGGTTGCAGTGAGCGGAGATCAAGCCACTGCACTCCAGCCTGGGCTCCAGCCTGGGTGACAGAGTGAAATCCTGTCTTGGGGGTGGGTGGAATCTTTCTATCTATCTGTCTGTCTGTCTGTCTCTCTCTCTCTCTCTATATATATATATATAATTATTTTTTAATTTATATATTATGTTTATATGTTGTATTATGTTAAATATATATTTTAATATGTGTATTACAGCTGAAAAGAATTATCTAGTAAGGGTTATATCTGATTTCCTGAGGCCTCATTAGCAACCAAAAGTTGCATTTAAAAATTACAAAAGCATATCTCCATCGAGAAATGGCCTTTTTATGTTGTCTACTTTTCCCCCAGAGGTTCCCATAAGTAAAAATCACAGCACAAATCATTAAGTATGGGGACTTGTTCTGTTGATAATATTCATGTGTTTAAATTTCATCTGGCCCACTGGCTGCAAAAAGCAAGGAAGTTGTGTCTCATGAATATCCGTCTATATTTGCAGCTTGCCCTGATCAGGGTATCCTTCTTATCATTTAAGAAATTATAAACATATAATATTTTATACCAGCTTAATGTATACATCCACATGTAACAGCCACAAAACATAAAGCTATGTAAAATAAAAAAATTCCCCCCGGTTTTGGTTGCAAATTTATTCAAGCCCTTAGCAATAAATTCAGTCTTTACAGAGTTAACAGTATAGCTGCCCAGGGGATCCTGGGAGATCCACCTGGAATGCAACTCCTGTCCCTTCCTTGGGGCTCCTTCCTGGGGGCCCTAAAGTAGCGGCTAGGCTAAAGGAAAGGCTGTTTCTGCTGCTAGTTTATCTAAAGTTTTGCTCCAGCCCTGGGAATTGAATATCCTTTTTTGTTCTCTTGGAAGAGAGAGAAACACAAACTTTTTACATTTTTTGGTCCACCCCAGCCCACCTTTGGGACTGTTTGGATCTTTTTCCCTCCCACCTGGAGGAGAAAACTAAAATCAAGGGAGTTACCAGAACCACACTCCTACCCCCTCTCAGTTTAGCAAGTGGGAAAAGGGGGGTTAAAAATCTAGCCTACTCTCCTAGGGTTAGCGCTCCTATTTTCAGATCCATTGGGAAGTTTTACTTCTCTCAGGTGACAGCAGCTCGGCTTCTGTTTTGTGCTATGGATGACTCTGTAGCCACCCAGGGCACCAATTGTCAGGGGTCTCCGAGACCACCCCCAGGTTTGATGGTTGGCCAGGAGGACTCACAAGACTCAGCATGTAGTTGTACTCAGGGCTATAGTTTATTACAGTGAAGGGACACAGAGCAAAATCATGAAAAAGGACATGGGTAAAGTCCAGAGGAAAGCAGGTACAAGCTTCCACAGGATCCACACAGGACGAGCTTAACTGCCCTGGCACCGAGCCGTGTCAAGTGCTGTCTGCCGGGAAGCTGGGTAGAGACTCCAGGCCCACGGTTTCCATCAGGACTGATCACACGGGCACCCCCTGCCTGGCGTGTACCAAGTTCCAGACTAAGGAAAGCAGGTTTCAGCACAGACCCCATTGTTTGTACAGACAGTTCAGGCACAGGGAACCACACCTACCACCTAGGGAATGGGGGAGCCCTCCTGAGATCCAGACTCCAGCTGAGGGCCAGCCTGCAGCAACCCTGTCTGAGGTTGTATCTCGGGCCAGCTGTTAGCTGTCTTCTGCACAGAACCATGATTAAAGTTTGTTAGTTTCCCACTGTTAGATATTTAGGTAGTTATCTTTGTTTTTCTATTAATAAAAAATGTGATGAGGATCTTTCTAACTCAGTTATTTTGCTTTTTTCAGGGGAGTAATTCCTAGAAGTAGAGAAAGTAGCTTTACTGAGCATTTTAATATCTTTTATATCTTCCTAGGATATTTATGTATTTCATCCTTCCGTTTATCTTCTTTTTATCCTATATCAGTAAAATATTCATAATATTATATTGATAAAACATATAGTATGGATTGTTCAAAATTACGATCTTCATTAGTACTTTGTGAATGTTTTGTGTGTATTAAGGGGACACTGTAGCTACTTGTTGGCTCAGCTATTGTTTTTGACGCTCCGTCAGGCCCCAGTTGTGACAACGTTGAGGAAGATATGAATGCTTCTGCTCAAGGTGCTTCTGCCACAGTTTTGGAAGAAACAAGGAAGGAAACGGCTCCTGTGCAGCTCCCTGTTTCAGGGCCAGAACTGGCTGCCATGATGAAGATTGGAACAAGGGTCATGAGAGGTGTGGACTGGAAATGGGGCGATCAGGTACTCAGAGATTTGATGTGAACACATTAGCCACACATTAGTTATCTTCTGCATAGTTCTGTACGATATTGGTGGGTGGAAATTGGAATAATCCAGGATGTGTCAGTTGATCGATGACACAGGTGTTGGTTCCCGAGCAGCTGAAGGGAGTGAACACAAACAGGGAATCATAAGTAGGGCATCTGAGCAGAATCAAGTCTGGAAAGAGAGGCAGCTCTTTTCAGGAAACTCACTGGCATGAGGCTCAGTTTGATGGGTCACTGGAACAAGAGTGTGAGAGTGAGCAAGAGAGTAAATCTCATTCTGAAAGTTGGTGTAGTGAAGGCTCTGAGGCAGGAAGCCCAGATGCTGCCCCTGTGGGCTGATGGCCATGTGCTGCGAAGTGCCCTGAAGCCAGTAGTTAGGGATCTACTTCATGGGCCTGTGGCCACGTTTCCATCTTCCCTCATCGCAGGTCTCTTCTAAATCTCTGCCAGGTGCCCCCAGGTGGAAGTCACTTACCACAGCCCTAGCTAAGTTAGGGCAGTGTTCACCTTCCCATGGTCTGTCTGGCTTTTCTCAGCCACGCTGGTAAGCCCTGGCTTTGTCACAGTCATCTTAGAAATAGCAGTGTCTGGAGACAGCATCCATCCTAGAAACAGCTTTCTCCTGCAGAAGTGAGAGACAGAGCTTCCCCCTGGGGCCCAGGGGAAACTGAAGCAAAGGGAATGTGGAGGTGCTGGTGCTTGTTTCAGGTTTCCGCTCTTGCAAGGCCCGTGAGGGATTGTGGGGACAGGACTTGCTGCAAAGCCCTGTCTCTGCATTGACTCAGAGGATCCTCATTGAGATGAGATTTCCCCGACTTCCTTGGTAAAGCAGCATGAGCACGTTATTTTATGCCATTTAATTTAAAATGATGCAAGCACACATTTTGTAGGAGAGGTGAAATCTGTGTCTGGGGACAGCCCCTGACAGACAGGGTGGCATATGGCGACATCTGTGTGGCAGGTCTGGTGGGAGCCATGGAAGGACCAGGGCAGGGCACGCACCCTCCTAACTGAGGTCTGGTGGGAGCCATGGAAGGACCAGGGCAGGGCACGCACCCTCCTAACTGAGGTCTGGTGGGAGCCATGGAAGGACCAGGGCAGGGCAGGCACCCTCCTAACTGAGGTCTGCTGGGAGCCATGGAAGGACCAGGGCAGGGCACGCACCCTCCTAACTGAGGTCTGGTGGGAGCTATGGAAGGACCAGGGCAGGGCACACACCCTCCTAACTGAGGTCTGCTGGGAGCCATGGAAGGACCAGGGCAGGGCATGCACCCTCCTAACTGAGGTCTGCTGGGAGCCATGGAAGGACCAGGGCAGGGCACACACCCTCCTAACTGAGGTCTGCTGGGAGCCATGGAAGGACCAGGGCAGGTTACGCACCCTCCTAACTGATCTCTACTTTGGCTTTCTCAGGATGGGCCTCCTCCAGGCCTAGGCCGAGTGATTGGTGAGCTGGGAGAGGACGGGTGGATAAGAGTCCAGTGGGACACAGGCAGCACCAACTCCTACAGGATGGGGAAAGAAGGAAAATACGACCTCAAGCTGGCAGAGCTGCCAGCCCCTGCACAGCCCTCAGCAGAGGATTCGGACACAGAGGACGACTCTGGTGGGTGACTCAGGAAGGTGTTTAGTCCAAGGCAGCCTACAAACTGTCCAGTTGCTGGGTGCTGCCACTGCCATCTGGGCCTTAGAATGGGATGTCAGGACACACCTGCAGCTGGCGCTCTGTCCTCGGAACCTGTAATTTAAATAAGCTCCCAGGCACCTCCGATGCAGGTGTGTGGAGTGACTGTGGGATCCGGCGATCTGGCTGGAACTGACTTTCTGCATTTTCCTCTCATGTGTGCACCCGCCCCTCTTTGAGAATGTGGTGGCCAGGTGGGGGCAGCTGCATCACCAGTGAGTCTCATGTGGTTGGTGCTGAGCCTGCATCTGAGCGAGTGAGCCGAGGCCTGGTGGAATTGCCCTGCGGTCTCGGTCCATCGCGTCCTCCTCCAGTGAGAGCCCCTGCCCAAGCACACCCCACCTGCCACCTGCCTTTACCTTTCCTCTGTGGTCCCTGACTCTGAACTCTTCATGTAATGTGGAGTTAGTCAGCACTTTATCGCTTCTAGGGAAGCAGAGGTGAGAATTTAGGGGTGGACCAAGAAAGCTAGATCCTATCTGTGGAGATCCAGGTTGTGGGAGGAGGTTTCGTGACATTTCTTAGCTGTTCCTAAAACACGTGAAGCTTCACATGGTTGGGCTTGGTAAGACCATCCAAGAGGCTGGGGCTGCCAATATAATTTGTAATTTTGATTATTTTTTTTAGAAGCCGAACAAACTGAAAGGAACATTCACCCCACTGCAATGATGTTTACCAGCACTATTAACTTACTGCAGACTCTTTGTCTGTCTGCTGGAGTTCATGCTGAGATCATGCAGAGTGAAGCCACCAAGACTTTATGCGGACTGCTGCAAATGTTAGTGGAAAGCGGAATGACGGACAAGACATGTATGGAATGAGAGATCGAGGGCCCAGGGAGTCAGCGCTGGGGGCCGCACGCTTGTCGTGTCTGGGTGTGCATGTGGGTGGGTGTGGATGTGTGTGGATTCCTTTCCTGTGGCTGCTGTAACAAAGTATACAAACTTGGGGACTTACACAGTAGAAATTCTCACGGTTCTGGTGGCTGGAAGGCTGAGATCAAGGGTAGTTCCTTCTGGGGCTGTGAGGGAGAAGCTGCTTCAGGGCTCTGCCCCAGCTTCTGGAGTTTACTGGTCTCTTTAGCGTTCCTCGGCTTGTAGAGGTGTCACCCCTATCTCTGCCGTCATCTTCACATGGCATTCTCCCTGTGTGTGAGTCGCCTCCAAATCTCCCCTTTTCATGAGGACATCATTCAACCTCATCAAACTGATTACATCTGCAGCGACCCTATTTCCAAACAAGGTCACCTGCCGAGGTACGATAGGGGTTAGGGCTTCAACATACGAATTTTGCAATTCTGAATTCAACCCGTAACACTGGCTTCAAACAACAAATTTGTTCTCTCAGAGTTCTGGAGACCAGAAGTCCCAAATCCAGGTGCGGGCAGGGCCATGCTTCTTCCACAGGCTCTAGGGGAAGGTCCTTCCTTACTTTGTCCAGCTTCTGGGAGCTCCAGGCTTCCTTGGTGTTGGGACGCATTGTGCCAGTCTCTGCCTGCGTCTTCACATGGCCCCTGCCCCTGTGTTCTGCATGTCCTTTTCTGTCTCTGAAAGGACTCTTTCATTGAGTTTCTTTGACTCTAATCCAACATGATGTCACCTAAATTCTTACCTTAATGACGTCTACAGAGACCTCATTAAATAAGATCATATTCTGAGGTTCCGAATGTATGTGAAGTTGGAGGACAGGCACAGTTTAATCCATAAAGTGTTTGTGTGTGTGGAGAGTAAGTATGAGAAATGTGAGCTGAGGGAGTGGGGTGAGTGTGCATGTGACTGCGAGTGAGCACATGTGAGTGTGGGTGGGTATGTGGGCGTCCTCCAGTGTGTGTGTGAGAGCATGCGTGTATTAGTGGTGTGCTGGAGCGTCCGCACATATTGATGAGAGTGAGTGTGTTAGTGGTCGATGGGCAAGTGGCTGAGCGTTTGTGTTGCAAGTGTGATGGTGTGTTTGTAGCATGTGGTTGTGTGGGTGTGTGTCCATGAGAGCATGTGAGTGGGCAGGTGACTACATTCAGGTGAAGTGGGAGTGAAAGCGTCAGTGCATTGAGCCAGTGTGTGTGTGAGGGTGAGCACGAGGGAGGCATGAGTGTGAGTGTGAGGGGATTACTGGGTGTGCGAATGAGACACCCAGTGTAAGTGTAAGTCAGTGAGGGTTGGTGAGTGTGAGGAAGTATGAGTGGGTGGCAGGCACAAGTGTAAGTGTGCGATTGAGTGCGAGCATTTGTGTAAATGTGTATGAGTGCCTTGTGTCAGTGTGAGCACGAGTGATGTTATTGTGAATGCGTGTGAGTGAATGTGAGCATTTTGCTTGTGTCAGTGAATGGGAGGTTATAACAGTATAGGTGTGAGTGTAAAGTGAGAAAGTGTGTGGGTAAAGGTGTGAGTGGGTGAGTAATCGGTCGTTACTAGTGTTGAGGAGTGTGAGTGCATATGTGAGTTTTTGTATGCATTGGGAGGGGTAAGTGTATGTGAGAGTGCATGGGAGTGTGTGTCAGCTTGCATCTGTTTGTGCATACGTGTGACTGGGATTGTGTGTGTGTTAGTGATTGCGACAGTGGTGTGAGTGCACCTGAAAGTGTGAGGGTGGGTGTATGAGTGCCCATGAGTGTGTCTGAATAACTTAGTATCAGTGTGAGTGTGAGGATGCATATGAGGGTGTGAGAGTGAGTGTGTGTGTGTGTGAGCGCATGTGAGTGTGCTGAAGGAAGGCAGGTGTCCTCATAAGCTTGGATAGCTGAGGGCAGGGTGGGGGAGGTGGGAGGGAGAGCAGGTCCTGTGGGGCTGTGGGCGGGGTCCCTCAGGGGGCCCAGCCTCCAAGCCTCAGCCTCCATTCAGGGAGTAGTGGAGTCCTGGAGCCAGGCGGAGCAGAGGTGGGCCCACTGGTGCTAGAATCCAGTGGTGTAAACCTAGTGAAAAACTCATTTTGTTAATGCAGATGCATTAAACTTGGATTGGAAACTGTCTCTACTAAAATTACAAAAAGAGTATTTAAGTGGTGCAGATTAAATATAAGCAAGATTGTGGAGATATTTAAAACACGAAATTAAAAATATAATAGATGCACTGTTGCAAATTACTATTTGAATTATAGATCATTTTCCTATTGCCTAGAAACAATACATAGCTAAAATTCCCTAACTACTTTTACGACACATATTTAGAAGGTTTTAAAAATGCCTGTAGTCCCAGCTATTCGGCAGGGCAAGGCAGGAGAATCACTTGAGCCCAGGAGTTTTAGACCAGCCTGGGAAACACAGTGAGGGCCCATCTCTAAAAAAAACAAAAAAAAAAGAAAACTTCGGAAATGTTTCTTGAACTAACTTAAAAGCCGCCTTCCACTTCTCACTTTGAATTAGTTTGAATTAATTTACAAACTGCAATATATTTTAAAGGAGCTTATTGTAGAAAATAAGTTGATAAAAAAATAAGGATATATCTTTAGGGATTTGTCTTTAGGGACTTGTTACCAAGCATGTCTATTTTCCCTCCTGCAGCTTCTCCAAACAGGCTGGTGTACAGGGAGCAACACCGGAGCTGGTGCACGCTGGGGTTTGTGCAGAGCATCGCTCTCACGCTGCAGGTGTGCGGCGCCCTCAGCTCCCTGCAGTGGATCACGCTGCTCATGAAGGTCGTGGAAGGGCACGCACCCTTCACTGCCACCTCGCTGCAGAGGCAGGTAATGTGCTGCCAGGCAAAACCAGTTCCCTGAGAGAGGCCTCCATGTACTGAAGTTCCCTGCCCTCAGAGTCAGGGGCCTTTATTCAGTAACGAGTGCAGAAAGGGTCTAGAAGTGACAGGGTAGATTTTCTGGAGGCAAGGGGCAGAGGTCCTTGATAATTGGTAAGTTGCTAACCTTCAGTTTACCTGCTTTTCTCTTAAGTGGTAAATCCTGCAACTACTTACTCATCTGCTTCACAGAATTTGTAGTGTAATTGTCTTAAGAATTAAACTAAAAATAATTCTTTTTTAATTAAACACATGCATCTGTAATGTTGCTTTTTTCTAAAGTCCCTGACAATCCTAATCACTAATCAACTTGAGTGTAATTACCTGGCTGTAAAATAATGAATCTCAAAATTTTCACATGATTACTTGCATTATGAGAACAGAAAATAAAGAGAGGCTGGGCGCAGTGGCTCATGCCTGTAATCCCAGCACTTTGGGAGGCAGAGGCAGGTGTATCATGAGGTCAGGAGTTTGAGACCAGCCTGGCCAACATAGTGAAATCCTGTCTCTACTGAAAATCCAAAAAAAATGAGCCGGGCTTGGTGGTGAGTGCCTATAATCCCAGCTACTCAGGAAGCTGAAGCAAGGAGAATCGCTTGAACCTGGGAGGTGGTGGTTGTAGTGAGCCAAGACCGTGCCACTGCACTCCAGCCTGGGCGACAGTGCGAGACTCTGTCTCAAAAAAAAAAAAAAAAAGAAAATAACAATCTGTAGTTTCCTCATCAGATTTTTTTTAATGCTTGTCATTGTAAATTTTCTTTTATCAGATCTTAGCTGTGCATTTGTTGCAAGCAGTCCTTCCGTCATGGGACAAGACCGAAAGGGCGAGGGACATGAAATGCCTCGTGGAGAAGCTGTTTGACTTCTTGGGGAGCTTGCTCACTATGTGCTCCTCTGACGTGCCGTTACTCAGAGGTGAGTGGCCGTCTCCTTTCCCTGTGCCCTGGTGAAGAGCGGTGCAGCAGCTTCTCCCCTGGTTTCCTCCTCAGAGTCCATGCTGAGGTGGCGCAGGGTGTGCCCGCAGGCCTCGCTGACTGCCACCCACAGCAGCACACTGGTGGAGGAGGTGGTGGCACTGCTGCACACGCTGCACTCCCTGACTCAGTGGAATGGGCTCATCAACAAGTACATCAACTCCCAGCTCCGCTCCATCACCCACAGCTTTGCGGGAAGGCCTTCCGAAGGGGTGGGTTTGTGTTCTCAGAATTAATTTAGTTGAACAGTAAACCTGTAGGGATTGGGCAGCTCCGTGAGTGTCCCCGGTCGAGCTCGCTGTTTGGTCTGCACTAGGCCCAGTTAGAGGACTACTTCCCCGACTCCGAGAACCCTGAAGTGGGGGGCCTCATGGCGGTCCTGGCTGTGGTTGGAGGCATCGATGGTCGCCTGCGCCTGGGTGGCCAAGTTGTGCACGATGACTTTGGAGAAGTCACCATGACTCGCATCACCCTGAAGGGCAAAATCACCGTGCAGTTCTCTGACATGCGGACGTGTCGCGTTTGCCCATTGAATCAGCTGAAACCAGTAGGTGAACTTGTGCTTAGTTACTGCATGATAAGGGAAATTGACTTTACACTAGAACCGAGCACCAACATCAGCACTTGAAAGAACTTGATTCTGGTACTTGAAGTTTGCCTTCCAGGAAGCTGTGTGAGCTTGTGCTTCTGTGGTAAGCAGGGCCTGTCTCACAGGGCACTTAAAGCAGTGGTTCGTGTGTATTTCAGCCTCAGAGACACGAAGAGGGCTTTAGCAACCTAGAAGGTACCGTGCATCTATGAGGTAGTTCTAATTATTTTAAAATGTGAATTTATGAAGTTTACTTTTTATTCAACAACTCAAGTTTTAAAAAAACAAACATGTTTAAACACCTTTAAAAAAACAGCCTTTCTTCATGTAGAAAATGCTTAGTAGTTTTGAGTGACGTGACTTAATGTAGCAGCTACTGTCATCTTAATCTGTGAATCAAGGATGCACAGGGAGAAGGAGCCATTTACATTATTCTGATGTAACCCAAGTGCAATCTTACTATATATTCTTTTTCTTTTTTGTTTTGAGATGGAGTCTTGCTCTTGTCACCCAGGCTGGAGTGCAATGGCACAATGTTGTCGGCCCTCTGCAACCTTTGCCTCCCGGGTTCAAGCGATTCTCCTGCCTCAGCCTCCTGAGTGGCTGGGATTACGGTGTGTGCCACCACGCCTGGCTAATTTTGTATTTTTAGTAGAGATGGGGGTTTCACTATGTTGGCCGGGCTGGTCTCAAACTCCTGACCTCAGGTGATCCGCCCGCCTCGGCCTCCCAAAGTGCTGGGATTACAGGCATGAGCCACCGTGCCCGGCCTGACTATATTTTCTATAAAGCACTCTTTTTTATTATTATAGGAATATATACATGTTGTAGAAAACTTGAAGTATATAGAAAATATCTGAGAAGATAGTAACCACCACACTGATGTAATTATTGTTGACAGGTTTGTAAAGAAAAATTAATATAGATTATACTTATTATATGTGTAAATCTCTATCCTGCCTTTAATGTCATTTTAAAAAATGATTATTCTCAGCTATAAAAAGGCTTACGGGTATGTGTGGCATTTCAGGATTAAGCCCATGGTTTTGATGACTTTCAGAACGTTTCATTTGTTAGTCATATTGGCCACACTCTGACAGCTTCTGTGTCCTCTCCAGCTCCCTGCCGTGGCCTTTAATGTGAACAACCTGCCCTTCACAGAGCCCATGCTGTCTGTCTGGGCTCAGTTGGTGAACCTCGCTGGAAGCAAGTTAGAAAAGCACAAAATAAAGAAATCGACTAAACAGGCCTTTGCAGGTCAGTACATGGCGCTTCTTGATGAAATAGCTGCCATCTTAAACTCGTGTCGTTTGTACAGTGTTCTTTTATGAGTGAATTCACGGACATACCAAAGTCCTGGGGTTCACGTGGGCTCACCATTTGTTGAGTTGCGGTTGGGAATGTAACCCTGTGTTCGTGGTAATGAGTATTTTCGAGTCAGCCTTTGTCGCCATGTTCGGAGCCACACTTGAAGAACCCCATGGCTCACACCCTCTTCTCCGTGTCACCCTTTATCCCGGAAGAGAAGTCTGTTCACCTCTTCCCTCCTCCCCTCCATCCCAGGGCCCTGTGGCCCCGTCACCCTGTTGGACCATGGCTCACAGCCTGTTCTCTGCCGGATCCAGGGGCCTCTGTCCCGGAAGCGCCTGGCTTGCCTGTGACATTCAGGATGGCTAAGACTGTGACTGTAGCCTGGCTTGGCTTTGCCTTCCTTCGGGTCTAGAATGCGGCTCTCCTGAGTTTGTTTCCATGTTTCTAGGGAGCTCTTCTCTCTGCTCATTCTTTATGTCCTGGAAGTCTGTGTGGCTTCACCCATAACTATGGCATATTCTGCCCAGTCTTCTTGAGTTTTCTCCCCTCTTGCTCCCACAGACCTACGATTGCTGCTTCAGCATATATGATGTAAGCACTTTCAACTCTGGATCTCCCATTCACATCTCTGGTTGGAGGTGCAGTGCATGCAAATCACCACATGTCCGAAATTCAGCTGGCTTTCTCTAGTAGCTGCCGTTTCCCATCGTGGTGAATAAACCTGTCTGCCAGTTAGTTGAGCCAGTGTCCGAGCGGCACCTGCGGCCCTCCTTCCTTCCCACCCCATGCTCTCTGTGCTGCTTCTGCGGCCTCTGCTATCAGATAAGCCTTGGGCATTGCTGCGATCTTCATCAGTTAAAGAGCTAGTGGGGCTGACAGATTCTCTCAGAGGAGTCTTAGAAGAAGAGTGGAAGCGGCTGAAACTTCAGCAACTTGGGGAACATTTGATCATATTAATAGTAGCTAACATGGTTCTAACCGTGTTAAACCCATTGAATCCTGCGTCCTATCAAGTTAGGTGCCTGGAGAGCAGGGAAGGAAGACCCAGGAGGCAGAAGATGCTTACCCAGAAGCACCGAGTGTAACTCTGGGAAAGGCAAGCCCTTCGTCACGGACAGTGTGTGCGGTCGGCAGATTCCTGAAGGGCAGAGCGTTACTCGTCGCCATGTGGCGGAGGCTTGCTGCTGGCGAGGAGGGAGTCTGAGCAGGGCACGCCCTTCTCACTGAGTCTTTCCTTCCGCAGGACAAGTGGACCTGGACCTGCTGCGGTGCCAGCAGTTGAAGCTATACATCCTGAAAGCAGGTCGGGCGCTGTTCTCCCACCAGGATAAACTGCGGCAGATCCTGTCTCAGCCAGCTGTTCAGGAGACTGGAAGTGTTCACACAGGTGTCTTTTTAAAAAGTTCTTAAATCTTTATAAGAAGGGCAGTAGAAAGTAGACAAAGGAAGTGAATAATCAGTTCATAAAAATGGACATAGGTGGCTTATAAATGTACAAAACAGACACGTGGCCTGCCCAGCAACCACCAACTGTGAATAAAATTGTCATCGTCATCTTATAAGACAAGACTGAGGGCATCTGGTGGGTGGGGAGGGAAAAAGGTATTTTCATGCCTTTCCATTTAAAGTGTGCTGCATGGGTCAGCAAGACTGGTGGCACACAGGTATGTGTTAGAAATGCAGACTCCCAGGCCGCACCCCAGACCAAAGAAATAGAGCCTGTATTGTAACAAGATGAACCTAAGCTGGTTCTTCAAATGCGCGTAAAGCCGCACTCCATGAACACGCTGCTGCTGGGAATTTCAGTTGGTGTAGCCATCTAATGGGCATCTGAGGAAATGAGTTGGACTTTGAAATGCATAGATGTATGTATGTATTTATATACTTTGGCCCAGCAAGTCATTCTGTGGGACTTTATCACACGAAAAGGCATGTAAAGATAATGTATTCACCACCTGGGCACAGTGGCTCATGCCTGTAATCCCAGCACTTTGGGAGGCCGAGGCGGGCGGATCACGAGGTCAGGAGATAGAGACCATCCTGGCTAACACGGTGAAACCCCATCTCTGCTAAAAATACAAAACATTAGCTGGGCAAGGTGGCAGACGCCTGCAGTTCTAGCTACTCGGGAGGGTGAGGCAGGAGAATGGCATGAATCTGTGAGGCGGAGCTTGCAGTGAGCCGAGATGGCGCCACTGCACTCCAGCCTGGGCAACAGAGCAAGACTCTGTCTCAAAAAAAAAAAAAAAAAAAATTGGCGGGGCATAGTGGTGGCTGCATGTAATGCCAGCTACTTGGGAGGCTGAGGCAGGAGAATCACTTGAACCGGGGGTTGCGGAGGTTGCCGTGTGTGCGGATTGCAGGGTGCAGATTGTGCCACTGCACTCCAGCCTGGGTGACAGAGTGAGACTTCGTCTCAAAAAAAATAATAAATAAAAATAATGTATTCAACAGTGTCGTTATGGCCTCCTTTTTGGTATTGTTTTTGTATTGAAAAACTGTAGACACCAAAATACCCATTCTTATGTTGTGTATCCGTACAGTGTGATATCATGGTGCCATTCAAAATGATGGTACATGTATAGTCTTCCCTCAATATCCATGGGGATGAGTTCCAAGACCCCCAGTTATACCAGAATTCACTAATGCTTAAGGCCCTTCTATAAAATGGTGTAGTATTTGCATATAACCTATGCACATCCTCCGAAATACTTTAAAAATATAAATGATATATAGGCTGGGTGCGGTGGCTCACGCCTGTAATCCCAGCACTTTGGGAGGCTGAGGTGGGCAGATCACGAGGTCAGGAGATTGAGACCATCCTGGCTAACACGGTGAAACTCCATCTCTACTAAAAATACAAAAAATTAGCTGGGCGTGGTGACGGGTGCCAGTAGTCCCAGCTACTTGGGAGGCTGAGGCAGGAGAATGGCATGAACCCAGGAGGCGGAGCTTGCAGTGAGCCGAGATCATGCCACTGCACTCCAGCCTGGGTGACAGAGCGAGACTCTGTCTCAAAAAAATAAATAAATAAATAAAAATAAAATAAAATAAATGATATGTAAATAGTTGTTATTGCTATTCTTTTTAAAATTATATTTTAAAAAATTGTTTTATTCTGAATATTTTTGATGTGTGGTTTGTTGAATCTTTGGATGCAGAACCCATGGATACGGAGGGCTAGCTGTATATGTTTATTGCTGTGGAAACATGAAAACAATAAGTGAACAGAAAAGCACACTGCTATGTATATCCGTTTATAGATATGCCATAGTTATCTGTTTAGCAAAACAGTGACCCAGTAATCTTTGGTGGAATTTTGGCTGTCTTTATTTTCTTTATATTTCTCTATATTTAGTTTTCTAGAATGAGCTTGTGTTACTTTTAATAGAAAAAAACATTTTTTGATCTCCAACTATTGAAAGACATTATGCTAAGTCTTTTGCGGAGAAGTCCTTTTCTATGATCATTGCTCTCTAGGGTTTGGATGAGGAGAGGAAGTGAATGCAGATGGCTCTCTTTGTTCTCTGGGGCCAGGGGGCGGTGAGGCATGTGAGTGGTTCCACAGGCGTCTGGAGCCAGTGGCAGCTGAGCACTGGACGGGCAGCCTTTGAAGGCTGTGGCAGACAGATGCCAGCAGACAAGCACTCTGCTGGTGGTGGAGGCAGGAGGAGAGGAGTGAACGTGGTGAGTCTTTGGAAGCACGTTGAGCAGCTCTCCTCTTCTTGGAGCTCAGGGTTTTTCGATGAGTGGTGGGGCTGAAGCTAGATGGGCAGCTGACATCCTGTTACAGAGTACCTGGGAGACCAGGGTGAAACTTGAGGCCCACTTGGAAAGCTGTGGTAGGGGCCACATGGTAAGCATTGACCTTCGGGTGATACACCTGCTAGGAAGGTATAGGAGTATCTGAAACAGGAGATGACAGAGATGGAGAATTGCTCCTGCGTCAGGTGATGAGGGGGAAGGCATGAAAAGGGAAAGAAGGTTCTGGTGGAAGGAAGGTGCCATCCACTGTGATGGTGTAGTCTTGTAGATGATAACTTTATGGGGAACCAGCAAAAAGTGGAAGGTGACTGCTGTTTCAAGCTTGAGTTGAGGGAGGAATATTGAGTAGTGTGTTTGAAACAAATAAGTCCAGTAGAATGTGGAGTGTGTGCGTTTGCTTCTTAAGAGGAGAGGATGCTATGAAATTAATTTTAAACCTGCTGAGGATGAAAGAAATCAATTGAAAGTATAGAATCAATTAATAGTAGAGGTCGTAGGGAACATGAAGATTTCCCAGTTGTAGAGATTGGGAGATTGGAGCCTGGGAATTGGATTGGCTGTTCTGTTCTGCACTCAGCCCGATGAGCAATTACAGCAGACCTGAATCAGGATGATCAAGTCTGTGCTTTGGGCCGAGCAGGGACTCCGAACAGAGCTAGATTGACAAAACTGCCGTGCACCTGTTTTTGTAAGTTTTTATGGGAACACAGGCACACCACTTGTTTACAGATCGTCTCTGGATGCTTTTGCTCTGCAATGGCAGAGCTGAGTAGTTGGGACAGAGACTGTACAGCCCATCAGCCTAAACTATTTACTCTCTGGCCCTTTAAGAGAAAGATTTCCAGCTCCTGGTCTAGTTAGTTGAAATTGTCACTGAAGAAAACCAGCACATGCAAATGCTGTGAGTACCTGGATGAGTACCTAGATGTGTGAAGTGGGCTTGAGCGCAGTGGATCTCCCTGGGGCTGTGTCAAACAGAGTCCTAAAGGCTGCACCTAAAGCTACTCATAACAGACAAAAAGCCATCACCCTGAGCACATGACACATTTGGAATTGGGGTCACTTAATGATCTCAACAAGGCTTAGCTGGAAAAGCTACAGCTAGAAATATGCACATGGGATGTGTCTGTGTCAGGGGTTACTGAAGCCGTGAGTGAACATGAAAGAGAGTGTGTAGGTCAGGCATGGTGGCTTACGCCTGTAATCCCAACACTTTGGGATGCCGAGGCGGGTGGATCAGGAGTTGGAGACCAGCCTGGCCAACATGGTGAAATCTAATCAACAGCCTGGCCCCATCTATACTAAAAATACAAAAATTAGCTAGGCGTGGTAGCATGTGCCTGTAGTCCCAGCTACAGGGAAGGCTGATGCAGGAGAATCGCTTGAGCCAGGAGGCAGAGGTTGCAGTTTGCCAAGATTGTGCCACTGCACTCCAGCCTGGGCAACAGAGTGAGACTCCATCTCAAGAAAAAGAGAAAGAATCAGACCAAGTGCAGAAATCTGGGAAGGAGCATTTGCTGGCTCTAAGAGACAGATGCACTAATGAAGGACAGAGACCAAAAGCAGGCAGTGAAAGTGGTTTAGAGTCTAGTTCCTTTTTTTTTTTTTTTTGAGATGGAGTCTCGCTCTGTTGCCAGGCTGGAGTGCAGTGGCGTGATCTTGGCTCACTGCAACCTCCAACTCCCTGGTTCAAGCAATTCTCCTGCCTTAGCCTTGCGAGTAGCTGGGATTACAGGCACGCACCACCATGCCCAGCTAATTTTTTTTTTTTTTTTTTTTTTTGAGACCGAGTCTTGGTCTGTCGCCCAGGCTGGAGTGCAGTGGCGTGATCTCGGCTCACTGCAAGCTACGCCTCCCAGGTTCATGCCATTCTTCTGTGTCAGCCTCCCAAGTAGCTGGGACTACAGGTGCCCACCACCATGCCCGGCTAATTTTTTTGTGTTTTTAATAAAGATGAGGTTTCACTGTGTTAGCCAGGATGGTCTCGATCTCCTGACCTCGTGATCCACCCGCCTTGGCCTCCCAAAGTGCAGGGATTACACGCGTGAGCCACCGCACCCAACCTAGAGTCTAGTTTTTGTTCGATGTCTGAACCTTGAAGATTTTGGTTTTCTATCACATAATGAGGCAGAAGTCATACCTGATTTAACATGCTTAATGCATTTTCTTTAATAGTAAAGTGGTGTTCGCAGTTGAAAATAGAATCTTACACATATTTTGTTTTTAAATTCAGATGATGGAGCAGTGGTATCACCTGACCTTGGGGACATGTCTCCTGAAGGGCCGCAGCCCCCCATGATCCTCTTGCAGCAGCTGCTGGCCTCGGCCACCCAGCCGTCTCCTGTGAAGGCCATATTTGATAAACAGGAACTTGAGGTACAGCCATGCAGCCTTGACAGTTTTTAATCCACAGCACTAAATTGTGAACACTTTTTTTCTAGATGTATATTTTCTTAAGGATCTATTCTGAATGTTAAATGATAGTACGCAAATAATTCTAATGATTCATTGGGGTTTAACCATGTTTGTGCATAGTCTGCAGAACATTATAATACTAAAGACTGAGAGGGTTGAAGTTTAACCTTATTTTGGGTTTGTGTAAATTGTGAAAAAATATTAACTAGATGCAGCATGGGTTAAACGCTCACATCTTCATGAAGGGATCTTTTTCCAGGAAGTAGAATTATTCAAAGAGGCTCGTCAGGACTCTGGCAGCCGTTTGTCTGTTTCATTCACTCAGGAGCCTCTTGGGGGTGCTCTGGTGCCGCCAGCCTCTCCGCTCTCTCCATGCTGTGGAGCAGGTGAGGGCAGCAGCGAGGCACAGGGTCAGGGCTACGGGACGTTCGCATAGAGGAGGCGACGTGATTGAGTGTAAGAGGGATGGGAGCTTTCATGGCTGGCAACATAGAGGATTAGAGATGTTCATTCCAAAATCTTTCTTGCTGTGTAATACATTAAAAATCTGGACAAAATATCAGAGACAAAAATAAAACTATCAGTACTCAGTTTGGCAATCAGAAATTACCCTAACAGAAACCCTCAGATAGCAGGGCCCTTCTGGGAGCAAGGGTCCAGATGAGGCAGCCACTGCCTTGGACAGGTGGGAGGCCTCCCCCAGTCCTAGAACGAGCTGGAAAGATGGTGGGGGTGCAAAGGGAGAAAGCAAGAAACGGGTGTGGGCAGGAAGGGAGGAGGTTGGCCATGAGCTCTTCTGAACTCCAGCTTCTTCTCAGGTCTGGGAACCTCCGAGGTGAAGGTTCATTTTAAAGGGCCTGGTTGTGTTTCCAGTCTCCCTGGCAGAGATCAAAAGACGCTGAGCAACTTGAGAGCACGTGGGGCGGTGCACGTGCTCCCTGCAGTCATGCTGGGAGATGCCGAGTGTGAACACCTAGAAGGCCGTGTAGAGTTGTTCTTCAGGAACTGAGAAGGACTGTTGTACAAAAAAAGACCTTCCGCTGTTTTGTCTCCATGGATTCCGATGGAGAGTCGTTGTTCTTATCTCTTCTTTTGTATGAAATGTCTGTTTTCTCTGGTTGCTTTTCGTATTTTGTGTTATCTTTGGTTTTCTGCAGTTTCCCTAAGCTGGGCTCATGTATACAATGGTGGCACACCCCGCCCACCCCACCGTCCTCCTTGAAATTTATTTAAGCTGCTTGCATCTTTGGCTTGATTTTTGTTCCCCTACCAAATTTGGAAACTTTTGACTGCTGTTTTTTCCCCCTGCCTTGCTCTTTTTGTTCTTTTCTGGAAATACTATTATACATCTGTTACACTGTTAGTGAGTTTCCTTTTATGACTTTAATAGAAAGTCTTTCTTCTCCTTGTTAGTAGCTTGGTTAGTTTGTCTTGATCTGTTTGAAAGGTCAAGATGCTTTGCTTTGTTGGGCCTAATCTGTTGTTATATCCATCCAAGACATACTTTATTTTATATTTCTCACATCTCTTATTTCCATTTGGCTCTCATTTAATAGTTTTATATCTCTTCTGACAGTTCCTTTCTTCATCCTTTAAGTCTATCTTTTTTTTTTTTTTTTTTTTTTTTTTTTTTTTGGATGGAGTCTTGCTCTGTCACCAGGCTGGAGTGCAGTGGCGTGATCTCAGCTCACTGCAACCTCTGACTCCTGGGTTCAGGTGATTCTCCTGCCTCAGCCTCCCGAGTAGCTAGGACTACAGGTGCCTGCCACCATGCCTGGCTAATTTTTGTATATTTAGTAGAGATGGGGTTTTACCATGTTGGCCAGGCTGGTCTCGAACTCCTGACCTCATGATCTGCCCGCCTCAGCCTCCCAAAGTGCTGGGATTACAGGTGTGAGCCACCGTGCCTGGCCAAATCTATCTTTTGCTGTACATTTTAAAACATATTTCTGATAGTTATGTTGAATTTCTTGTTTGCTAATTCTAACATCTGCCCACCTGTTGGTCTGCTGCTCTTTGCAGTTTTTTTCCCTTGATTATAGTCAGTTATTGGTTGTTGTCCTTCACATATGAGAATTTTTATTTCATTCTGGATTCTTTGGACGCTACATTGTATTGGCTCTGGGTTCTGCCTCCTCTGGAGAATGGGGAGTTTTCTTCTCACAGGCAGTTCAGTACCTGGCAGTCCTCCTTGATCCTGAGGTGGCTTGGTGCCAGGCTTTCTAATGATTTTTTATTTGCCCTTAGCCCTGGTTGTGGATCCTTAATTCTCAAGGATTTAGAATCTCTTCTGGGCGTCACTGGAAGCCTTGACATTCTCCTCCCCACCTCTAGTTGGTTGAGCTTGAGCCTCAGATGCTGTCCTGGCCCTGGGCAGCTGGGGAGCCCCTGCAGCCTTCCAGCGGTCCCTTTGTGCCGAGCGCAGGCTCTTCAGTGGTGCTTCAGTTTAGATTCAGCTGTAGATTTGCGGGTAGTCCGTCCGCATATTTCGTGGTTTTCCCTCTGTGGTTTCTTTCTCAGGCGGGCTTTCCCTCACATTCTGGTTGCTCTGGCAGGCCGGGACCCCAGCCCCTGCAGTGCAGGAAGGTGCGCCGTCTGTGGTTAAATGCGCGTCTTACCTGCAGGCTTCTCGGTGTCAGGGGTTGTGCTTGTTTTATTGCTGATTGCGTCAGCTGTTCTCCAGTGCCCTCAAGCAGTTTTAAAAAATATTTTATCCAGAGTTCATGATTATTATCAGCCAAGGGTTAGTCCAATGCACCCTAACTCCCCATTATCAGAACCAGAACTCTTGGCTCAATCTGGCTCTGAATTTTAAACTTTTAGGATGAAACCTGTCACTTCCAAGTTACCCAGACTTCGCTGCAAAACCCTAGGCTTTGATACTTCCTGAGCACCGGGGGGCTCCACAGTGTCCTCGGTTTCTTCCTGATTCCTTCCTCACATGCTCCGTTTAACAAAATAGCAAGTCAGTGCTATGAGAGCAGCTGGGGAGGAGGACCAGGGAGTTACAGACAGATCAGGGAAGTGCTATTTGTGCTGTAGGTGGGGAGTTCCCAGCTGCAGAGACTGGCAGTTTAGATGTTCACTGATTCATTGCAGTGTGTTTCCCAACTAATACTCTTTTATTTCTCTTACTTTTTAATACCTTGTTTAACCTCACTGTGGTTATTTAACCCTTGAATAGTTGAGGGTTGTTTTAATGGTACATGAGAGTCCTGTGTCATTTCTGGCCTGTCTAAAACACAGGTGCCTGTGGCCGCCACCACAGTGCCTGGTTAAGGCAGGGGGAATGCCTTTCTCCCTGCTCCTTCAAGCCCCTGTGACTGTTCGCTTGGGGCTGTAATGAAGTTTTCCTTAATGGACATTGATACTTGGCTAATTTAGTAGGCTCTCTGTCTGCTGAAACAGGCAAGTTATTTTACCCCCACGTATTTTCTCTGCATTAAACCGTGAAACTTGGCTTTGTCATTTTCTAACATGTTTTAGGAACTCATTGAAAAACACACATGTGAATGCGGGCTTTCTAGACTTGCATACTGCAGTTCACAGTAGAAGGCCATCACCCCTGTGTTCCTAGACTGTGTAAGCTAGCTGAGGGCACTTCCCAAATCTCCCAGGACCCTCTTGTCTGCCCAGGCTGCTGCACTGGCCGTTTGCCAGTGCTTGGCTGTGGAGTCCACTCACCCTTCGAGCCCAGGATTTGAAGACTGCAGCTCCAGTGAGGCCACCACGCCTGTCGCCGTGCAGCACATCCGCCCTGCCAGAGTGAAGAGGCGCAAGCAGTCGCCCGTTCCCGCTCTGCCGATCGTGGTGCAGCTCATGGAGATGGGATTTTCCAGAAGGAACATCGAGTTTGCCCTGAAGTCTCTCACTGGTGCTTCCGGGAATGCGTCCGGCTTGCCTGGTACTTCGTTTTCCTGGCCTCTGCTTGTACGTGTGTGGGTTCCCGCTTCAGGGCTGTTGACTCACAGTGGCTGGTGTGCTGTGTGTGCCTCTCTTAGGTGTGGAAGCCTTGGTCGGGTGGCTGCTGGACCACTCCGACATACAGGTCACGGAGCTCTCAGATGCAGACACGGTGTCCGACGAGTATTCTGACGAGGAGGTGGTGGAGGACGTGGATGATGCCGCCTACTCCATGGTCAGTGCCTCCCATGTGACCGCCCGCACCTGGGCCGCTGTCCGTCTAGCGCTCTAACAGTCTTACACCTTGGCTTTCTCTGTCCCTTGAAAGAATTAACTATATCTACTGTGGACTGTTTCATAAAACCAACCTATGGTGTTGCCGGGCACAGAACAAAGCTGTGTTTCACTACTGAAGGGATGATTGGGTTTCTATATCATAATTACTTTTAGCTTCAGAACAGACCCTTGTTCAAACATCTCATGATCTTCGCTAGCCATTAGAGGATATTTTATTAAAATACCATGTTTTGACACATCAGTTTCTGACCTGAGTAAATTGTTCATAGGATTAATTTGGAAGTGCCTTGGAAATTTTGTATACTTGTAGCTTTTGAGATTCATTTCTGCCTACTATGCTACTGCTATTAGTCTTTTTTAAATGAAGATTTTTATAGAGAAAATAAAGGATTTCATCCTTTACTTTTTAATATTATAGATTTCACAGACATTTCTTTTTGAGTAGATTTATTGAGTTCTCCTTTTTTTTTTTCTTTGAATGTATTTATTTCTTGTAGTCTACTGGTGCTGTTGTGACGGAGAGCCAGACGTACAAAAACCGAGCTGGTTTCTTGGGTAATGATGATTATGCTGTATATGTGAGAGAGAATATTCAGGTGAGTAATTGTCTTAAGCTGGAGCCTCGATCCGTTTTTCACTCAGCAAATATCTGGGTATGTCCTATATGCCAAACATCAGTGGACAGAGGCCCCTGCCCTCAGGGAGCCTGCCTTCTGGTGCTGGAAGACATACCTGACCAGTGAGCTCATGGTACACTAGAAGGTGCTGTGTACCCTGGAATGAGAGAGAGCAGACTACAGTAAAGGGGTAGGAGTGAGGGCACAGTCCAGGGATCGGGATCTGCAATGAGAAGGTGACATGGGTGCAAAGCCTACAGGGTGTGAAGGGTGGCTGAGCAGGATGGGCACCCAGACAGAGGCTGCTGTGGCTGCCCCGGTGTAGCCAGAGGACAGAGGGGCAGATGGGCTCAGGGGCAGCCGGAGAGCACAAGTGGCCTGTCCACGGTGGACATGGCGCAGAGATGGCTGTTTTCTACTAGCCCCACTTGTGACACTTCCTACATACCTTTCCTTGTTTTTCTTATGTAATTCTCATTGCCATCAAACTTTAAAAATCTAATTATGTTTTATATAGTCCTTTATCTACTTTAAATCATTTCTTGTCCTAATTCTCTTGTTTTAGTATATTTTAGAGAAAATCCCCCAAATCATCTCATTTCACCTGTATATATGTCAGTGAGTATCACTAATAAAGAATCTTAACATAATGACATTTCTGTTTACCAGCATTACCTAACAAAATAAATAATAATTCCTTAATATCATCTCATATCTAACGCTTGCTTGTAGTTTTCCAGTTTTCTCAGAAATGGCTTTAATGGTTAGTTTTTGAACTTGGATAAACCAAGATTGTATGCCTTATCTACATTTGGTTGATGGATCTTTGAAGTCTATTCCAAGCTAGAGTGGTTCCCCCTTGTCTTAGCTCAGTTGGCTATAACACAGTACCATAGACTGGCAGCTTCAACAACAGACATTTATTTCTCATGGTTCTGGAGGCTGGAAATCCAAGATCAAGGTACCAGCTTGGCTGGATTCTGGTGATGGCCCTCTTCCTGGCTTGTAGGTGGCTACCTTTTTTTTTTTTTTTTTTTTTTTTGAGACAGAGTCTCGCTCTGTCACCCAGGCTGGAGTGCAGTGGCGTGATCTCAGCTCACTACAAGCTCCGCCTCCCGGGTTCCTGCCATTCTCCTGCCTCAGCCTCCTGAGTAGCTGGGACTACAGGTGCCCGCCACCATGCTCAGCTAATTTTTTTGTATTTTTAGTAGAGACGGGGTTTCACCATGTTAGCCAGGATGGTCTCGATCTCCTGACCTCGTGATCTGCCCGCCTTGGCCTCCCAAAGTGTTGGAATTATAGGCATGAGCCACCGTGCCCGGCCAGGTGGCTGCCTTCTTGCTGTGTCCTCCTGTGGACGTGGGGCTGGGGATGGGGGGAGCTGGAGCTAGCAGGGGAGCACTGGTGTCTTTTTTTTTTTTTTTTTTTTTTTTTGAGACGGTGTTTCGCTCTTGTTGCCTAGGCTGGAACGCAGTGGCACGATCTTGGCTCACCACAACCTCTGCCTCCCGGGTTCAAGCGATTCTCCTGTCTCAGCCTCCCAAGTATCTGGGATTACAGACATGCACCACATGCCTGGTTAATTTTATATTTTTAGTAGAGACAGGGTTTATTCATGTTGGTCAGGCTGGTCTCGAACTCTTGACCTCAGGTGATCCACCTGCCTTGGCCTCCCAAAGTGCTGGGATTATAGGCGTGAGCCACCATGCCCATCCTGGAGTCTCTTCTTATAAAGACCCTAATCCTGTTGTGTCAGAGCCCCACTCTTATGACCTGATTTTACCTTAATGACTTCCTTAGAGGCCCCATCTCCTAATACTGCCACATTAGGAGTCGGGACTTCATGAATTTTGCGGGGGGGATACAAACATTCATTTCATAGTAACCCTCCTTCTCCCTTCCTCTCCTTTCATGCTATTTATTTGTGGCTGAAACCATGTCCTCCAAATGTCTTACAGTCTGCATTTGGAGGTGGCTTCCTTGTGGCTAACATCTTCCTCTCTCCCTGTTTCTCCAATGCAGTAGGAGTTAGGGTTGGAGGGTGATTGGACCAGGCTGAATCTCAGGCAGGAAGCTTCATAGGCATGTACTCCCTCCGGCCCCATCTCAACAGGCAAGCAGGTTTGGGTGGGTTAGGTCTTGTCAGCCTGCTCCTTCCTTGATGACATTCTGTATTAATTGTCCATCTCATAGCTCCAGCAGGCATTAGTGTCATCACCTAGACCTATCATTAGGGGCTGCACCATAGTGATTTTCTAACTTCATCTTCTCTGAGTTCATTAGCTGGAATTCTCTTCTGTGAAAAAAAGCTTTGTTATTAATCTTGGTTGCTCTTGATAATACAGGGAGACTTCACCAGTTTTCACAATGATGCATTGGTGTTCTGATATGTATAAAGATGACCAGGAAGCTTTGTTTTCCTTATTATCATGATGACCAATCCATTGGCTTTTAGGGTGTGATGTCTCCACTGTTATATTTTTGATGATCAGGGAATCCTTTTGAGTAATCTTTGAAAGCTCCCTTCCTTTATGATACAAGTTGATCCAGCCTCTTCCTGTATATTTCCTGCCTGAGACACAAAGCCAGACAGTGTTCTAAAGAGTTTCTCTTCCCTTTATCATTAAATAATACTTAGAATGCACTCTGGGTGCTAGATGAAATTCTTTTTTTTTTTTTTTTTTTTTTTTTTTTTTTTTTTTTTTGAGATAGGGTCTTACTTTGTCACTCAGGCTGGAGTGCAGTGGTATGATCTTGGCTCATTGTAACCTCCACCTTCCAGGCTCAAGCAATCCTCTCAACTCAAGTCTCCCAAGTAGCTGGGACCACAGGCATGTGCCATCACATCTGGCTAATTTTTGTATTTTTGGTAGAGGTGGGTTTCGCCATGTTGCCCAGGTTTGTCTCAAACACCTGAGCTCAAGTGATCCTCCCACCTCAGCCTCCCAAAGTGCTAGGATTACAGATGTGAGCCACCGTGCCCAGTTGAAATTCTTTATTAAGAGTAGAGTAATACTACTTATCATGGCTCATTTCACCTGTGTACATGATGGACTGGATCTCCAATTTCATTTTAATTCTAGGTGGGAATGATGGTTAGATGCTGCCGAACATACGAAGAAGTGTGCGAAGGTGATGTGATGTTGGCAAAGTCATCAAGCTGGACAGAGATGGATTGCATGATCTCAATGTGCAGTGTGACTGGCAGCAGAAAGGGGGCATCTACTGGTTTAGGTACATTCATGTGGAACTTATAGGTGAGCACATTCTTTGTTTAGTGCTTTTACTTTTTCTTAGAGACAGAATTCCCATAAATGAATACTGATTATAATGATTTGTTATTGAAATCTGTAGGCTATCCTCCACCAAGAAGTTCTTCTCACATCAAGATTGGTGATAAAGTGCGGGTCAAAGCCTCTGTCACCACACCAAAATACAAATGGGGATCTGTGACTCATCAGAGTGTGGGGGTTGTGAAAGGTAATATCATCTGGGTAATTAAATTCCTGATGTTAACTTTTCATTAATGCATATGTACTTAGTATTTCTTTTTGTTCAAGCACACAAAACAGAAAACAAGTGTGAAGAAAGAGATAGAGTGTTCCTTTGCTTGTCAGTGCCTTCTGCCAAAGGCCACAAAGGAACTCACCTGCAGTGAAACAATCAGATTTATTAATATTAACTCATTGCAGTACAGGAGAACACACACCTTGGGGAATGGGTGTCTCCATCAGAGGGAGTGAGCGAGGACTAATGAAGTTTATGTTGGGTATTTGGGGGAGGGGTCGAGAAAGCAGGGGTAATCCTAAAACAGGATGTCTTAATAAATTTACCTAGCAGGCAGAAAGAATGGAGCCATGCTAACGTCATGATTGGTAAGGAAGCAGTCATTCATATCACCAGGATAGGGGACTGTGTGGTTGTTTGTGGTTTGGATTAGACTCAACTTTAATCACACATGGTTAAGGAGGGGTTTTGGTTGTGCCTTGATTCATCAGTCACAGAGTGGCCTTATCTGATGTTCGTGTTCTGTAAACTTGTCCTGTCATTTGTTCTGTGAAATGGCCTAACATTGACATTAACAGGCCAGCTCCTGACTGTCAGGACTGCTTTTTCTTTCTCCTCCCCTGATCCTCAGGCTGGAGTGCAGTGGCGCCATCTTGGCTCACTGCAACCTCCGCCCCCGGGTTTAAGCAGTTCTCCAGTCTCAGCCTCCAGAGTAGCTGGGATTACAGGTGCCCACCACCGTGCCTGGCTAATTTTTGTATTTTTCATAGAGATGGCGTTTCCCCATGTTGGCCAGGCTGGTCTCGAACTCCTTACCTATTGATCCGCCCACCTCGGCCTCCCAAAGTGTTGGGATTACAGGCGTGAGCCACCATGCCTGGCTCTTTTTCATGCTGTATAAAAATTTAGGACTGAATTTAAGAAATGGAAATGTGCTAATGATGGAAATTAGGAACTGGAAACAATTCTCAGATTATATTTAATATGATACTGTTGAGATTCCAAATCAAATCCGTGGCACACTTTGAAAGGCACACTATGTCCGTTTTAACAGTTGCATGAGAAATAAGTATGTGTATAGTTTTATAAACTCTTGATGCATAAAGAGATTATTTGTTTGTTCGTTTGAACCTTGTGGAAGCCTCTCTTTTCATCAGATCGCTTAGAAAATGGCCACAGTTGGTGGTTCCCCAGTGGTGAGAGGTTCCTAGAGCTTCTCATGTTACATAAGAACAAGTGGATTATTTAATATTTTACTTTAAACATTTTTCTTTGCTTAAGAGATTGTTAAAATATTTGCAAATCAAAACAAGACAAATTTTAAAAATAAGAATTTGGTTTCTTTGTTTTGAGTGACACGTTGCTCTTATCAAAGGATGAAAGAAGTCTTCATGTTATTAATGTGGTTTTTATTCCCTGAGATACCAAAGGTATTGTATGGAATTGTTGACTTGGTGTAATTAGAAACCAAAATGTCCTATTTTAAACCTAATGCAAAAGTAAGGAATGTAGTTTACAATGAACCTCCATGTGCTCATTACCTGGCTTTAACGATTGTCGCCTCATGGCCAAAATTATTCATGCTCCCTTCTTGTGATTATTTTGAAACCAGGCGCTGACATCATGTATTAGTTCATCCATAAGCATTTTAGTACCTATCTCTAAAAAATAGACTCTTTGTAAAAAACAAATAACTACAATGTAGTATGACATGGCTAGGTGCAGTTTTAAGTTCAGGTTTTTATTGGTGAAGAGGAAGATGGATCAGGTGATTTTTGTTGTGTCCTGGCTTTCAGTGCCAATGGAAAAGATATCATTGTTGACTTTCCCCAGCAGTCTCACTGGACTGGGTTGCTATCAGAAATGGAGTTGGTGCCCAGTATTCATCCTGGGGTTACGTGAGTTATTTTTATGATTGCTAGATTTGCTTTGGGACGAATGGTTTTCTGTTGAATTAAGTTTAATAAATGACCTTTCTTAACTCAGTTGCTATTTTACAAATAGGTGTGATGGATGTCAGATGTTTCCTATCAATGGATCCAGATTCAAATGCAGAAACTGTGATGACTTTGATTTTTGTGAAACGTGTTTCAAGACCAAAAAACACAATACCAGGCATACATTTGGCAGAATAAATGAACCAGGTATGGCAGAATGTTTATATTCTCTCTTCCACCAAATATTAATGAAATACTTATTGTGGACCACAGTGTACTGGAATTTGTTATTTTAAGGTTCCTTTGCATATGGTAATTCTGTAGAGTGAGTACAGTGAGACGGAAGTGACGGTCCTACCCGCTGATGACTGGCTGGCTTTTTAAAAAAATCAGGATGGGGTATCGGGGAAGAATTAGAATAACTAGGCTTGTTTGCTTGTTTTTCCATAAAGAAACATTAAAAGAATCTCAAGAAACTAGTAAGTGTTTAGTTGCGTGGCATGTGGAATTGGTTAGATGGAGAGTGAGTGTTTTAATTTGTATACCTTTTATTATATTTTTCATTGTGGCAAAATATATTTAACTTAAAATTAGCCACTTAGTCATTTTCTAAGTTTATAATTCAGGGTATTAAGTACCTTAAGTACAGTGTTGCACAACCATCACAACTTTCTCTTACCAAAACTTTTCACCACTCCGATCAGAAACTCTGTACCCATTAAGCAATTTAACTGCCCTACTTCCCCTTACCCCAACCCTGGTAACCTTGAATCTAACTTTGGTCTCTACGAATATGACCACTCCAGACATCTCATCTAGATGGAACCATGTAAGATTTATCCTTTTGTGTTTAGCATAATGTCTTCAAGCTTCATCCGTATTGTAGCATGTGTCAGAACGTCATCCTTTTTAATGGCTGAATAATATTCCACTGTATGCATATATCACTTTTCTTCTTTGTGAGATAGAGTCTCACTCTGTTGCCCAGGCTGGAGTGCAGTGGCGCAATCTTGGCTCACTGCAACCTCCGCCTCCTGGGTTCAAGCAGTTCTCCTGTCTCAGCCTGCTGAGCAGCTGGGATTACAGGCCGGTGCCACCATGCTCAGCTAACTTTTCTACTTTTTTTTTTTAATTATTATTTTTTTGAGACAGAGTCTCACTCTGTCTATAAGGAGTGTATGTGTTATATACATTTTTAGTTTTAGTAGTTACTGAAGATATTAATTATAACATCTATTTTTGACTGATTTAAATCTATTATTATTTAGTAAAGTCTCCTCCTAAACAATGCAAAGACCTTAGTTCTCTTTAACATCATTTATCTTCATTCTGATTTATATGTTCTTAACATATTTTAATTTTTAATTTTTTTTTTTTTGAGACGGAGTCTCACTCTGTCGCCCCGGCTGGAGTGCAGTGGCGCGATCCTGGCTCACTGCAACTGACACCTCCCGGGCTCAAGCGATTCTCCTGCATCAGCCTCCTGAGTAGCTGGGATTATAGGCTCCTGCCACCACGCCTGGCTAATTTTTGTATTTTTAGTGGAGGTGAGATTTCACCATGCTGGCCAGGCTGCTCTTGAACTCCTGACCTCAGGCGATCCACCCACCTCAGTCTCCCAAAGTGCTGGGGTTATGTGCATGAGCCACCACGTCCAGCCAAAATTTTATACATTTTATACAAATATATATCTAACAGAACTATCGAAGACATTCTTTTATGCACATAGAAAATGTTCATAAAATCCAGTCATATGCTAAGTGGGTCATATGCTCAAACAAAATTTCAAAAAAAGTCAAAGGATCAGCCAGGCGCAGTGACTCATGCCTGTTTTTGTTTTTGTTTTTGTTTTTGTTTTTTGAGACAGAGTCTCGCTCTGTCACCCAGGCTGGAGTGCAGTGGCACGTGATCTCAGCTCACTGCAAGCTCCGCCTCCTGGGTTCTCGCCATTCCTCCCGCCTCAGCCTCCCGAGTAGCTGGGACTACAGACGCATGCCACCATGCCAAGCTAATTTTTCGTATTTTTAATAGAGATGGGGCTTCACCGTGTTAGCCAAGATGGTCTCGATCTCCTGACCTCATGATCCATGCCTGTAATCCCAGCACTTTGGGAGGCCGAGGCAGGTGAATCAGGAGTTCAGGAGATCGAGACCATCCTGGCTAACGCGGTGAAACCCTGTCTCTACTAAAAGTACAAAAAATTAGCCGGTGTGTTGGCGGGCACCTGTAGTCCCAACTACTTGGGAGGCTGAGGCGGGAGAATGGCGTGAACCCAGGAGGCGGAGCTTGCAGTGAGCCGAGATCGTGCCACTGCACTCCAGCCTGGGCGACAGAACAAGACTACGTCTCAAAAAACAAAAAAAGCAAAAAAACAAGTCAAAGGATCAAACAATACATGCAGGGCATATGACGATTTTATGTAGTCAATATTCATTTAGATTTTTCTGCATACTTTGTAATTTCTCTCCACTTTTTTCTTCCTCTTTAATTTTCCATCTGTACTGTTTTTCTCCTGCCTGAAAATCCCCTTAATATTTTTAAAAATGTGTCTTTGTTGGTTACAAATTATCTATTTTTGTATGTCTGAAAATGTCTTTATTTCTCCTTTATTTTTGAAAAGTCTTTTTGCTAGGTGTTTTCTTTCAGCACTTTAAAAATAGTATTCCATTGCAATTTGGTTTATATTATTTCTCCTGAAGTTGGATGGAAGTCTAATTGTGGTTCATTTTATTTTTCCTTCGTCTGCTTTTCAGAGAGTCTTTTTGTTTTCATCTTGCACAGGTTTTACATGTGCATGGAGATGTTTATCTTTCTTGGGGTTGGTAGGGCTTCTGGGGCATGATATCTGTTGTCTGTTTTGGAAAATTCTGTCTTTCAGTATTTCTTCACATTTTGCCTCTGCTCTATTCTCTTTTCTATCTTTTTGGGGGGACTCTTCTTCCACTTGTGTTAGGCCTAACCTCTGTCCTGCAGATCTTTTACCTTCTTGTTATGTTTTCTAAACTTTTGCTCCTCAGTTCTTCATTCCAGATATTTTTACTTTCTCTTCAGCTGAGTTCAGTGTGTTCTAAACTTACTCATTAAGTTCTTAATTTTAAATATTGGATTTATCAGTTCTAGTCTTTCTATTTTATTTTCAGTAGTTTTTGGTTCTCTGCTGAAATATTATCTTTTTGAACACAGTAAGCATATTTATTATACTAAAGTCTGTGTCTTCTGACTCCAATATATGGAGCCCTTGTGGGTCTGTTTCTCTCCTATCATTTCTGGTCATTTTTAGTCACTTTTTTTGCCTCTTCATGTGTCATTATGTACTGGACACCTAACAAATAAAGAGAAACACTATGTTCATGGGTTAGAAGACTGAATACTGTGAATCCATCCTTGCACATTGACTTACAGAATTAATGCAATCCACATCAAAATCCCAAGCAAGCGGTTTTATAAAAACTGACAAGCTCATTTTAAGTCATATGGAAATGCAAAGGGCCTGCAACAGCCAAAATATATTTGAAAAAGAACAAAGCTAAAAAACTGTTGCAACCTGAGTTCAGGCCTTTTATAAAGCTGTAGTAATCAAGACAATGTGGCATTGCCACCAAAATACACAAATAAATCAATGAAACAGTACTGGGAGTCCAGAAATAGATCCATACATCCATAGACAACTGATTTCTGACAAAGGCAAAAGGCAATTCAGTAGGAAAAGCGTAGTTTTTCAACAAATACAACTGAAACAACTGGACAATCATGCCCAAAAAAGCCTTTCAATCTGAACCTCCCACTATATATAAAATTTAATCAACTGGTCATAGATATACCTGTCTAAAACTATAAAACTTCTATAACAGAACATAGAAAGACAAACTTTATAATCTTGAGGCAAAGGTTTTGTAGTCACAACATCAAAAGTACACTCTACAAAAGAATAAAATGAATAAACTAGGCTTCATCAAAATTAAAAACTTCTAATCTTTAAGATTCACCTGTGAAGAGAATAAAATGACAAGCCACACTGACAGAAAATACTAGCAAATTCTATATTAGGCAAAGGACTTGTAACTCAGAATATATAAGGAACTCTCAAACCAGTAAGAAAACAACCTATTTAAATATGGGAAAAGACTTGAACAGACATTCACCAAAAAAGGTATGTGATTTGTAAATAAGCAAGATGCTTGAGATCATTAGTTATTAGGGAAATGCAGATTAAAACCACAACGAGATACCACTATACATCTGTCAGTATAACTAAAATTAAAGACTGAATGTATCAAGGGTTGACAAAAATGTGGAGGATGTGGACCTCTGGAACATCCACTTTGCAAAACAGTATGTAGCGATCTTAAGAAGCTAGACATACACCTACCATATGATCCAACCACTCCTCTCTTAGAAGTTTACCCAAGAGAATTTCAAGTGGATGTCCATACACAAACTTGTATGGAAATGTCCATTAGCAATTTCACTTGCATAGTCAAAAACTGGAAACAGCCCAAACATTCATCAACAGAAAAATGGATGAACAAATTGCATTTGTTTATCTTAAGATACTATTCAACAATTTAAAAGAATAAACTATTGATACATGCAACGTAAGTGAATCTCAAAATTATTATGCTGAGTGGAAAAAGTAAGATTTTTAAAAAGAGTATATGCTGTATGATTCTACTTATAGTAAGCTGTAAAACATGCAAACTGGCCTGCCACAGTGGCTCCTGCCCATAATCCCAGCACTTTGGGAGGCCGAGGTGGGAGGATCACTTGAGCTCAGGAGTTCCAGACCAACCTGAGCAACATGGCAAAACCATGTCTCCACCAAACAAACAAAAATTAGCCAGGCATGGTGACATGTGCCTGTAGTCCCAGCTATTTGGGAGGCTAAGGTGGGAGGATCACTTGAGCCCAGGAGGTGGAAGCTGCAGTGAGCCAAGATCGTGCCACTGCACTCCAGCCTGGGCAACAGAGTGAGACCCGGTCTACAAAAAAAAAGAAAACAAACAAATAAAACACCCACGAAACAACAACAACAAAAAGCAGACATGCAAACTGATCTCTAGTGACAGAAATTAAATTGGTGCATACGGCAGGAAGGAGGGAGGTAAAAGCAAAAGGGAGGGGTACAGAGGGCCAGAGAGGAACGCTGGGGTAGTGTATGAGTTCATTATCTTTGATTGTGCTGATGCTTTCATGGATCATACGTATTCCAAAGTCGATCAAAATGCATACTTTAAATAGGTGCAGTTTATTATATGTCAATTATAACTGAATAAAGCTGTTAAAAAATACAAAAGAGCCCAGTACAGTGCCTGTAGCTCTCAGGCAGTTATTAGGAGTCCTGTTCACACACAAGGACAGCGCTGTGAGTTTACCTGATCATAAACACAAGAATCAGCAACATACTTTCTTCTAAAACTTTCATTCCAGCAGCATAAATCGCATGAGAGCACACCATAATTCTTCTGTGTCTTTAGATTCATAATGTAGTTAACGCAGCACTACAACCTCTAATGTGTTGGCACAATTAAATAAATGTAAAGTTGCTGTAACCTACAGAAAAATCTCAGGATACAAATCTGTGTTACCTAAATAGGAAGCACCTAAAGGGTCTCTTGCAGTCTGGAAGAGGACGGGCTCGTGGACAGAGGGCGTGGCCACATCCACAGTTGTCCACGCCACACTGTGGGACGACCCACAAGCCACACACATGATCTTCTGGCCTTCTAAGCCTTGCACGAGCGTGGGCTTCCTGTTAACCGTGGTCGTGCCATTGCCCTGCTGGCCGTGGTCATTGTCACCCCAAGCATACACCTGTTTACGAGGAGAAAAAAGCTTATAATTTTTCAACATTTCAGGACATTTTCTTTAATGTAATTTTTACTTCAAAATGCTTAACGTGTATGCCATGGTATTTGAAAGAATTGAGTTCTTAAAAGTAAAAGCAAACCATTTCACAATCTTACAAAATGGCATCGGTGTACTATAATTCTGAAGAAAATCTAACCATGAAAATGCCAATAACCATAAAAGGAGTATTTTCTTAATATTAATCAAATTAATTCTGCTTTGTTGCAAGTCACACAGAAGGTCCTCTCTTCAACTAAGTGCAATAATTTTTTCCCTTTTACTTTGCAAAGAAAAATGACCAAAAACAATATGCTCATTTTTCAAGTAAGTAGCTCCTTGGCCTTATAGAATTATAAAGTATAATTCATTTTGACTAAAAAACAGTAATGGTAATTTTGTTTTCATAAATAAAATTTTAAATTGAATATCCACAAGCCGGTCATAGCATATGCTTCTCCAAGCAGAAGAGAGTGTAACACTTGTCAGGCACTAGCTCTGTCTCTAAAATGAGGCATGGGTGCCTCCTCACCAGTTAGCAATTTCCTAAAGCAAAGTCTTGTTAATACCTTGCAGTAGGAGCATCTTCAAGAATAACAATCTTTTGGCCGGGTGCGGTGGCTCACGCCTGTAATCCCAGCACTTTGGGAGGCCGAGGCAGGTGGATCACGAGGTCAGGAGATCGAGACCACGGTGAAACCCCGTCTCTACTAAAAATACAAAAAATTAGCCGGGCGTAGTGGCGGGCGCCTGTAGTCCCAGCTACTCGGGAGGCTGAGGCAGGAGAATGGCATGAACCCAGGAGGCAGAACTTGCAGTGAGCCGAGATTGCGCCACTGCACTCCAGCCTGGGCGACAGAGCGAGACTCTGTCTCAAAAAAAAAAAAAAAGGATAACAATCTTTCCACACACTTTTCACGTGGACTTCAGAGTGGGAACGCCTCTTTTCTGAGGACCCCACCCCCAACCCCTGCTGCTGAGCAGGCAGATACACCAGCGGGCAAAACGGATGGGTCCCGGCCTCATGGTTCTTCAAGCAGTAAGACTCGGCTGAGTTCATCAACAGCTGTGATTTCAACAGGACGAGGGCCATGTCGTGACCCCCACGTCCCCCAAGTCAGGATGGCACGCCACCCCCAGGCCACCTGCAGCCTTACCTGCCCCGAGTCCGTGACCGCCAGGCAGTGCAGGGCCCCGACAGCCACATGCACGATCTTCTTCCCTCTCAGCCCTTCCACCACCTACAGTTTCCACACGTGCACGTCAGAGCCCTGGCGCAACCTGAAGTAATCCCCCTTTCCCCTGAGAAGGAGGCCCGTGGTGGAGTGTTACAATATAGTTGTGGTCTGACAATGCTATACAAGAAGACACTCATTGTCTCACATCTTTCACAGCCAGCTCAATGACATCACACACAGCACCCAAGGTCTTCGAACTTGTATTCAAAATCATACACCATTAATTCAAATTAACTTATTAAGTCAGCTGGGAAAAACCTTAATACCTTAATACATGTTCTACAATATTTAAGTTACTGTTGTAGGTTTTCATATAGACTGAAAATAAGACACATTACTGCAAACACCTATCCAAAGTCCTATCTGGTATACATCTTTCTCAGAGTGCCAATGTCGGCCAGTAGCAGTGGTTCACGCCTGTAATCCCAGCACTTTGGGAGGCCGAGGCGGGTGGATCACAAGGTCAGGAGATCGAGACCATCCTGGCTAACATGGTGAAACCCTATCTCTACTAAAAACACAAAAAAATTAGCCGGGCATGGTGGCAGACGCCTGTAGTCCCAGCTACTCGGGAGGCTGAGGCAGGAGAATGGCGTGAACCCGGGAGACGGAGCTTGCAGTGAGCTGAGATTGTGCCACTGCATTCCAGCCTGGGCGACAGAGCGAGACTCCATCTCAAATAAATAAATAAATAAATAAATAAATAAATAAATAAATAAATAAATAGTGCCAATGTTATGACCAGAGGCAGCAAGGCCTGACACAGCATCCAAGGCCAGTCTGGGCACCTGCTCATTTGCACATTAATATAATAAGCTTTTACAAGAAATACATGTTAACTTTCTCAGGATCAAAGGATTCAGAAGGCTATTTTGCTCTCATTTTATCCTTAGGCTTCAGCAGAAGAAACACTTCCTATAAATCTCGCCCAAACAGGAAAGGTAAGTGGCCTAAAATTTTTCTAGTATTTTCAAAATGACCCAGTTACAATAGGAAATTTCTTCTTGTACTATTGTCACTAATCCCGACTCAATATCCTTTAAAGGACAAAGATGCATGCATAAGTAAAAATATGACAGGTCACAATCACGCCGGGGTGGTCCTGGGGCGAGGCCCAAGTTCCCTGCACGCGCCGGCACAAGCACACACACTGTGACGGGGAGGACGTTTACGTACCATGTCCACACCACTCCAGACTTGGTGAGCGCCAGTAGGAACTGAGCTCCACACTCAATCTGGCACACCCCCTGTCCATTTAGTCTCTCAATGTTCTGGGGAATGTTGCAGCCTTCACTTCCGCCCCGGCCCAATTTTCCAAAGTCACCATCACCCCAGGAAAATACCAAACCTAGGTTTAAAAATAGGGAAGGGAAGGGAAGGGAAGGGAAGGGAGAGAAGAAAGGAAAGATAAAGAAAGCCCAACCTCCTTCCAAAATGTCATGAGAATCTTGAGCACATATGGTCCTTGGCATGACCACATGACCTGCAGAGCCCCTGTTATAGAACTCATTTTTATATTTTCCTTAGTATAACAGTTAATATAATATGTCATTTTTGTTAATAGTGTCTTTTTGTCATTTTACTTTTTAAAAGATTTTATTGAAATATACATACAGGAAAGTGCATCTATCATAAGTGTGCAAATTGATGAATTCTAAAATCTTTATTGTACCTGTTTAGCACCTAGATTGACACTGAACATAACTAACAACCAGAAATCTCCGTGTACTCCCTTCCTGTAACTACCCCTGCGCCCGACCAAATCACTCTCTTCTAACAGCATAACTTTGTGTGACTAGCTTTTTTAATGTAAAAGAATGAAATCTACAGCATGTATTCATTTGCATCTGGCTTCTGCCACCCAACATTATATTTGTGGGATTCATTTGTACAGTTGCATATTAGTTTGCAGATCCCTCACTCTCATTTCTATATGGTATTATATTGCATAAACGTACCACACTTTATCCAACTACTGTTAAATATTTGTGCATTTTCTACTTGGGGGTGATTTCAAATAGTGCTGCTATGAACATTCTTGTAAATGTCTTTTGGTGAACATATGCAACACATATATGCGTTGTTGTTGGTTCCCAGGAGGGGCATTCCTGGGTCATAAACAATGCGTGTGTTCAGGTTTAGTACAGTATAATGCCAAACAGGTTTCCAAAGTGTTTGTGCCACTTTACATACCTGCCATTATTGAAAAAGAGTTCTGTTTGCTCCACATTGTCACCAATACTTGATATTTTCTGTTTTTTTTTTCTTTTAAACCGTACTAGTGGGTGTGCAGTGATATTGCAATGTGGTTTTAATTTGCATCTTCCTTGTGACAACCTTGATTACTGTAAGCCACTTGGAAATGTGATTTAAATTCATATAAAGATATAGTAGCAAAACGCATACTAGGTTACTTTCGTATCCAGAAAGTTTAGATAGAATGATTTCTATGTAAGCTTTTACTGTGTAGTCTGAGTCCATGAATATTGATTACAAAAAACACATCTGTAGGTGAGTTACAATACCTCACTTATAATTCAAAATTCATGTGTTAGCTCAATATTTTTCAAATAATTTTTGCATGCAATTTTCACCTTCTTTCTGAGTAGTTTCAGGTATTTTGTATGGTTCCAGCAGTCAGTTAGGTTGCCATTGTTTGGAAGCACACATCCACGTATCTGCACCATGATGATATGGCACGCCCATACCCCTCATTTCACATTTTGTCAGAAGTGCATAGTTATCACTAACTTTGCCAGTAGAAATGTACTCCCAATTTCCCACGGACTTATCTTGAATAATCTCTCCACTGAAGCATAACAGGTTTTGAATTCTGTTAGAATAGTTGTTTTTACTATCTTTTAATTTTATACAAATTTCAAAGTTACGTAATACTTTTATTTAAAAAGTGAAACAAAGCTTTTCCTCTCCCTTACCCACATGTTAGTCCAGCAGAAGGGGAAAGCATTGGCCCCAGGCCAAAATCATAAACGCTTTCAATTAACTAATAATAATTGCTGGCATGTTGCCATTAAATATCCTTGTCTCATTATCTCTGGTTGCTTTATCAAACCCATAGGTCACTGAAGCCCACTTTTGAGACAAAGACTATTTCTCCCCCAAAAGTCAAGGGAAATATAAAAAATGAAATTAGTGATTAAGAATAGAAGTCAATTAATACAATCATTTTGTCTTAATTATTTAAAGTCCAGTTTTTTTCCTGCAGCAAACCTGAAAATACACTATCCTCCAGCTATCAGAATTATATTGAGATCTACTCACATTTATGATGATGTTCAGAGATTCTCATTGGGAAGGAAAAGGCACACGCTGCGGTGGTCTTGCATGACTCTGTTGTTGTGGAAATTCAATTTGTTCATTGTGTTTTGGGCTCCCTGGGTGGTCAGGGCTGGGCTCTGGGTCCTTGGCAATTCCTCAGGTTCCCAGCACTCCAAAGCCAAGCTCACCTCCTCATCACACGCCCTGCAGGAGAAGCATTAGGGTGTCCGACTACGTGGGTTTCATAGCTGTGGAAAAGCCAAAGGGGAGACTCCTGAAGAAAGGCGGTGAAGACTGTGAAGAGCGGGTCAGGAAGATGAGCACAGCACTGCTACTCCTGTGGGCACAGGGACAGCATGTCTCCAGCCAGTGCCACCTTGTTTAATACATGGGAACTCACTGAAATTCATTCTGTATTTTGCCCGCAAAGTTTTAAAGATTTCATCCACAGTCAGGAATTAAACTTATACCAATGAGAGCCTCACACATTCAAGGATGTACTAAGCACTACAGGCCTCACAGAAACAGAGATCCCATCTTGGAGTTTTCAGTCCCACATGGGAGATAAAGGGTTTTGAACATGAAATGACAAAAACAACAGCAAGAAGAAAATTCTCGTCCTTTTTCATTACTATCAGACTCAAATAAATGTCTTGGCTCTTACATTACATTCATTCTTCAACCATTGTGGTCTGGCTTCCACTTCCTTCACTTCACCAACATGGCTCTGCCAAAGGAAGCCCGTGATCTCTAGGCCATCACTTTAATTGATCTCTCTACAACATTTATCCTGGTCGTTAAGCCCTCCTTACAACATTCTTTTCTCTGTTTTTATAGCTCCATCTCTCCTGCTTCTTTAACTTGATAATGCATACTTGATTTTTCTATTTGTTATTTCATAAACCAATTAATATACAGATAAAATGACTGTATATCAAACCATGTTTGTATAGAAAAAATGGATTTTGGATGCCTCTCATATGTAATTAGTTCTATTAAACATATTAATTGTATTGTTTAATTTGTCAGGTTTTTGACAGAATTTTGTTTACAAGTAATAAAAATTTTATCTCCAATTTTCAATAATTACACCCATTATTTCTGTTTTATGTCTCATTGCATTGATGAGATCTTGCAGAATAATTTTAAAACAGTAGTGGGTATTTTCTACTTTTAATGGGTATGTCTAGTATTTCATATATTGTTGCTTATAGAACACTATTCAACCAAGACATGTCAAGACTAGTTGTCTCTCAAACCATTAGTATTTATATTATTCCTTTCCAGCTACACTTGTAGGATGTAAAAGACCATTTCCAGGAATATGGAACTGTTTTACTAGGTGGAGGGTATATATAACCATACAATAGTCACAGAAACTACATTAATACTCACATAAATCAAAGCATAAATGACATAGAATCTTGGCAGATTTGCTTAAGGTTAAATGTATAACTCTTATCAGCAGGAGGTGAAAGAATATATTCTTAGATACTTGGCACATTTAGAAAATATAATCTAATATTCTTTTTAAAGAATAGGCCGGGCACGGTGGCTCACACCTGTAATCCCAGCACTTTGGGAGGCCAAGGCGGGCGGATCACGAGGTCAGGAGATCGAGACCATCCTGGCTAACACGGTGAAACCCCGTCTCTACTAAAAATACAAAAAATTAGCTGGGCGCGGTGGCGGGCGCCTGTAGTCCCAGCTACTCAGGAGGCTGAGGCAGGAGAACGGCGTGAACCCAGGAGGTGGAGCTTGCAGTGAGCCGAGATCGCGCCACTGCACTCCAGCCTGGGCGAAAGAGCGAGACTCTGTCTCAAAAAAAAAAAAGAATAAATAAAACATCATCTACAAGGGAATTACTTGAAATTAAAACAAATGGTAGTCATATATATGGTACTTCATTATTAGGAAGGTGACTAAAAGCCCATTTAGACATATTCTGCTTTTCTTAAGGAATAATGATCGTTTCATGTTAGGTTATAGCCAGCACAGCACCTCGTGGGGTCATCAGAGGCCTGTGCTATCATTCTCACTAGGAGGGATGGTTAACCCATGTGTTCTAGGACCACAAACTATGCCCCAATCTACTCATCCATCTAGAAAAAAAGGCATGCTTTTAGTTCAACAATTCCAAAGCATCAGTTGGAGGACCAGTGTTGGCTGCATCAGAATCACCTGGGTGTTTGTAATAAATACAGAATCCTGAGCAGGTATTCTGGCATTTCTGTTCATACAGAATCTCCAGGGTCAGGGCCAAGTATGTCTGATGTGTAGCAACAGACGGAAACCATCACTTTAGTTAGCAGAAGGAAGGCACTGAGCAGAGGGTTGAATATAATACATTGGAAAAATATCTTAAAGAATTGGGAAAAAGTAATATATGTGAATATCACATCATCATTATAATAGGAAAAGACAAGGTCCTCAACATTGTCAAAGGTATAAATTCCTAAAACAGGTCAAATTCGTGTTCTCAAAACATTTTCCTGAAAAATGTTACTAGGTGGTATAGGGATAAATAGGTTTGCAAAGTACTGTACCCTCTATATATCTTGTCTCAGAAATTCAGAAAGTGTTAAAGACTCTGAGAAGTCCTGCAGGCAACTTCTTATATTTAATGCAGTATATCTCAAACTCACTTGAGCACACAATACTTTTTTCCCCCGAGGCATATCTATTAAGGTCCTATAGAACAATATTCTTAGGCATACCATTTAGAGATACAATTCTAAAATGATTTTATCAAATATTCTATTTCATGGCAAAGTTTTTCCCTATATATTGACATATTCCAACACTTAGTGTTCCTTTTTGCAATATAAATCTTTTCAAGAGGAAATTATAAGCATTGATTAAATGCATCTTAAATTCAAAACCTTAAATAATATTCATCCCAGTATAATTCTTATTGAAATCTATACTTCAAATTGAGTTAGTCCTATAATTTTTCACTTCTAATTAAACCAATTAAAGCAGGGTATGTCTACTGACCTACTTTCCAGAATTTAAAAAATAAACTAGGAAAAAACATCTTCTGAGCTGTGGGATGTTTCCAGAGCTTCATTAAAATAACTTGAAATTTTCATTTGGGTACAATTTTTGCTTATTTTATGGTTCAAATATGCAGCACAAAAGATGACTGGAAGAGGATTATTGAAGCAAATTTAATAAAAGCAGAGTCTATATGAGGCAGTGCTGCTTCATTGCTGCTTTTTCTGCTTTGAGGATGGCAAACTAGAAAAGCCCTTAGATTAAGTTTTTACTTTACCTAAGACAGCATTAAAGCTGATTAAAAGGTTCCACTGAAATGGCAAAATGGCCATATCTCTAATAAGCGCCAGTATAAAACTTAATCTTAAATTGGGCAGTCCTGGGGAAAAGAATTAGATTTAATTTATACCAATTTGAATTATAGAAGTCAGACTCATAGCAGCCATTGGCTACTTATTCTGTGTGCTAAACTAAATCTCAACTCAGTCCCAGGAGGACACATTTCCTACTACAGGGCAACCCTTTTCTGCCCAGTGATCTTAGGTTCGATTATCTATGAAGGGTAGACCATGTGGTAGTAACATATTTTCCAGGGAACAAAACAAATCAGTTTTAATAGTGATCAAACCCCACCCAGCCTCTTTATGTGTTAATACCCAACTTACAAAACCGTATGTTAAGCTGTACAATTCCTCCACTGGAAATTTAAGCGCACATTATTATGAGTTCCTTATTTCCTGATAAGTCCCAATGGTTACAAAATTACTCAGTTTCTTTGAAGAATCAGGAAGCCACCACCCATGGGCACTCAATACTGATTGTCATTTTTAACAAATTGTGGGAAATAAGCTTTAAAACTGGGTCACTACCCCTAAAAGTATGCAGTTTAGTTATAATATATCAATACTGATTTGTTAGTTGTGACAAATATACCATAATCATGTAAGATGTTAGCAACAAGGGAAACTGGGTGCCTGTGTGGTACACAGAAACTCTCTATACCACCTTTGCAACTGTTTTCTAAATATAAAACTATGCTAATATTTTTTTAAATTTAAAAATTAAAAGTAGGTCACCAGAAATTTCCTACCCACATAATATAGTCTCATTTTGAATGTAGGCAAAGGAGGATTCTCAATTCTAGGACTGTCTCTCTAAAAAAGTAAAAAGCTGGTAATTTGATAAGATTACTGCAAGAGAAGCATGACTAAGTAGGCATATATCAACAGTCAATATGGTACCTTTATTACCTAAGAAAAACAAGGCAAAAATTTATCTTGGAAAACTGGATTGCAGAGAACCCTATCTTCTAATTTAATCATCACACACTTATATAGCTCATGTTACACACACAGTACGGTAATATTTATTTGCTGAAAAGCAGAATACAAAAGCATTAGATACTCCCCATCCACCTATGAGTTCACCATCTAGTTAAGTACACGTCACTGCCAAGAAGCTTAAAATGATAGTATTGTCCCTGATTTCTAAGAGCACACATACGCTGACGGGCAACTCTCATGCCAACCTCAAAGGAAGGTAGAATGGATAACAGCATTAAGTCTACAAATACTGTGCTGTGAACACTGTAGCTAAGACCATTCTGGAATAAACAGTGTATCATCTTTAATGTATAGTATCCTATCCCAAAAGTGATATCAAAATGTCTTTAGTAAAATAAGTTCTGTTCTTCTTCATTCTTTCATTCAGCACCTACTGTCTGCCAAGTGTTGCTGTATATGCTGAGCACACTAACAGCACTAACAAAAATACCCTGCTCTAATAGAAACAGACAATAAGCATATGACGTAGATGGTGTTATGTACTATGAAGAGAAATAAGCCCAGAGCAGATGAGAGTTGATGGAGTTGTGTCTTAATTTGCCTTATTTTACATATATTTAATGTATTAAAATCGTGCTGACATCCTATGTGGAAAGGTTTACTGAAAATTTGAGAGACAGAGAATGGCTGATCTGTAGAACATGGGTACTGTCTAAAAGAACCTTCACTGATTCTTTCAAACTTTTCCAGAGATAAACTTAGACTCATTTTGAAAGTTGCTTTATTACCAAAAAATTGCCACTCCATGAAAAGTTCAGCACTTGATGCCAATAGATGTGACAACAAAAAAGCAACTTTGGCATCACATATATGGTCAGGAAAACCATCAGAAACTAAGAGATTTTTTTTTTTTTTTTTTTTTTTTTTTTTTTTGGTAATGGAGTCTTGCTCTGTCACCCAGGCTGGAGTATAGTGTTGCAATCTGGGCTCACTGCAACCTCCGCCTCCCCGGTTCGAGTGATTATCCTGCCTCAGCCTACCGAGTAGCTGGGATTACAGGCATGCACCACCACACCCCAAAATGAGGTTTCACCATGTTGGCCAGGCTGGTCTCAAACTCCTGACCTCAGGTGATCCACCCACCTCTGTTGCAGGAAGTCAGGGACCCCAAACGGAGGGACCAGCTGAAGCCATGGCAGAAGAACATAAATTGTGAAGATTTCATGGAGATTCATTAGTTCCCCAAATTAATACTTTTATAATTTCTTACGCCTGTCTTTACTGCAGTCTCTGAACATAAATTGTGAAGATTTCATGGACACTTATCACTTCCCCAATCAATACCCTTGTGATTTCCTATGCCTGTCTTTAATCTCTTAATCCCGTCATCTTCATAAGCTGAGTAGGATGTATGTCGCCTCAGGACCCTGTGATGATTGCGTTAACTGCACAAATTGTTTGTAGAACATGTGTGTTTGAACAATATGAAATCTGGGCACCTTGAAAAAACAACAGGATAACAGCAATGTTCAGGGAACAAGAGAGATAATCTTAAACTCTGACTGCCGGTGAGCCGGGCGGAACAGAGCCATATTTCTCTTCTTTGAAAAGCAAATGGGAGAAATATCGTTGAGTTCTTTTTCTCAGCAAGGAACATCCCTGAGAAAGAGAATGTATCCCTGAGGGGAGGCCTCTGAAATGGCCACTTTGGGGACGGCTGTCTTTTACAGTCACAGCAGAGGGATGAAATAAGCCCCGGTCTCCCATAGCGCTCCCAGTCTTATTAGGACGAGGAAATTCCTGCCTAATAAATTTTGGTCAGACCAGTTGTCTGCTCTCAAACCCTGTTTCCTGATAAGATGTTATCAATGACAATGCGTGTCTGAAACTTCATTAGCAATTTTAATTTTGCCCCGGTCCTGTGGTCTTGTGATCTCGCCCTGCCTCCACTTGCCTTGTGATATTCTATTACCTTGTGAAGCATGTGATCTCTGTGACCCACACCCTATTCGTACACTCCCTCCCCTTTTGAAAATTGCTAATAAAAACTTGCTGGTTTTATGGCTCAGGGGGCATCACGGAACCTGCCAACATGTGACGTCTCCCCCAGACACCCAGCTTTAAAATTTCTCTTTTGTACTCTGTTCCTTTATTTCTCAGACCGGCCAACACTTAGGGAAAATAGAAAAGAAACTATGTGAAATATCGGGGGTGAATTTTGCCCGATACACCTCAGCCTCCCAAAGTGCCAGGATTACAGGTGTGAGCCTTCGTGCCTGGCCGATAACTCCTTTGAAACAACATAAATATGGAAATGAACTACTCACATATGTTATTATATTGCCCATATCCTTCTGCAGCTTGCCTTTTTCACCCAAAGTTTTCTTCATGAGATTTACCCATGTTAATTCTTTTCAATCTAGTATGTTCATGTTTAATTGCTGTATAATATTCCACCACATGGATATGAGTTTATCCAATCTCTTGTTGGTTAACTTACATTCTGCATCATCTTATGTTACTGCAAATACTACCGTGATAAACAGGTTTTCCAAATTTCTTTGTACACATGTGTTTTTTTGCTCAGGTATGTGCATCTTCAACTTCATTAGAGATTATAAAATTGCACTCCACTTTACCTAGCTGAGTTTCCACTGGCCCATATCTCTGCCAGCAATTCTGTCAGACTTACATTTTCGCCAATCTGAAGATGACAGAATAGTCATTTTAACTTTCAATTTATCCATGAGTTTCTAGTTCAAGTATCTTTTCCCATGTTTACTGACCATTCCAGTTTCTTCCTCTATAAAGTAACTCTTCACATCCTATGCCCATTTTGTCTTAAGTTTTTCTTTTCATTATTAGGCTATTTTTCATATCCTGGATACTAACCATTACAAAAAGTTTCCCTACAACAAGATCACAAAGACAGGTAAATTTTCTTTGAAATTTTTTCTAGTTTTTCTTTTCATATTTTAGTCTTATAATGTCAGAAAAAAAGACCTAACACTCAAATGTCAAAAAAAAACCTAACTGAATAAAAAAGTGGTACATCCACACTACAAAGTACTAATTTTAAAAAAGATGAAGAACATTTCTATAAACAGATATGAAGTGATCTCTAAGAGAAGTTTAAAAAGGTGCAAAATGGGCCGGATGCAGTGGCTCACACCTGTAATTCCCAGCACTTTGAAAACACTCTGGGAGGCTGAGGCAGGTGGATCGCCTGAGCCCGATATCAGCCTGGGCAGCATGGCAAAACCCAGTCACTACCAAAAATACAAAAAAAATAGCCGGGTGTGGTGGCACACACCTGTGGTTCCAGCTACCCTGGAGGCTGGGGTGGGAAGACAGCTTGAGTCTAGGAGGCAGAGGTTTCAGTGAGCCAAGATCACCCCACTGTACTCCAGCCTCAGTGACAGAGTGAGACCCCACCCCAGGTCAAAAAACAAAGTGCACAATGGTATATGCTATCTTTTATCTAAGGGAGGGAGAAAATATTCCTGCCTCAGCCTCCCGAGTGGCTGGGATTGCAGGCTGAGCCACCATGCCCGGCTAATTTATTTATTTATTTTTTTTGGTGGAGATGGGGCTTCATGTTCGTGGGGCTGGTCTCAAACTCCCGACCTCAGGTTATCTGCCTGCCTCGTCCTCTCAGGGTGCTGGGATGGGAACAGGAATTAAAAGAAATTTAAAAATGTGTAAACAAAAACTCAGTTGTATGTAAAAAAACCCAATTCCCCCTGAGAAAGAGAAGAGCTAGAGTCCTTCAAAAAAAACTACTACCTCCTGTTTTTCTATGGCAGTGAGCCTTATCTCTCCTCCCTTCCCGGGCATTATAAAAACCCTAATTCCCTAACTGTACAACTGCAAGGTCACTAAACAAACTCAAGTTACAAAACATATTTTTCCTAAAAAAGGAAAAAATAATATAATGCATGATTCAATTGAACAATTATCTTTGTTTCTCACTTCTATCATATGCTTCACCCTGCACAGATCTACCCCCACCCCATAAAATGCTTAAAAGGTAAGTCTTGTTCAGAACTCAGTGCTTTAAATGTTAATCCGACTGGGTCAATGCACGTAAATAATTAATTAATAACCTCCTAAACCCCATCAGTCTCTCTAATTCCTTAAAAATCCTGCTTCAGGATTGTAAGCATGAGCCACCAGGGTGCTGGGATTGCAGGTGTGAGCCACCGCACCCAGCCCAATTTCTTAATCAGAAAAGAATAGATCGGCCTGGTGTGGTGGCTCACGCTTGTGATCCCAAGAATTTGGACAGCCGAGCGTGTTGGATCCCTTGAGCCTAGGAGTTCCAGACCAGCCTGGGCAACATGGTGAAACCGGGTCACTTTTTTTGTTTTTTGTTTTTGTTTTTTTTTGAGGCGGAGTTCCGCTCTTGTTGCCCAGGCTGGAGTGCAGTGGTGTGGACTCAGCTCGCCGGGCCTCTGCCTCCCCGGTTTGGGTGGTTCTCCTGCCACAGCCTCCCTAGTGGCTGGGATTGCAGGCGTGAGCCATCATGCTCGGCTCTTTTTTTTTTTTTTTTTTTTTTTTTTTTTTGGTGGAGATGGGGTTTCTCCATGTTGGTCAGGCTGGTCTCAAACTCCCGACCTCAGGTTATCTGCCCGCCTCGGCCTCTAGGGGTGCTGGGATTTCAGGCGTGAGCCACTGCGCAAGTCCCAATTTATTAATCATAAAGGAACTGATCGGCCTGGCGTGGTGGCTCACGATTGATCCCAGGACTTTGTAGGGCTGAGCGCGGGGGATCACTTGAGACTAGGAGTTCCAGACTGGCCTGGGCAACATGATGAAACTTGTTCTCTTTTTTTTTTTTTTTTTTTTTTTTTGAGACAGAATTTCGCTCTTGCTGACTGGCTGGAGTGCAGTGGCGTGGTCTCGGCTGCCTGTGGCCTCCCTCTCCGGGTTTGGTTGGTTCTCCTGCCTCAGCTTCCCAAGTGGCTGGGATTGCAGGTGTGAGCCACTATGCCCGGCTTTTTTTTTTTTTTTTTTTTGGTAGAGACGGGGTTTCTTCATGTTTGTCAGGCTGATCTCAGACTCCCGACCTCAGGTGATCCGCCCGCCTCGGCCTCCCTGGGTGCTGGGATTGCAGGCTTGAGTCACCGTTCCTGGCCCAATTTATTAATTAGAAAGGAATAGATTGGCCTGGAGTGGTGGCTCATGCTTGTGATCCCAGGAATTTGGACGGCCGAGAGCGGCAGATCGCTTGAGCCTAGGAGTTCCAGACCAGCCTGGGCAACACGGTGAAACCCGGTCGCTTTGTTTTTTGTTTTTGTTTTGTTTTTTTTTTTTTGAGGTGGAGTTACGCTCTTGTTGCCCAGGCTGGAGTGCAGTGGCGTGGACTCAGCTCACTGGGCCTCCGCCTCCTGGGTTTGGGTGGTTCTCCTGCCTCAGCCTCCCGAGTGGCTGGAATTGCAGGTGTGAACCACCATGCCTGCTAACTTTGTATTTTTTGTTTTTTTTTTTTTAGTATAGACGAGTATTCTCCACATTGGTCAGGCTGGTCTCAAACTCCCGACTGCAGGTTATCCACCCGCCTCGGCCTCTCGGGGTGGTGCGATTCCAGGCATAAGCCACTGTGACCGGCCCAATTTATTAATCAGAAAGGAACAGATTGGCCTGGCGTGGTGGCTCACGCTGGTGATCCCAGCTGGGACTTTGGACGGCCGAGCACTGAGGATCGATTGAGCCTAGGAGATCCAGACCGGCCTGGGCAACGTGGTGAAACCGGTCTTTTTTTTTTTTTTTTGAGGCAGAGTTTCGCTCTTGTTGCCCAGGCTGGAGTGCAGTGGCCCGGTCTCAGCTCCCCGTGGCCTCCACCTCCCGGGTTTGGGTGGTCCTCCTGCCTTAGCCTCCTGAGTGGCTGGGATTGCAGGCGTGAGCCACCATGCCAAGTTAGTTTTTTATTTTTTTATTTTTTTGGTAGAGACTGGGTTTCTCCATGTTGGTCAGGCTGGTCTCCAGCTCCTCACCTCAGGTGATCTGCCGGACTCCACCTTCTGGGGTGCTGGGATTGCAGGCGTGAGTCACTGCGCCTGACCTGACACCAGGTCTCTTAACAGAAAAACAAAACAAAAACCATAAAGATTAGCCTGGCCTGGTGGGCCCGGCGGGCAGTCCCAGCTACTCTGAAGGCTGATGTAGGAGGATTGCTTGAGCCAGGGGGTGGAGGTGGCAGTGAGCCATGTTGGCGCTGCTGCAGTCCAGACTGGGCGACAGAGCGGGACAGTGTCTCAGGAAAAGGGAAAGGAAAAAAAAATAAAGAAAAAGAAAGTATATAAAATTGCTAAATCAGGGAACAGCTTAAGAGTATATTATTGAGAGAAATAGAGGCAAAGGTGAGCAGACACCAATGTTCACTTAGTGGAACTGCAGGTGTCCCCAGACAGGAGGCTGCTATTTTTCCAAAAGAAATCTACTATTGACTTAAAAAAAAAAAAAAAAGTTGGTTTGTTACAATATACAAATAGCTACACTTTATATAGCCACCACCCTCTTCTAGCACTGCTCTAAGCCTTTTCCTGCTCTGAAAGAGCTACTGTTACCTCCATTGTAGAAAAAACAGATGCCAGAGGTTGTTGTGGAAGGACCAGGGAAACTGAAATTTACTTGTACTTTTCAGACTTAAAGGTTCTTCCTGCTCTGCTCCATACACTGCAACATTGTAGTTAACATACCTCTTAAAATACTGGTCCTTTCTGTATTTGGAGGGACTCATCTTGCAGTGTGAAGTTTTTTCTTGCACTAAGCATTTGGTCATAAGCTCATTTGCGTTTTATGTCAGGTTTAAGTACCTCTTCAGACATTGTTCAGTTAGGAATGTAAATATGAGCAAACAGGTATCTGATTGAAATAGATAACCTAGAAAAAATCACTTATGAGAAAGTCAAGAAAATGTGAACTCTGGATTTGTGGCTATTTTCAGAATGTATTAATTTTTTGATATTTAATGGCGTTATGAGTATATTTATTTTTAAAAATTCCTTGTCTTCTACAGATACATATAAGGTAATTTTAAAAATGATATGATATATAGGTTTTACTTAAAAATAATTCAGAGGAAGAAGGAATGTATATAAATGAAGTGGGAATACAAATGGAACAAAACAGGATGTGGCCAGGTGCGGTGGCTCACGCCTGTAATCCCAGCACTTTGGGAGGCCGAGGCAGGCAAATCACCTGATGTCAGGAGTTCAAGACCAGCCTGGCCAACGTGGTGACACCCCATCTCTACTAAAAATACAAAAATTAGCCGGATGTTGTGACGGGTGCCTGTAATCCCAGCTACTCAGGAGGCTGAGGCAGGAGAATTGCTTGAACCTGGGAGGCAGAAGTTTCAGTAAGTCAAGATCATGCCACTGCACTCCAGCCTGGGCAACCACAGCAAAAGCCCACCTTTAAAAAAAAAAACAAAACAAAAACTGGCCATGCCATGAATGAAAAATTGTTGATGATGTATGTATGTAGGGCAGTTATATTATTTTTCTTAACTTTTTTTAGGTTTGAAACTTTTTATTGAACACATGCAAACATCCCTTGATAACTGGGGCTGCTTCCCCATTATTCTCATAGTAGCCCTTCTGATTTTCACTTCATCTTCATTCTTAGAGATTCTGGATTTTTTTTTTTTTTTGGCAAGATCAAATATGTCTTTGCAAGGACCATCCAGAATGTCTATTTTATGACAGAGGCTTTGCAGAGTACCTACTCAGCCATATTATCAGAAACAGAAATATTTTCCATATTCTTGTCTTGTCCTGTTTAGATTTTTTAAATTCCAAGAACAGTCACCTTCTACCACACACTCTGATGTTGGAAGACAAAGCATATTTTGTAAGTGGCATGATTTCTGGGCTCAAATTTAGAACAGAGCCACAGCTTTCAACAACCAAAAAATAACTTACTGTGACTCACCAAATTTAGAAAGATGGGGATTATTATAAAAAGAAAACCTTAATTTACTATGTGACCTCTAAGTATCTGGGCTGAAAATTGTAAAGATAGAAAGGTAAATCAAAAGATATAGAGACTGTAATCATGCACTTAATGAAGCACTAAATCAAAATATATTTGGCATACGTGAAAGAGTTTAATTTTATCACATTTTTTACTGGCACTATAGCTATTTGCAAGTACATATAAAACTACAGTGTTACATATAAACTACCAAAAAAGAACTTTTTAAGAAATGAGACTCATCTAGCAACTTTATTTAAAAGTTTATCTTAGGGGAATAATTAAGGATGGCCATACAAAAGGATTTAGCCATGACACGAGAATGTTCTCCCTGGCAAACCAATGGAAATTATTAAATGTGCAAAATGGAACTGTTGGAATAAATTCTAATGCCTTCATATGATCGTATATTTAACCTTTTAAAATGATATTGAAGAGTTGCATACATTGACTTAAACACACATTTGTAACACATCACTGAATAGGAGAAATATGGGCCAGCAAAGAACATAGAGTTGGTCCAATTTCTACAAAAAAAAGAAGACTCTAATAGCATGACAGCAGGGAAGGGGGACTATGTCAACGTATGTGTGTATATGTATGTATATGCATAGCAAGCATGAACTTGAAAAGATATATTTCAAATTGTTTACACAGATTACCTCAGAGAGGTAAATAACTTTGGACTTTGGTGTTCTGTATTCCACATGCTCTGAATTTTCTTTTTTTATTTAAATAGAGATGGGATCTTAGCCAGGAGCAGTGGCTCACCCCTGTAATCCCAGCACTTTGGGAGGCTGAGGAGGGCGGATTGTTTGAGGCAGGAGTTCAAGACCAATCTGGCCAACACGGCAAAACTCTGTCTCAACTAAAAATTCAAAAATTAGCCAGGGGCGCAGTGGCTCATGCCTGTAACCCCAGACACTCGAGAGACTGAGGCATGAGAATTGCTTGAACCAGGAGGCAGAGGTTGCCGTGAGCCGAGATCACACCACGGCACTCCAGCCTGGGCAACAGACCAAGACTCTGTCAAAAAACAAAACAAAACAAAACAAAACAACAACCACAACAACAAAACAGTAATAAAGAGAAAACCTAATGGACAGGAGCAATGTCTCGTGCCTGTAATCCCAGTGCTTTCGGAGGCCAAGATGGGAGAATTGCTTGAGGCCAGGAGTTCAAGACTAGCATTGGCAACATAGTAAGACCTTTTCTCTACAAAAAAATTTAAAAATTAGCCAGGCATAGTAGTGCATGCTTATACTCCCAGCTACCTGGGAGGCTGAGGTGGGAGGATCACTTGAGCCTAAGAGTTGGAGGTTGCAGTAAGCTGTGATCATACCACCAGAGAGCCACGACCCCATCCCCGCCTCCTTCCTCTGTCCTACGCTAGCAATAAATAAGTTTCCCAGCCACAAATAATTATTAGAACCTCCTCCCCATGTGACAGCTCCAACCTCTGCTAGGTATGATACAGGGGCAGCCCTACCCTCTGGAATATACAAAATGTTACACAGACACAGTATGTACACCGGGGAAGGTGGGCCACCCCAGCAGCCCATGCCCTCGCTGGTCCACAGTTAGCCCCACTTTCTGGCCTCAGCTACCTCTCTGAATAAGAAGATGGGAGCCCCCCTGAGGGAAAAGTTGCTATGGTGAGAGTAAGGGGGACATCAGGCCTCCTCCAAACAAACCAACTCCACCAGCCTCTGGCTCTTAAATAACAATCATCATCATCCAGAAATTTAGGGACTCAGCCCTGGTCAGGGTGGCAAAGGGTCTGTTTGTCTTTCCCCATTAGACAGAGGTCTTGTCCTGCTACCCTAATTGTAAAGGGGTGCCTGGGAAGGGGTGGTAGGGACATGGTGGCGGTGGAGACTCCGGCCCCACTTCTCCAGGCTTTGCTGACAGGGGCCTGCTTTTAATTTTTATTTTTATTCCATGACTTTTTAAAAAAGAATCCCGTAACTTCTTTTTCATAACTTTTTTTGTAACTTTTCATAATACTGTTTTCTACTTTGTTCCCACAAGTTTTTTTGCCACAACGTTTTTACATTTTTTATCCCATAACTTTTTCACCCCATAACTTTTTTAAATAAAGTTATTTAATAAAATAACTTTTTATAAAACTTTAATAAAAGTTTTTTAATTAACCCATAACTTTTTTATTTTGGTTTTTAATAAACACTTGCATAGTTATATTACAACTTTGTAAAAATGAAACACATTATCTCATGCCAAGCATGCCCAGCATTTGCACAGTATCAATACCTTTAATACTATAGTTTTCAAGAAACGCAAAATAAAATTTTAAGGCAAAAACAACACATTCAAACAACTTAATAATTTATTACATTACAGTGGCATCACACCAGCAGTCAATAAGGCCACTCTAGGGAAAAATCTTTCAGTATTTCCATTACACATTCTGTTTATAATAATTCATAAACTGGTAAAATTCATTCTAAGAAAACTTGGCAAATAAAACTTTGGACTGGAATTGGCATTTCTTTCTCTGCTTTTCGTTCCCACTGTTTCTTTCTTTTATACTACAGTATTCATATTTTAAAATGTTTTAAATTATTTCAGAACATTAAGATAGCAGTTACATATTTTAATAGTTATATTATTTTAAAACAACTCTTTAAAGTTTTAGAGAAACTATATTATGGATAGGGCTGATTTACATTTTCAAATTTTCTAAAATCAGCTTTGGTTTTAGAGCTGATTTTTTTTTTCATTTCTGGAAAATTATCAGGTTGAATCAAATACTTTTAAAATGATTATTATATATTGCCATCTTTAAATAGGTATTTTGATTCTTCCTACAGAAATTAAAATGTATTCAGTGGAACTCACAGTTTAAAATTCTGTGTTTCTGATGAACTCTAACATTCCAATGTTGCCTTCTAAGCAAACTGAAAGCTGCCTTATACAGAATGAGGAAGAGCACAAATACTCGGCTGAATGAGGTATCGCAAAAGACTGCATGCACTTTGGAGAAAGACTTGAGTTATTGTCATACAATTTCCATTCTTTTTAGCTTTTTCTTAAATATATGACAAATACCTATACAAAGAGTGGTATTTCAGTCAATATAGTAAATTTATTTTCCAGACTGACCTTCAGCTTAAATATGCCAGTGTGTGATTTAATCCATAGGCACCTCATGAACACATTATTGTCAGATTGGTTACAGATGCTAAACGCTATCCGAAGGTCATTCCTAGTCACTGATATTTATCAGGGTAAAAGTGAAGTGATTTCAACGATAAAAGTACCTTTGCAATAATTTATCAATGTATTAGATAAACCCAGTTTCAGAATGATAAAAGAAAAAACGTTAGACCAAATAATGTGGCTGATTAACAGTGGTCCGATTTCTAGCCCGAGGGTTTAAAATGCTCTTAAAGTAACTGTCTTTAAACTGAACTCAAAGAATGCAAAAGCGGCAAGTTCAGAAAATAAAAGGCGAGAACAGGACTTTAAGTGCATTTTAAACCCACGGGCTACAAATCGTACCACTGTTAATTAGCCGCATTATTTGGTCTAAGATTTTTTCTTTATCATTCTGAAACTGGGTTTATCTAATACATTGATACATTCATAAAATTTGGAAGAGTCAGTGGAAGTCACAAGGACCGAATATTTGCACTCTTTCAGTGAATGCCAGCAAATCTGTTATTCCATCGGTAAAATCGTACTGTTGCTCTCCTGTTAATGTCATATTTATAGAAGTATCATGAGGATGCCAAATGCTAAAAATGGAGATGATCTAGTAACTAGAAATCCCCACCGCAGGGAGCACACACACCTATCTCCCTGCATCCTAACAATGTGATGTGTTTTGGAACACAGACATTAGAACTTCATGAAGTTTTAACTGTTGAGTCTTTCCCAAGCATCATCAAGTTACGATTTAGGCAATATATAACTGAAATGCATTCATTCATCATGCATAGGCACAATCACATAAATATTGCACAAAATATGTCCCGAACAGAAACCCAGAGGTACAAAAACATATTTCACTTTGTAAAGAAGTCTGTGAGAAAATATAACTCTGTGATTGTATAGACACGTTTCCTGATAATACATTGACATTCACGAACAGTAGATTGCACTGCAGTTTGTACACATTTTAAGTTTCATAAACTTCTCCTTGATTTTCAAAGATAGTATAATACCGTCTACTAAAACTCCTTTTTGTTTCAACTAAGTATCTCACATATATTAGTTTATAATAATGTTTCTATTATTTTTTAAAGTGTTTTCCATTCAAGGAAAAAGAAGTAAATTCCTATGTCAGAGTAACCAAGGTGGTTGAAGAATAGGTATTAGCCAAAGAGGTCTAGATGGTAAAATCAATCTTCAAGCCTCAAAGAATACGTGAACAGAGAGGAATGCCAGGTGTCACACAGCTTTCCTTCACTCTAATTCATTCTTGACTAGAGCCTGTATGCCTGTTCCAGGGACGTTTGAACTCATAAAGGATTTCTTATGATCTTCACTAAATACATTAAGAAGAATGCCAACCAGTGTCCTTTTGTGTACTGGGACATGTAGTCATGCGATTAAAACAGGTAACATGAACTCTGACTTTAAAATGTATTGTAGATACAAATGCTCTAAGCTAGGAAAGGTTTTCCACATCCACAGTCAACGATGGGAACCTTTCATTCCTCAGAAATAAGCCCTTTTTAGGTCATCGAAAAAGAGTACAACTGCTGCAGCTCATGATGCAGTATCTTCATGAGCCCAGAGCACATACAAATCCTAAGGGCACCACCATAATACACCGCTAATTCCTGGCACCGGAACAGATGAAACACACTCTATCCTGCACATACCTGCCAGAGGAAGCCACTTTCCTCTTCTGTGAGATTTAAAAAGCTCCCCCAAAAGGTTTCACTCCCATCACCAATACACAGAAAATGGAGGAAAGGCTGTTTCCAGTTCTTGGCCTTTAAACAACTCTAAATGTCAGTACTCATAGTGGCATATTACAAAGTAATAAACAGTGCACACTTGGGGGCAAACTACATATTGAGCTAACGAAGAGCTCACTGTGATTAAGATTAGATCAAACAACAGCAGAACATAGGCAAATTTTGTCTGAATTCTGTAGTGAATATACATGCTGCAATAACATTAAAAAAGCATGGCAGCCTATTCCAAACCAGCGAGAACAGTTTTGGGCAAAGAGTGGGTCTTTGTGTGTTTGAACTTCCACCACGTAAGGGCAAACTCGATATGCATGCTAATGACCTACAATTATGAAATTAAAAAAGAAAAATGCTAAAGGATGCCAGAGTGAACATCAGTGAGAGCCACAGACACCCACTCTCTTTTAACTTTTTACAAATAAACTTAAAACTATAAATTAGAAACACAAATAATCATGAGTGACTCTAACATTCAAAGGAAGTAAATGAATTGTGTAGGAGATTAACCCCATAACTTGGTTTCTTATTTAAAAATTTCTTGAGCAGCTCTTTGAGGATGGTGATGTTTATCTCCTTCTTCTTGGCAGCCAAGCCCAGCAAAAGAATGGCACACAGCAGTTGCTGCCCAAGCCTGGGTGCTCCTGGTGGTCCTGCACGATCGGCTGTGCAGTAGGCTTGTCAAGGAGAGGATCCTCCCTGGCCTCTCCTTGGGCAGAGGAGGTGAGGCTCACCTCACAAAGATCTTTGGAGAGAGGGAGGCAGGGATCTGAGCACAGTGGGAGCCCCCTCTTCCTGCCTGCCCACACCACCTGAGGGCTGTACTCACCACCATGCTTGTCTGCAGCCCCAAGCTCCTGGGGAGCTGGGGCTCCTGGACCGGGCTCATCAGCAGAGTTGTGGGCAGCGGCCAGGAATTTTCTGTGCCCATTGTTGTAGTTGCTGTAAGCCGCAATACCATCTGCTGCAGCTCCAGCAGCTTCACCTGGAGGGAGGGGTGCTCAGCTGCCATGCCGCTGCCTGCGCCCACCCTCACACCCACCCCCACCCCCACCCCCACAGAGATGTTGCACACCCTACCTTCATCTCCTCCCTGAGCTCCAGCCTGATGGTGTCCTCCTCCCAGTGCCGCATCTTTGGCACGGCCCCCTGGTTCTGATAAAAGGTGATGGATTTTCCTGCGGGAGGACGGGGCTCAGACGCTGGGGCCCCTCCGACGGTCCTGCAGCTCCCCCTGCCGTGCCCTGGCCTCCCACTCACTGATGGCATCTCTCTTGCCAGTATTGAATGAAGCGAAGTTCTTGTTTCTTCACAAGCTCACTCAGGTCTGCCTTCTCCTCCAGGTGGTCCATAAAGCTGCTCTGGAGCCAAAATATTGCAGTCACATCTCGGCAGCGACCTGCCCTCAGGTGGCATTTTCAAGTCATGGAGAAGGTGGAGGTGAGTCCTGGCATGGGCCAGCTTCTCCGTGACTTCCTGCAGGGCCCAGTGGGTCTCCCCACTCACAGACTCGCCCCCAGGCCCTGGGGCTGCAGGGCCTCTGGCTGCCTCTGGCTCCTTCTGGGCCGAGGCCACCGGGTGAGCCAGGCGCTGGCAGCCACCCTCTGCTCTTTCACCTGCTCTTGTAACTGTGCCTGCTTCTCCTGGGCACTAGCTCCAGCGGACTTGAGAAATGCCACCTGAGGGCAAGATGTGAGCATTCTTCTAGGGGCATACACAGAACAAATGGGGCAGAGAGGTGGAGCGCAGCCCCTTCCCTTGGGCCCCCAGAGACTGCACATGTTGGCCACAGGTGAAATGGTGTCTGACCACTGGCTCTCAGAAGGGGTGAGGGTCCAGAGAAATCAGAAGGCAGGGAAACGAAGAGCATAAAGGGGTCTTGGAGGGACCACAGAGAAAGGTGGCAAAATGGGTGCAGGGGGAGTCAGGCTCACCATGGCCTCCCTGCTCTCCGGGTCCTCTGGGACACTCGGCATGGGCTGAGGTGCCTCCTCCCCCTCACTGTCCAGATGTTCTCCTCCGTGTCCTGTGGGGGGTGGCCAGAGGGGTCTTCAGACAACCCAACAAGGGAGGTACTGTGGGCCCACCTCTACCTCCACCCTCACTGTGTAACCCTGAGCCAGCCCCTCCCCAGAGAGGAATGAGCTGTTGTTCTTTATTTTTACTTTTAAGAATCAAGATCTTGCTATTCCGCCCAGGCACACTCCCACTACTGGTCGATGTGGGAGTTCTGACCTGCTCCCTTTCTGACCTTGGCCAGTTCAGCCATCCTTAGGCAACTTGGTGACCCCCCGCTCACAGGAGGTCACCACACTGATGCCGAACTTAGTGCAGGCACCCAGTCGGCATAATGACCAGCTGTTCTAAAGGTCTCTTCCAACTCCTCAATCCTATGCTGCTAGCAGTCCCCCCTTCCTCCTGGGGCTCTCTCCTCTTCCTCTGAGCGGTCTCCCGTACCTTCCCCAGGGAGAGCCATGAGGCTCAGCTGGGCCGTTAGCTGCTGGTTCTGCTGGCTGGCAGCTTCCAGGTGCTCCTAAGGGGCCAGGAAAGAGTGAGAAGGGATGGAGTTTGCCAGGTCGTCCCCCTCACAGCCCCATCCTCCGCAGCTCCCTCCCCTGGGTCTCCTGCAACTTTTGGCAGGCCATATCGGCCACCGCTTTGCCTCAAGCTTCCTGCTACTGCAGCTGGTTCATTAGCTGGGTCTGCTGCAGTCACTGCCTGTACAGCGCCTCCTTCTCACAGGTCAACTGCTGATAGGCGGCCACCTGCTGCTGATAGGTGGCCACGGACTGCTGCAGGTGACCCAGGTAATGGTCTGGCTGCTGCTGCAGACTCTGAGCCTCTTGGCTCTTCAGCTCCACCTGCAGGAAGACCCTGGGTGTGAGGGCACGTGGTGGCTGGTTTCCAGATTCTGGGCCCATTAATAGGGTAGCGAGGGCACTGTGGGGCTCTGTCAGCTGCCCAGGCCCCTGTCCCCTTACTCCAGGCCTAAGTGACTGCCTCCCTTTCCTAGAACCCCATGCCTCCTTCCCCAGCCTCAAATCTCATACCCTCTTCTCATTTAATCCGCAGCACCTCTGTAAGGAAAATGCTAACTTCCCTTTGAAGTTAAAGAAACAGAGACTTAGAGATGCAAAGTACTTGAACGGTGACCAGTGGAACCGAGGCTGGAATCCAGTTTTAATCTAAGGAGTCTTTTTGTTTTGTTTTCAGACAAGAGTGTCACTCTGTGGCCCAGGCTGGAGTGCAGTGGTGCAATCTCAGCTCACTGCAACCTCCACCTCCTGGGTTGAAGCAATTCTCATGCCTCAGCCTCCCGAGTAGGTGGAATTACAGGCATGCACCACAATGTCCTGCTAATTTTTTTTTTTTTTGTAATTTTAGTAGAGATGAGGTTTTACCACATTGGCCAGGCTGATCTCAAACTCCCGACCTCAAGTGATTCTCCTGCCTCAGCCTCCCAAAGTGCTGGGATTATAGGCATGAGCCACTGCACCTGGCATAAGGAGCCTGTTATAGCACTGTCTCTTCCCCTGTGATTGGGGGCTCCATGCCTCTAGCTAGGATGATGATGTCCAGACCTGAGAGGAGCCCAGGGCTACCCACCTTTAAAAGTCAGAGGCAGGAAGCAAGAAACAGGACTGCCCTGGGGGGTGCTGTGGTCACCAGCCCCCAGGCTGGAAGCTGCCTCTGGCCTGGTACCTCCCCTCCCCAGAGGCTGCTGCCCGCCTCCCAGCCCTTCTTGGATGGGGTGGAGGTTTCCGACTCCTTCACCTCGCCAAGCTTCTCCTGTAGCTCCTTTACTTGCTGCTCCAACTGCAGTGTGCTCTTGTTCTCATTGTTCTGGACAGAGAGAAGCAATCAGCAGCCACCCACTGCAGCTGGAGACCCCAGAACTTGGTGTCTGCCTCCCATGGCACTGGGAAGGCTGGAGGCAGGTTAGAAAAATCACCCCCTCTCTCCCACAGCCACCTGGCTCACAGGTGCCTTTAGAAGTAACATTTCATGTGAGGGCTACACTGCCCCATTTTAGAGGTGGGGAAACAAAGGCCCGGAGGGCTAGGGAGGAGGGCAAGCTCCCCAGTTTGGGCAACGCACCGGCTCCTCGAAGACGCTCTGTGGCTTGGCCAGCTGCTGAAGGCTCTTGTGCTGCTCCTGAATCCTCTCCTCCTGCTTCCGAAGCCTCTCTTCCTGCTCCCGAATCCTCTCTTCTTGTCGCTGGTTCAGGAGACTTATGCGCTGATTGTTTTTGACCTGGGCCTGGAGCTCTCCTGCCACTCTCTCTAGTTCCTTCCTCAGGTGCTGCAGCTCCACCTCAGAGGGCACTGCTGGGGGCTCCGGGGGCAAGGGTTCAGCTGAGAAAGGAAGCAGACAATAAGGGCCTCTGGATTCTCGGAAAAGAAAAACCCTCCTCTTGGCGCACAGCTCCTCTCAGGCTCCTCAAACTTGGCCTCACTGCTAATGATTCCTCGCACCCAGATGGTAGCCAGTCTTCCAAAGCACTTTCAGAGAAAGAGCACTGCGGGTGGCTGACAACGGGCCCTCTTTGCTGATGGGGACACTGAGACACTGAGACTCATTGAGATGACAAGACTCGCCGTCTCCTGGCACAGATCTCTTTCCCTCTGCCTCAAAGCCCTTCCATCCACCCACCTCCCTGGGGCACTCTAAGCCACCCTCACAGCCCTCTGATGCCAGTCCTGCTCCCAGGTCATGCCAGCCCCATCTTACCCATCTGGTTTTTGAGTTTGGACAAGCTCCTCTCCAGCTTCTCTACCCGACGCATATCTTGCTGCTTCTCTTTCTTTAATGTGCAAATCTGCCCAAAGCACAAGGGGAAAGGGCCCTGGAGAGAGGGGCTGGAGGCTGGACAGGCTGCCCTCTCCCTCTCTGCCCCCACCTCCACAAAGCCCAGACCCATGACCACCTCTGGCTCTACTATTCCCATTTTACAGATGACCAGAAAGATCCAGTGACCTATCTAATGTGGGGGGGCTGAAGGGTCAGATCTCACCTCCTGCGACATTTTTCTCATCCTCTGCTGCCACCGGGCCCTCTCTCCTTTTAGATGTTCAGAATACTCATCTCTTTCTAATTGGACTTGTTGAAATGACTCCTTCAACTGCAAGAATGGGCACAGAACTTAGGAAGGGCTGTCACTGGTCCTCACCTGCTCCTGGCCACCTGGGGTCATCTTCCTTCCACATAACTCCCTCAGAAAACCTCACCTGTGTCAGCTGCACTTTCAGTAGTGCCTCCTCCCGCATGGACTGCTCTAACTTCCACTCCGTACCTGCTTTACTGGGGCTGGACAACTGGATGGCAAAGAGTGAGAAGTTTCAATCTGGAGAGCCTGGGCATTTCCACACAGTGCCCCTTAACAGGGCTCGGGCTAGGCCCAATATACAACTCGGTCAGTAAAGATCAAGGCATTTCCAAGCCCGTGGTCTGGTTTTTAAAAGAACACAGTAAAGTTGGAACGGACAGGGAATGAGATTGAGTTTATAGCTGGCTAACAGAGGCCCAGAGAGATCAGATAATATTGCTATTGTTATTACTGTTATTATTACCACTGTTTGAACCTTTGTGGAATGCTTCACCAGATACCATGCTAACAATCCCATTTAATCCTCGCAACCACCATAGGAGACAGTTACTATGATTCCCTCTATTGTGGAGATAAAAAACATGGAGTATTTGAGGTTAAGTGCTTGCCTAAGTTCACTTAGGCAGAGCTGGGATATAAACACCCAGGTCTATCCAATTCTCTAAGCCCGTTTTTCTTGCTGGGGATGGGGGCACAGATAGGAAGGGGAAAATTAATCTTTTGTTCACTTTTTGAAAGGATGATACATTTGCATAGTCCAAAACTCAGAAGGTACAGAAGGGAAGTATCTCCCGGCCATCTTGTTGCTCTCTCCTGAATTTTTTATGAACCCTTGCAGACATGTTTTATGTATATTATCATAGTATGTACACACACACACACACACACACACACATGCACACGTTTCCTCTTTCTACAGAAATGGTAACATACTAAAGGTACTCTTCTGTACCTTCACAGTACAAGTACCCAATACCCCACCTAGGACTTGCCCAAGACCACAGCCAGGTAAGGGCGGGGCAGGCACTTGGCCTCCAAGCTCTGCGTCCAGTGCTCACTCCACACAGTGACCCCCAACTCACCCACAGCAGCTGACTCAGCCCCAGGCTGCCACTAAAAACCATACAAAAAAGTAGCAAGAAATGGCCATGCTGCCTTCTGGGCAGGACACGCCATCCTGCAGAAGGGACCTTTAGGCTCACTCCTCCATCTGCAAAGCCAGACTCCCAGGGGATGGGGCAGGTGGTTGGACTCACCTGGTTTGCCTTCTTCTTCTGTGTGGCCATGACATCAGAGAGAACACTCTCTAACTCTCCTTTACGCTGCAATGAATGTTGCAGGCGGACAGCCAGATCCTTGGACTTTTCTGTAGTGAGAGAGTTGAGATGGGGCCCAAAGGACTCCCCCTGAAGACCTGTCAAAGTGCCAGGTTGAAGGATGACAGGGTGCCCAGATTCCCACCTTCAAAGTATCTGAGAGAACGTTTCATGTGGTACAGGTCCGTATTTAGTTCCTCTTTCTGTATGTTCAATGTCTGGAGTTGAACCTTTGGGAGAAAAGCCAAGCAAGTGCTGAAAGAGAAGGAAAGAAACATTCTCCGGAGGACAGGAGGAAACTGCACACCCTCCACTCACCTCTAGCACCCTTTTGGCTTTCTGTTTCTTGTTGTTTGCTTTCTTTTCCTGTAGGAAGAGGAAGACAGAGCTCTTACCAGGGGGAGGCAGAGATGGCACAGCAAGAGACATGCCCCCAGAATGCCACCAATGCCCCAGGACAGGCCCACCCATGGGACCAGGTTATCGGGGCCCTGTGGGGATGGGGTGGAATCTGAAGGGTGAGCCTTCTTCCAGCAGTCATGTTGCAAGGAAACGAAATCACGTTACTTCTTCCAGCTGATGTTCCACTTGTTTCTTCTGTTGTTTCTGTGGGGAGAGTCAAATAAGGTGATGGAGGGTGGCCCCCTCAACTCTATTCCCCAGACCAGGAAGCGGTAGGCAGGGGCCAGGAATGGATTTTAAAGGCAAAGTTCTCAGACATAATGGGAACACGAACTGGTAAACTCTCCTCAAGCTCCCAAGGACAGAGGATTTGGGTCTTTGTGGGCTTTTGCCCACAGCCACAGAACTCAAAGTCTGAATCTGGAATCTCTTGAGAGGACAGCAACATAAACCTCTAGAGATGGAGTTTCAGAAAGGCCCCTCCTTCTGGCAGCTTGTGATTTAGAAAAGTGGGTTCATTCAATAAACATTTACTGAGCATGTATGGACCAGGTACGGTTCTTTACAGCAGATATAGGATGGAAAAGGACAGACAGGAGCCCTTAGCCCTGAGGTTTCCATTCTCGGGGGCCTTTAAATCTCAGACTCGAGAGCTAACAGAGACCTTTGATACTCACTACCTCCTCTGGAAACACGAGCCCAAAAAGGAGAGGTGGCTTGTCCAGAATCAAAGAGCAAATTAGGGACTGAGTCATGGCAGAAATACGGGGACCTTGACAACCAGTCAGGCTAGCACTTCCCCAAGAGGCAACAACCCCAGGGCGTGTGTAGCAAGGACTCGAGCAGGGGTGTCTGGAGAGGAGAGAGTCGGCAAAGAGGGCAGCAAAAGAAGAGCCATGCTGCATGCTCTGGGGTCCCTCCAGGTGAGGCCTGGGCACCCAAGCTCCCTATTTGTCCCGGGCACCAGGGACCCCCAGCCCCTTTCTTCAGGGCCCCAAGGGGAAACTGGAGCCCAGGATTGGCAGCGTGGAATCAGGGGACCCCACCGGACTCTTACCAAAGATTTGATGGTGTTCTTCAGTTGACTGATTTCTACGGACCTTGAATCCAGGACTACTGCTCGTTCTTGGCACGGGCTCTGAGGTGCATGCAGAGAGGAGGAGGTGGAGCAGGAGTCGGGGGAGAGGTAGAGAGAACAATCATTAGGGCTGGGGTGTGTGGGCTGTCTCAGCTGGCAGAGGGGCACCCAGTCCCTCCTGGAGGAGGAGGTTGGAGGGCTGACCCGAAGGGTCACTGCACCTCTGCCCAGAGCCTCTTACCTCCAGATCTTTCAGGGTAGCAGATGATGTAGGGCCTTCCCTGTGAAAACCTGTTGCTGACTACAAGAGATGAGAGTGCACATGGAGATGTTCTGTCCCCCACAGTGTCTGAGCCCTCTGACTTCCTTTCTTCCCCATCAACTGGCAACATTTTCTTTTCTGCCTATCTTGGACCCTTTGTCCCATAACTCCTTTGTGCCAACTTCTCTCATGGTTCTTATCTCCCCACCATCCCATCCTGGGGCCCCTTCAGTGACTCCTGATGGCAAGTGGCTGTTCTCATTGTCCTGGCTTCCCCTTGAGACTGGGGATGAGGAAAATCAAACAGCAAAGACCATATCCTGGGTGTCCTGAGTGTTTACAGCAGGCCATGTACTAGGGATTAACATAAAAACAACAATAACAAATCTCATGAAAATTTCACAAATGGAAGTGAAACAATATCACCTCTATTATACAGATGTGAAAAGAGAGGCCCGATGAGGTCTAGCAACTTGCCCTAAATCATATCCCTAGCAGAGCAGATGGAGAGGCAGGATTCAAACCCAGAATTCCTTTTTTTTTCTTTGAGACAGAGTCTTGCTCTGTCACCAGGCTGGAGTGCGGTGGCATAATCTTGGCTACTGCAAGCTCCACCTCCCAGGTTCACACCATTCTCTTGCCTCAGCCTTCTGAGTAGCTGGGACTACAGGCACACGCCACCACGCTTGGCTAATGTTTTTGTATTTTTAGTAGAGACAGGGTTTCACCGTGTTAACCAGGATGGTCTCTATCTCCTGACGTCATGATCCGCCTGCCTTGGCCTCCCAAAGTGCTAGGATTACAGGCGTGGGCCACCACACCCGGCTAAAGCCAGAATTCTTAACCCGTACCCAGCAGTCCATCCACAATCTTAACAATTACCCTCTATTGCCCCTTGGGCCCCCTGTCCCCAGAAGCCTGGTCAGCCAAGACTCACATCCCCAGGTGGCTGGCAACCACCAGAAGTGGCTGTCTGAGGGATACTGCCATTTGTTTTCCTGTTCCTGTTCGCTCCTGCTGGAACTCTAGGGCTGTTTTTCTGCCAATATTCTTTTAACTGTTGGAAAGAAGAGCAGTAATACTCATGAGAACCGTCAGCCCCTACAGCCACATCCTCCTTTACAGTTTTTACAAAATACACTTACACACCATCTGATTTAATGACACCAACAACTGTACAAGGTGTTGTCACACTCATTTAGTGACTGAGAAGGATTGATATCATGGCTAGAAAAAAAAAAAGAAAAAGGCAATACTGGAACTTTGAAACTCAGTCTTCTGACTCCAAGCTCTGAGGTTTTGCCAAGAATCAGCAGCTGCCAGGGACCAAAACCAGAGGCAGAGGTAGAAAAGTAAACATTAAGTAGGCAGGAACTGTATGCCATGTGGTTTAGAGTCATACATCCTCACACGTCTGTTAGTGTGAAGAAGTGCACCAGTACCTCTCAAACTTTTATATCAATGTGTCCTCACGGCAGAAGGCAGCCTTTCTCTTAAATCAGAATTCATCAGAAAGAGGACAACCCAAGCCTCATTTCAGAGAGAGGGCTGGTATACTCTTAGAAACCTATGTGACTGTCATCCCTAAGTATATTCATGTTTTTTCTCTTGATCTCAAGAGAATCAAGGGAAACTGATGCTTCAGAAAGATGTCCCACATTTATCCTGTGGCACTCAAAGTACCCAAAGTTGAGATAATATGAGGAAGATTCAAGGTGTCAAGTTCAGTTTCCCAAGATCTATTCCACAGAAGATGAGCAAATGTCACTTCAGAGACCACTGACTGAAGGAGAGTCTGGTCCCAGAACCATGGAGAATTAGAATATGAGGTGGAGAACTCAGAAAAAAATGTTAAAATCTCTCTGGAAAGTAGAAGCCTGGGAGAAAACCAAACCAAACCCATTCTCTCATTGCCACCCAGAGATACCGTCAATGTTTTGAGTTCATGGGGGAAGTGTAGGCTTTTCCCACCGTCAACATCTGTAAGGGAGTGAGGCAGCCTGGAACCTCTTGCTCCTAGGTCCCATAGTCTCCATTCCCCTTCCAGCTGGAAATTTGTCCTGTGACCAGAGGAACCAGAAACGAGGTGAGAACGCTTAGGGGACTGGGTCATAAGATCAAAGGCCAGTCTTGCAGTAACGGCAGTTACTAGGTGGGCTGTGACATCACAACATTCCACTCCTCCTGGTCGGGGGGAGGGACCATGTCAGCACCATGTCTAAGTCGCTGCTCCACGATGGGGGAGGGAAGCACAGGGTTGGGACCCAGCTCCTTGGAGACGCCAGCACAAAGAACCCAGGGAGGTCGACCTTGAGGCAGCAGGAGGGGAGGGCAGAGTCTGCAGCAGGGAGCCCCAGGAGTCACCAGCCCAAAGTCACCCAGGGATGATTGGCGAGGGTGGGGCCTGGCTCCTCAGAGATGAGAGCCCAAAGAGCCCAGGGAGATCAAGCTTGGGGCGGCAGGAGATGAGGGCCCAGTAACGGAGCGGGAAGCCCCAGGAGTCACCCACCCAAAGTCACCCTGGGGTGATTGGCGAGGGCAAGGACTGGGCTGCTTTCTGAAGGGGTGGGGCTGACTGACAAAACTTTGATGGGGGTAGCCCAAGGCACCGGGGTTGGGGGGACCAGTCCAGTGTGCCTCAGGAGTCGTATAGACTCTGGCAGGGGTCTTGTCATCAGAGGGGATCTGTGGCTGGGTTGAGGGGCTATGACCTAGTGCGTTTTTACCTTTTTCTTGGCTGCAGCCAATTTGTTGTGTTGAGTTTCTTCTGCCATCGCAGGGTGGGGAGGGAGGCAGGGTTGGGGCCACAGCAGCAAAATCGCAATGAGAACCGATCAAGGCCTCCAGTCACCTTCCAGGCAGCTGTGTGACTGAGCCAGAGGAGGCGTAACCAGGGCCCCAGTAGAATGCGGAATAGGGGTGTGGCCTTAATGCTCCAAGCCCATTGGTCAATGAGAAAGATGAAAGGGAAAGGGGGCGTGGCCAGACAGCAGCGTGTCCAGAGGGCCCTGTGGCTCACAAGGAAAGCTGCCCATGCGACCGCTCTCCGCACCCACTCTAAGAGAGGGGAGAGGCCTCCCACTCTGGAAGAGAAGAGGGGCCAGCTTTTGCTTTAACAGCTTTAAAACTTTAAAAAATATATGTGTGTATACTTTATATATATGTGTGTCCGTGTGTGCGTATCTATGTTTTTCTCCATAGCTGTCTTCATTATCCAGCTTCTATGCAAGGTCTATGATTTTGGCCTACATTTTTCATCTTTGATTACAGTACAAAAATTACCAGTATTATCTTAACTGAGATACAGATCCTATAAAAATGGAAAATGCATAGCATGCTTGATGATTAATGAAGCAGACTATATTATCCAACATTCTAATAAGATAAAATAATCACAATGATTTCTCTTTTTTGGAAAAATGTTTCTCTTATTCTCCTATGTTTTCGTTAAGATTTTTTTTCTTAAACAAGAAACATGTCTAATATCTGTAAAAACACAAAGCTTTTGGGCCGGGTGCAGTGGCTCATGCCTGTAATTCCAGGACTTTGAGAGCCCAAGGTGGGTGGATCATGAGGTCAGGAGATCGAGACCATCCTGGCTAACACGGTGAAACCCCATCTCTACTAAAAATACAAAAAAGGCCGGATGTGGTGGCAGGCAGCTGTAGTCTCAGCTACTTGGGAGGCTGAGGCAGGAGAATGACATGAACCCCCGAGGTGGAGCTTGCAGTGAGCCAAGATCATGCCGCTGTACTCCAGCCTGGGCTACAGAGCAAGACTCCATCTCAATTAATTAATTAATTTATTTATTTATTAATAAAAATAAAAAATTAATAGTAAGAGCAATGTGAACAAAAGATGCAATAAAATAATTTAGAAAATACAAGCTATTAAAAAATAGATTTTAAAACTTGTGCAACAAAGTCAAACAGCACCCAACGAAAATGTATACCCTTACATGTTTGTTTAAAAAGCAATTTAAATTACATTGATCCACTAAACTAGGAAAAGCAAAGCAAACAAAAAGGGAGAAATAATTAAGACGTCAGGAAAAAGGAAAAAGAAAAACCACTAGATTTAAAAAACAAAACTGAAGGAGGATTCTTTCAAAAGACTGAGATAATAAAACAGTCAAGCCTCTGATAAGTAATCAAGATAAAGAAAACTTTGAAGAGAAAAGGGCATATAGCCACATGTGAATATGATGCAAAAAGTGAAAACTTTACACATCTTTACAACACCTTAGAAGTATGGATGACATGTTCTTTTTTTTTTTTTTTTTTTTTGAGACGGAGTCTTGCTCTGTCACCCACGCTGGAGTGCAGTGGCGTGATCTTGGCTCACTTGCAAGCTCCACCTCCCGGGTTCACAACATTCTCCTGCCTCAACCTCCCGAGTAGCTGTGACTACAGGCGCCCGCCACCACGCCTGGCTAATTTTTTGTATTTTGGCTTAGTAGAGACGGGGTTTCACCATGTTAGCCAGGATGGTCTCGATCTCCTGACCTCGTGATCCACCCGCCTCGGCCTCCCAAAGTGCTGGGATTACAGGCATGAGCCATCGCACCCGGCCAAAGTGTTCATTTTTTTTTAAGAACCTACAGTTACGAAAACTAACTGAAGAAGTGGGAAATCTGGAGACCAATATGCAGAAGAAGGAAAAAGACAAAGACTCATCCCCCAAATTGGGTATTTATTTAAACCAGAATTTGTCAGCCTCAGCAATATTGATATATTGGGCCAGATAATTCTTTGTGGAGGGTTCTCCTGGTGTGTTGTCGGGCATTTAGTAACATTCCGTCTACCCACAGAATGCCAATAAGACCTCCCGACCATGACCAGTGGTGACCACAAAAATGTCTCCAGATATTTCCAAACGTCCCATAGGAGGCAAAATACTCCTGCAGGTGAAAATTACTGTGTAAACCAGATCTACATCCTAGATCTTAGAAAAAAGATGTAAAGCTTCCCAACTCAGCCCTGCATACCCTTGATACTGAAATGAAATAACAGCCTTAAAGGAAACAAACAAAACTATAATCTTATTTAATACAGAAGTAAAAATACAAAAATAAAATATTACCATAGCCATTCTAACAGTGTTTACTATAGGAATGCAAAGATAATTCAAAATTAGGAAAATTTCATCAGGCAATTCACAAATTATATTTCTACATATAATTGAAGGCACAATCATGAAAAACAAAGTAGCTCTATATGCATTAAGTTGATGATCTATTCAGTGAAAAACACAAGTTGCACATGTCTTACAGAAGGAAAACTTAACACTGAACAAAGATTCTCACCATCTGCTCTTTGTCCTGAGGCTCCAATAGAAATACAGTGAAGAATAAACATTGTATAAGCACACAATTACAAAAAAGGAATGGGGTTACCAACAGAAGAGAATTCATCTTCATTAGACAATGACAGTACATGGAAAATGGTTAATTCATGGAGCAAAGCAACAAAGGTGGAGGTCAGGGGGATACTGAGAACAAGGAGGCTAATCTGTCCCACAGCAACCTGGAAAGGTTCTAGACCCAGACACGAGGTACCCCCGACAGTGGGACTGATAGGCAAGACTGAAAACAGAGATTAAGCAAAAGCCCGGATAGAGAACACATTTCACAGGCCCTGAAACACACTGCTGGCCCCATCTCCTTGAACAGAACCCAAGCAAACGTATCTACCTCAGGCAAGAGAATGTAGATTTTACATCCAGAGGAATGGAGTAGTCATCCAGCCATCATTTAAGATTGCAACAGGAGATAAGATAGAGGGATGGAGGATAACAATTAGGAATCAGCATACATTCCCCTTAAAGCTATCAGTTGACAAGTCTTGGCCACAAAGAACTCCCAATCAATTTTTATTTATTTTTATTTTTATTTATTTATTTTTTTTGAGACAGGGTCTTGCTCCTTCGCCCAGGCTGGAATGCAGGAATGCAGTGGCATGATCAGAGCTCACTGCAGCCTCAACCTCCTGGGCTCAAGCAATCCTCCTGCCTCAGCCTCCCAAGTAGCTGGGACTGCAGATGGGTGTCACCACACCTAGCTATTTTTCTTTTTTTTGTAAAGATGGGGTCTCACTATGTTGCCCAAACTAGTCTTGAGCTCCTGGGCTCAAGTGATCCTCCCACTTCGGTCTCCCAAAGCACTGAGATTATAGGTGTGAGCCACCACACCCCGGCTCCCAGTCTTTTAGTACCTCTCTCAAATATGAATGAGCAAATAAAGGAATGGAAAAAAGACTACAGGTCAGGCACGGTGGCTCATGTCTGTAATCCTGCACTTTGGGAGGCTGAGGTGGGTGGATCACCTGAGGTTGGGAGTTCCAGACCAGACTGACCAACATGGAGAAATCCCATCTCTACTAAAAATACACAAATTAGGTGGGTGTGGTAGCACATGCCTGTAATCCCAGGTACTTGGGAGGCTGAGGCAGGAGAACTGCTTGAACCTTGGAGGCAGAGGTTGTGGTGAGCTGAGATCACATCATTGTACTCCAGCCTAGGCAACAAGAGCGAAACTGGGTCTCAAAAAAAAAAGAAAGACAACAAATGATAAGCAACATAGAATAGATATTTAAGGAAAGGCTTTAAAAAGAAAAATAAGACCAAAATAAACTAAGAAAAAAATTATTAAAGAACAAGGAGATGCCAGGGAGAAGACAAAGAGTATCAAAATCACTTCATAAAGACACTTGTGAATATATTACATGTATAAAACAAAACAATATGAATAAGAAATAATCAGAGAACAAAAAGTTCTTAGAACTCATGCTTCATCCTGGGAGTTGGTCTCCAATGAGCCATACCTCCTGTCATCATGTCCTTAGACAGGCCCATCCCATAGTCAATCTGGGTTGGCCCCAACACTCACTTTAACCTATAGCATGTGGTAGAAATGACACTGGACCTGTTCCAGGTCTAAGCCTTAAGAACTCCTGGCAGCTCCATTTCTGTGCTTCTGGAAGCCAAAAATAAGAATTGGCTACCTTCTTGGAGAAAGAAAAGCCACATGAAGAGATCCAAGAGGATGAGATGCTATGCAGAGAGAAAGGCCACACCAAGAATTACCAAGGCAGCAGACCTGTGGGTGAAGAAGCCGTCTCAGACATTCCACTGCAGCTGAGCATCCAGATGACCAGTCCCTGACACTGTTTAACCACACAGTGAGAGCTGCCAAATGAGACCAGCAGAAAAACTGTCCAGCTAGCCCCAGTTAATCAATACAGTAGTGACAGATAGACATATGTGTAGTTTTACGCCATTAAGTTTTGGGATAATTGGTTAAGCAACAATAAATAACCAAAACAAAACTTAAAGTTATGACAGTCCAAATAAAATTTCCTGAAAGTCAAAAGATAAGAAAATATTCCAGAACTTAAAATTTTAAAAAATTTAGAAATAACGTGAGATACAACACTCAGGACAAGAGGTCTAAAATCCAATTAACAGACACTTCAAAATGAACAAATAAAATGGAAAAGAGAAAGTTAACAACAAAATATGACAAGATTCAAGACTCCAACTTTGAAAGAGCCTATCCATTGGCCTGTTCATTTGGTGTACCCAGCATAATGAATGAAAAAAGACCCACACTAAGTACACTGTTGTGCTATTTCAGCTCACCAAGGAAAAGACAAACTCCTAAAAGCTTCCAGAGAGAAAGTAATGCATAAACAAGTGAAACTCATGATGGCATGAGGCTTCACCACCACGACTGGTTAGAAGACAACAGCACAGACTTTGAAATTCTAAGGTAAAATTATCCTCAACCTAGAAATACATAATCAAGCAAACTATCAATCAAGTGTGAGGGTAGAATATGAGAGACGTGAATACCGATGGGGATGTGATATGCAGCAGGCACTGTTCTAAATGGTTTACATGTACCAACCCAATTAAGAAACTTAAAATACACACACACACACACACACACACACACACAGTTTTTCCTGCTAATCATTTTACGATGAAACAACCAAGCAGCTAACCCAGAGCCCACAAAGGCAGAGTAAAAATTCTAACACTTGGTAAAATAAAAATGGACATATACACCCTGTGATCTAAAAAAAAATGCTTAAATATTCAAAGACAGAGAGCAATTACAGCTACTGAGAACATCACTGTAAGCAAACTGAGGCAGAGAAAACAAAGGTGCTAATGAGGATTTGAACCACCTAACATGCAGAAACCCACTGGATGCTTTCCTAGGTTCCGAGCTGGCATTGTCTTTCAGAATGATCTAGAAGAGGTCACATGACACTGTTACAAAGGATCTGGAGAAAGGGACCCTTGCTTTATCACTCCGGCTCTCCAGTCATGCTTCACATTTTCGCTTCTTACACTCTTTCACATGAAGTCAATTTACAGACCTCCGTCATGCCCCTAGAGACCTTTTTGTAATATTCTGACAAGTTCTGGATGTCATCTCTGCACTTTTGACAAATTCTTAGCAGTTAACTTACAAGACAGTTAACATTTTTGTTCACAGTATAGCTAGAAAAGGGTCATATACTCAATAAAACAAATATTTACCAAGCATTCATTAAGTGGAAGATAAAACGCACAAAGCATAATTATAAAATATTCTCCCCTGCCATGATACAACAAAATTTTTAAAGGCTTACAGAATATAGCATAACATGACCAAAGCAAAAATAGTAAGGACTAAAGAGGGGAGGAAGGGAAAATATCAGCATGAACTGAATATGACCCAGAAGAGTCTTGATGGTCAGACATCTAAAGATGTATTGGGCAGGGTTAAGGGGTGGAAGTCAGGGGCACAGGTCAGGGGCACATTCTACAAGGGAAAAACAGCTGATACAGAAGCCTGAAAGGTAAAGTGGGCAGAGCACCTGTACAGGACTCTTACCTGCCACAGCGAGGGCACAATGCGCCTTTCCAGAACACAGCAGCGCACAGCCAGGCCTGGGGCAGAGGGATCACTCAAACAGCACCAGAGGCTGCATTCCTACTTTTCTTCCGTCAACAAGTCCATTTTCATTGTTAGTTTCTCCTTCAACACAAACTTAAAAACAAATGGCTGAACACGCAGGAACAAGGAAAACCTGACTGAAGAATGAGACGTTAAAACTTAAGGGCCTTAGGTCCTGGCACGGTGGCTCACGCCTGGAATCCCAGCATTTTGGGAGGCAGAGGTGGGTCATTTGAGGTCAGGAGTTCAAGACCAGCCTGGCCAACACGGTGAAACCCCGTCTCTACTAAAAACACAAAAGCTAGCCAGGCGTGGTGGCCAGTGCCTGTAATTTCAGCTACTCGGGAGGCTGAGGCAGGAGAATCACTTTAACCAGTGGACTGTCAAGAGAGGTAGGCTGCAGTGAACCGAGATCGCGCCACTGCACTCCAGCCTGGGCTACACAGTGAAACTCTGTCTCAAAAAAAAAAAAAAAAAGTCATGGTCATGGTAAAAAACCTATGGCTTTGGAAGGCTTTCTCGGTAACGTCCTAGAATTAAGGTTAAGCCTGTGTTTCATGTTAACTGAACAGGAAACCAGCCTGACCAACATCCTTCTGCCCGGTGGCTTGCTCTCAGCTCCTCTTCGTTGGGCCTTGGGCAGCCAGACTGTCTAGTTTTAATCCTTGCTCTGCCACCTGTGACCTTGGACAAGTTACCTACCTTCAGTTACCTCATCTACAAAATGCAGATATTAATAATACCCTCTTTTCAATTTATTCAGAGGATTAAAAGAGTTAATAAAAAGTAAAAAATAAAAAGACTTGGTAAGCATAGGCACAGAGGAAAAAAAAGTAAAAATAAATAATTAAATAAAAAGACCAGTGCCTAGCACATAAAAGTTCATCAGGAATTAATTCTATAATATGAACTCAATTTTGCAAAACTTCAAAGTACATATAACTTTTAACTTACTAGGGTATACATACCAGTAATAAATTTACAACGGTAGACATGTTTGCCTACTGTAAATATAACAAAGACTAAACAAGCAGATACTAAATCATTAAGCAATTATCAGTTAGTATCTTTAATTTTCTTATACTTCTATATTTTCTATACATCATCTTTGTAACAAGAAGAAAACAAACCAAATGAAAATGAAATGAATTCTCTCAAAAAGAATTAAGTCAAGACAGGAAGAAGGCTCGCAAAGTAATATAAAATATATCTTATGGTTTATGTAAAATTCTTAATAAAATACCTTCTTTGCTCCAAGCTGCACTCTGGCTTTGCCTTTGAGTCAGGTGGCATTTCTTTGCACGATGACTGGTTCTATTGAGTAGGCACTGCTTCAGCCCTACAGGAAGAACAAAACCTCTCTGGAACACAGCAGCATTCCTGACTCCCACTTGAGGAGGCCTAACAAAACGGCATATGCCTCAACAGCAGCACATCAGTGTTAAAAAGTCTGGAGTCAAGGGGAAAAAGTAAAATTGGACCATTTCCAGAATCTCACAAAAAGCAACAAACTGACGTTCTAAGTGCCCAACATGAGCAAATTAGAACCTTAAATAAAGGTCACTCTTAATGCCTATCCCGGCATAGATTCAGCACCAAGTACAGTGTCATTTTACTGGTTTACCTTTTTCATTCTTGAAAGTAGGAGCTATGAAAAAAAAACACTAAAATTTCTCTAAGAGAACCTTCTACTTTCTATCTAAATTACATAATCAAAACACTGTATTGAGGGTGAAAATTGAATATTATAAGAAAATAATCACGTGTTTTGCGAGAAGTTGCAAATATAATGCTCCTCCACCCAATACCTACCTTAAAAAGAAAAAAGGAAACATACAAAATTATCTCGAGAATTATTCCTGCTTAAACAATGTCTACGTGCCATTACTAAGTATGCACACAGTAAAGATGAGAAGAGGACATGCAAGCGTGAACATACTTGTTAGGGATATAGGACTATGGGTAATTTAAACATTTTAATGGTATTACTCTCATGTAATTGCTCTGAAATTCTAGTCAGTTGTTTGAAATGGCTCTTAGAACAGAATACTTTGACATTTTTATGATGTCAAAAACTAAGAACTTAGCCCTAAATATTCCAAAGAATAGGTGCAGAAGAACCCGTTTCCTTAAACGGCATTTGAGTATTCTTCACAACTCAAACTTTCTCTCCCATCCTGTGATGGCCGAGAGTTTTTCCTCTGACGACGGCACTGACCTTACCCTATCCAAAATATGAACATCTGCATGGTTTCCTGGTTCAAATTGTTTTTATCCATTCTGTCGTGAGAATCAAATGGTTCAGACCATGCAGCACCTCTCTGGGACTTCTCAAGTCCTTTCTAGATCTGAAGACTATTCTCTGAACCAAAGACAACTTCTGGGGGTGTACCAAATCTCCCTTTAGAAAATTATTAAGATCAAGATGTTTTAACCTTTTAACTCTTTCTCAAACAAAATAAATTCGTTTCTCCTTTACTGTTATTTTAAATTTCAAAATACACAGATAGTATGTCTAAAATAAAATCAAGAGAATGACAGTTTTAGAACACAAACTGTGGTAATTTTGAAAACACAAAAGCTAAGACCACTAATTAGGTCTATGTGGACACCAAGTCCACCACAACCTGTTCTGTCCTCCGGGGCTCTGCCCACGCCTTTCCCTTGCCTGAGATTCCTTCTGCTTCCTACCCTTCCAAATGCTGTATTTCCCCCTGGAAGACTTGCCAAGACCACTCTAACCTGCACATCTCCCATTCCAGCTAACCAAAGGCATCCCTGGGTTGACTAAACCAAATTATTTTGCAGACAAGGCATCTAAAAACTTCCACTGTAGACTATTCACCTTAATAATTGTTATTGTGACATTATTCAATAATAAAATGAGGGAAAGAAGTCCTCTTCAATCCCTTATCCTGGAGAATCCAAGCAAGTATCTTTCCCACTTGCTTTGCCCAAACCCTGGGACCTTTCTAAGTAAAAGTTTAATGGAAGGGAAAGAAAATCTAAAAGAAAAACTCTCCAAAAAATTAAACTCGGGCAAAGAATCATGGGATTAAAAATTTTTATTCTTTGTGTATTTGATTTCCGAAACATAGAAATCTCTCTCCCACTCCTTAAACCTGCCACTGGGCTAAGAGAGTATTGTACAGAATATGCACTCACTGACTTAACAGAATTAGAACATCCAGGCACTCACTGAGATTTTGCTGCCACAACCGCTCAAAGTCTAGTCATTAGTTCATGAGTTAACACCACACTTGATCTTCAAATTTTCGAAATGCTGACGGTAGACAGGGACTTGTTTTGGGAAAGGAAGTACACAGTAGACATTGTTACCCATGACCCAACCACCACCACCTTTCCTTTAAAGAACCCCACTCTTCCTTTAAGGTTGCAGAGTCTCAGAAAGTGGGAAGAAAGGAAGTTTTTGCATTTTCAGGTCAAAACGAAGTACATTTGTGCAACCACATAATGCCCATGCAAAGGTCTGTTGAAATCTAAACACAAGACAGAAGTAGTTCTAGCACCTCCACAAAAAGTAGGGTAAGTAAACTTTTCCTTAATATACACTTTCAGCAGCATCAACACCTAAAAGTGGTTGACTTTACTACTGTACTAAATTAAATTACATTCATTTTGTCAATAGGTGTTCCAAATTCATACTGATCTTTGTCTCCAAGGGGTTCCTGCTGAATATTGAGACAGTTGAAGATTACTAGGGGAAAAAATTCTTAATAATCGAAGTAAGGATCATCTAAGGATAATATGCCACATATACAGACACAGTCACATTTTCAGCTTTACAAAAGTTCAGTTATCAAAGTTGTACAGCAAACACTATCCTAAGCTTAGCGTCTTCAGGCATTTGATTTATAATCACTGTAAAGAAAAATCAGTCACAAAATGCCACTTTTGTATGATTCTATTTATATGAAATGCCCAGGATAGGCAAATCTACAGAGATAGAAGTTAGATCAGAGGTTGCCAGGATCAATGGTGGGGGAGAGAGGTACAGGGAGTGACTGCTAGTGGGTACGGGGTTCTTTTTGGGGAGATGAAAATGTTCTGAAATTAGGGAGTGGTAATGGCTGCATAACTCTGAATATACTAAAAACCACTGAACTGTACACTTGAAGGGTGAGGCTTATCATACAAAAACTGTATCACAATAAAGCTCTTAGTTTAAAAAATGTTTGTCTATGTCAAGAAACAAAGAAATAGGGTCATAGCTAGAAGATATGGGATATAAAATACTGGAACAAAACTGCTTAATAATATATCTAGAATCACACAATGGTTAGTCTGTACGCTGACTAAAATCGCGAGATTTGTGTTTTATCGGTATTTCACATTTTTTACTTCTTCTAAGTCAGCCAGTAATTCCTCCTTCTCACCTAAGCATTGACTACAAAGACCAAGCCATTTTGACTCTGCCACCGATGAGCTTTCACATTTCTTTCCTCCTTCCATTCCCATGACTACCAAACCAGTGTAGGTTCTCCTCACTTCACTCTAAGACAACAGCGTGGCCCTCAAATACTGTCACACTCTTCAAGGCTCTGTGAGCACAATCTGTCTCATATTCTCTTCTGCTGTCACCAGATTTATTCTAAGACCGTTTCTTCACTGTTACTCCCCTGTTTCTCAACCAGTTACACAGAAAGATGAATATCCAGGCATGGTGTCATGTGCCTGTAGTCCCAGCTACTCAGGAGGCTGAGGCGGCAGGATCGCTTGAGAATGTGAGATTCAGACTGCAGTGAGCCATGATCATGCCACCGCACTCCAGCCTGGGCAACAGAGTGAGATTGTCTCAATAAATAAATAAATAAATAAATAAATAAATAAATGTGGTCTATCCATGCAACGGAATACTATAAAATTATCAGCCTTAAAAAAGAAAGAAGCCCTGTCACATGCTGCAATATAGATGAACCTTGAAAACATTACACTAATTGAAATCAGCCCATCACACAAAGACAAATGCTGTACGATTTCTCTTACATTAGGTTTGAAATTAGTCAAACTCATAGAAACAGAAAATAGAGCGGTTGTTTCCATAAGCCAGGGGATAGAGAAATGGGGAGTTGTTGTATAGTGGCTATAGTTTCAGTTCTCCAAGAGAAGCAAGTTCTAGAAACTCGTTACTCAACATGTATATTTTTAACACTACTGCACTGTATACTTACAAGTGGTTAATATGGTAAATTTTATGTTGTGCCTTATCACCATAATGTTTTTAAAAGAAGGGGTTTGTGTTTCCCTTCGTTGTGATCACCCATTTTTCACTTCAGCATTTTGAACTTGAGATTTCCTGTAGCGGTTTTACTGAGCCCTGCAGTTACCGGCTCAGAATGTCTCCACCACCTTGTAACCTTGTAGGCAGACACTTTTCAGCATCTTATTGGGCTCCGTGTGCTTGATGCTTAAAGTGACATGGAGACATGCCACTTGCTGAGAAGCAAAGAAAGGCAAAAGGTGACTGCTTTCCTGGCATCGATGAAGGCAGAGAGAAGGGATCTTGGAGGCACAGATATTAAGCCATAAGCAATAACATGGGTTGCCAAAAAGAGAACTAACCCCTCTCCTGGTAACATTTCCAGGTGTTTTTCACAGGGCCAGTGGATTTCACAACGCGAGTGCTGTCCAGCACCAAAGGGAATGGCCAACAGGCATGGAGCAGCCTGCAGCATCCAGCACCCAGGAGGATGACCGGCATGCATGGAGCAGCCTACAGCGTCCAGCACTCAGTAGGATGGCCAGGAGGCATGGAGCAGCCTGCCTGTCCCAGGAAAGCAGGAGTCACAGGACACAACTGGACCCAGGTAGGCATGTATGTTAGTTTCCTGTGGCTGTTAGAGCAAATTACCAAAAATTTGGTGACTTAAAACAACAGAAATTTATTTTCTCACAGTTTTGGATATCAGGAGTCCAAAATCAGTATCACTGGGCTGAAATCTAGGTATCAGCAGAGCCAGTGCTCTCAGAGGCTGAGGGGAAAATCCATCCTTTGACTTTCGCAGCTTCTGATGGCTGCTGGCATTCATTGTCTTGCAGCTCCACCACTCCAGGCTCTGCCTCCTTGGTCACAGGGCCTCCTTCTCTTCTGTCTGAAGTTAAATCTCCTTTATCTCCCTCTTATAAGGATATATGTGCCAGGATTTAATGCCCACGGAGACAATCCAGGATAATCTCTCCTCAAGATCCTTAACTTAATCATACCTGAAAATATGCTTTTTCCAAATGAGGTAACATCTACAGGTTCTAGGAATTAGGACTTAATTATTAGCTCCCACTTATAAGTGAGAACATGCAGTATTTGGTTTTCTGTCTCTGTGTTAGTTTCCTGAGGATTATGGCCTCCAACTGCATCCATGTTGCTGAAAAGGACATGATTTTGTTCCTTTTTATAGCTTCATAGTATTCCATGATATATATGTCCCACATTTTCTTAAAAAGAGATTTATTATGGGGTCATGGCTTACATTATTATGAAGGCAAAGAATGTGCCATCTGGAAGCTGGAACACTCAGAAAAATTGGTGATTTAATTCTGTCCAAGTCAGAAGGCCTGAGAACCAGGAGAGCTGATGGTGTACATCCCAGTCCCAGGACAGAAGATGAGATGTCCCAGCACAAGCAAAGAGGCAGAAAGAAAGGGGGCAAATTTCCCCTTCCTCCCTTTGTTCTACTCAAGCCCTCACCAGGTTGGATGATGTCCATCTCCATGGGGCCATCTACGTTACTGAATTCACTGACTCAAAAGCTAAAGTCACCTGGAAACACTCACAAACACACCCAGAAACAATGTTTAATCCGAGCACCCTGTGGCCCAGTCAAGATGGCACATAAAATTTACCCTCACAGTGTAATCCCAGGAGCGAGGCAGATCGCTTGAGACTGGGAGTTCCAGACCTGCCTGGGCAACATGGTGAAACCTGTTTTTTTGTTGTTGTTTGTTTGTTTTTCAGATAGAGTTTCGCTCTTGGTGCCCAGGCTGGAGTGCAATGACGGCTCACCGCAACCTCCACCTCCCGGTTTTAAGTGATCCTCCCGCCTCAGCCTCCCAAGTGGCTGGGATTGCAGGAGTGAGCCACCATGCCTGGCTAATTTTTTTTTTTTTTTTGGTGGAGACAGTTTTCTCCATATTGGTCAGGCTAGTCTCAAACTCCCGACCTCAGGTTATCCACCCACCTCAGCCTCCCGGGGGTGCTGGGATTGCAGGCGTCAGCCGCCGTGCCCGGCGCAATTTATTAATCAGAAAGGAATAGATCGGCCTGGCGTGGTGGCTCACCCTTGTGATCCCAGGATTTTGGACGGCCGAGCGCAGCGGATCACTTGAGCCTAGGAGTTCCAGACCAGCCTGGACAACATGGTGAAACATGGTCTTTTTTTTTTTTTTTTTTTTTTTTTTTTGAGTGGAGTTTCGCTCTTGTTTTCCAGGCTGGAGTGCAGTGGCACGGTCTCGACTCACCGCGGCCTCCACCTCCCGGTTAGGTGGTTCTCCTGCCTAAGCCTCCTGAGTGGCTGGGATTGCAGGCATGAGCCACCATGCCAGCTAATTTTGGTGTTTTTTTTTTTTGTACAGACGGGGTTTCTCCGTGTTGGTCGGGCTGATCTCAAGCACCTGACCTTGGGTGATCCACCTGCCTCCACCTCCCTGGGTGCTGGGATTGCAGGCGTGAGCCACCATGCCCGGCTTTTTTTTTTTTTTTTTTTAAGAGACGGGGTTTCTCACTTTTGGTCAGGCTGGTCTCAAACTGTGGACCTCAGGTGATTCGCCCGCCTCGCCTCCCGGGGTGCTGGGATTGCAGGCGTGAGCCACCACACCCAGTCCAATTTATTAATCAGAAAGGAATAGATCGGCCTGGCGTGGTAGCTCATGCTTGTGATCCCAGTACTTTGGACGGCCGAGAGCAGCGATCGATTGAGCCTAGGACTTCCAGACCGGCCTGGGCAACGTGGTGAAACACTGTCTTTTTTTTTTTTTTTTTTTTTTTTTTTAGTGGAGTTTTGCTCGTTTTCCAGGCTGGAGTGCAGTGGCGTGGTCTCGACTCACCGCGGCCTCCACCTCCTGGGTTTAGGTGGTTCTCCTGCCTCAGCCTCCTGAGTGGTTGGGATTGCAGGCATAAGCCACCATGCCAGCTAATTTTGGTTTTATTTTTTTGGTACAGACGGGGTTTCTCCGTGTTGGTTGGGCTGATCTCGAGCTCCTGACCTCGGGTGATCCGCCCGCCTCCGCCTCCCTGGGTGCTGGGATTGCAGGCATGAGCCACCGCGCCCCCGGTCCAATTTAGTAACCAGAAAGGAATAGATCGGCCTGGCGTGGTGCCTCCCCCTTGTGATCCCAGGACTTTGGAAGGCAGAGTGCGGCAGATCGCTTGAGCCTAGGAGTTCCAGACCGCCTGGGCAACATGGTGAAACCCGGTCTCTGTTTTGAGACGGAGTTTCACTCTTGTTGTCCAGGCTGGAGTGCAATGGTGTGATCTTTGCTCACCGCAACCTCGGCCTCCCGGATTTAGGTGATTCTCCTGCATAGGCCTCCCTAGTAGCTGGGATTACAGGCATGAGACACCATATCCGGCTAATTTTGTAGATTTTTTTTTTTTTTTTTTTTTTTTTTTAGTAGAGACGGGATTTCTTCATGTTTGTCAGGCTGGTCTCCGACCTCGGGTGATCCGCCCACCTCTGCCTTCCAAAGTGCTGGGATTGCAGGCCTGAGCCACTGCGCCCGGCGGAAACCCAGAACAGAAAAACAAAACAAAAACCACAAAGATTAGCCGGGTGTGGTGGGCCGCGCAGGTAGTCCCAGCTACTCTGAAGGCTGATGGAGGAGGATTGCTTCACCCCAGCTTCTAGGTGGCAGTGAGCTATGATGGCGCTGCTGCACTCCAGACTGGGCGACAGAGCGGGACTCTGTGGCAGGAAAAGGGAAAGGAAAAAAAAAGAAAAAGAATGTAAATAAAATTGCTAACTCAAGGAACAGCTTGACAGTATATTATTGCGACAAATAGAGGCAAAGGTTAGCAGACACCAGTGTTCACTTAGTGGGAACTGCAGGTGTTCCCCCCATAGGAGGCTGCTACTTTCCCACAAGAAATCCATTACTGACTACCGATAAAAGAACACATTGTAGGTTTCTTACAATATATAAATAGCTAAACTTTATATAGCCACGACCATATTCTAGCACTGCTCTAAGCCTTTTCCTGCTCTGAAATAGCTACTATTGTTACCTCCATTGTAGAGAAAACAGGTGCCGGAGGCTGTTGTGGAAGGACCAGAGAAACTGACTATGAAATTGACTTGTTGTAAGTTTCAGACTTAAAAGTTCTTCCTGCTCTGCTCCTTCCATTGCCACATTTTAGTTAAGGTACCTCTTACAATACTGGTCCTTTCTGTATTTGGAGGGACTTCTCTTGCAAATTGAAGTTTTTTCTTGCGCTAAGCATTTGGTCATGAGATTATCTGCGTTTTACATCAGTTTAAGTACCTCTTTAGACATTGTTCAGTTAGGAATGTAAATAGGAGCTAACATTGTGTGTAAAAGGAAAGAACATCTGATTACAACCACTTTTGTTTCATAATACAAATATAAATCAATATGTTATTGGAAATGCAGGCTGGGAGGGGAGGGAAAATATGCATACAGAAAAGCCCCATCTCTGCTTGGAGTTCAGCACTGGGTCTCTTTTTCCTTTCCACCTTCCTTGTCAAGGCTGCCACAGTGACAAGCACACAGAGGTGCCTTCAGTGACACCTGCTGGGACAGACCTGGCAGAACGGATTGCAGATTTGCATGTTTCCTGGCTGCCTCTGCTAGCCTGAGTCAGCAGCCCACTCCAATTCATGCTGAGCTTAGACAGCTCAGGTTTGCAAAATTATCCCTTCCCTTGGAGCAACCGCTTTCCAGTCTCCTCATCATTCCTAAAGGAGAATGATATACATGCCAGCATGACAGAGGTCCAGAAATTTATAGAAGCTTCACTGTGAGCCTATATCCTTAACAGGGGCTCAAACTACCAACACCGAATGAAGAGAGAGGTTTTGCAGTAAAGCAGGAAGTCATTAAAATAATGAATCACCCAGCTAGGTTTTGAGCTCCTTTTCCACCAATTTAATGGAAAGTTTTATTGTCTTTCCAATGTACACTTTCATAAATTTTCCATAAATTTATTATTCACATCTTAACATAGGTAACTCCTTTGTGTTTGATCACTGAGCAAATTATACGCAGCAAAACAATCCTATATTTTGGTGAACTCATAGCTTAGAAAATACTAAAGACTCATTGTAAGCTGAGGGCAGCATTAAGCAAATTATATTTACCTTTGTGACTGCAAAACTTAATGATTCAATGCTTTTCCCATGAAATTTATCTTCCAATACTGATAGTTTTTTAAACAAAAAATATGAATTAAATATCAATTAAAATTTTATCATTGTTTTCAGAAACTGTGACTTCACTAGTTATGAACAGACTTGAAATGTATAGTTTTTAAGTTTGGAAATTCTTTGTAGTTTCATTTACTTTTCCAGGAAGGGAGTGAGATATTTTTTGCCACTGTTGCCTGGTTTTTGTTTGGTTTTTGATCATAAACAAAACTTAATGGAGCCTCAAATCTACTAACTCGGTCCTCCTCTGGCAATATGCCTTTTTCTGATTTCTAGATATCACTTGATATTTTTAACACACTAATTTTATTATTTAAAAATTTATAAAAGTACTCAGAAGTAAGAAGCAAATTAAATTTGAAACCTTAGTAGTAATACCATCATCCAAAGTCATCATCAATAATATTTTGGCATATTTTATTTTAAAATACATTTCAGCACAGTTTAGTTACATTTGTTATATCTGTATCAATAAACTGTTTTCATATGTCATTACTTTTATGGATATAATTTTTGACGTGTGACTAATACTAAATCTTACATACTTGCTGTAGTTGACCTTGTGAGACATTTAGATTTTCAACTGTTTAGTACTTTAATAACCAGTTTTTATTCTAATATCATTATTAGAATAATAATATTACTATAGTATTATTATTATTATTGTAGCAATAACTTGTTTTTAGAATAAATATCCTATTTCTCATTTAACTTGATTGGATCCGTGCACGGACAATTATGTTGGGAACATAGAATGTAACTGGCCCTGTTTCAACCCCTTAGATGTGGCCCTCAGTTTAGGGAAGGGAGGAGTTCTCTACTGGGCTGATAAAGCAGAATTCAGAAACATTGTTTTCTTCTTTACCTGGTGTTTTACAAAACCAGATGTGAGTGTGACTTGTAAAGGCAAGAGCATGTATATTATGCAAAAGCAGCCTGAAATATTTTATTCACAGATAGACAGACAATGCTTGACTCCCTGCTAATCTGAAATACTTCATGGGGAGGGCCAGGGAAATCAAAACAAAATTTCAGAAGTAGAATGAGCTATTTGGTGTATGTCTCCAAGGCCAATAAATAACAAGAAGGAAAAATAAATTTCTTTGCTAACAACAAGAAGGAGAAATAAACTTTTTTGCTCTAAAACATTTTCCAATTATCTCCATGACACTGGAGGGAAGGACTAACAAAAAAAAAAAAAGAAAGAAAGAAAAAAAAAAGAAAAGGAAAAAAAAAGGTGGGGCATGGTAGCTCATGCCTGTAATCCCAGCACTTTGGAAGGCCAAGGCAGGTGGATCACAGGGTCAGGAGGTTGAGACCATCCTGGCCATCCTGGCTAACACGGTGAAACCCCGTCTCTACTAAAAATACAAAAAATTTGCCAGGCGTGGTGGCGCCCGCCTGTAGTCCCAGCTACTTGGGAGGCTGAGGCAGGAGGATGGTGTGAACCCAGAAGATGGAGTTTGCAGTGAGCCGAGATCCCGCCACTGCACTCTAGCCTTGGCTACAAAGCGAGACTCTGTCTCCAAAAAAAAAAAAAAAAGTTCCCAATGCACAAATCAATCAAGAATTTCACCCCCAACAGTGAAAAAAATTGTGAAAGCAGTCAGGTTTTAGTCACTGTAAATCACAATTTCAATTCCACCCATCCAAAGAAAGCTATGTACATCCTTCTCATTCCAAATACATACAGGCCATGAGTTAATAATCTTTCATTCTTCTAAAATATCAACAGATTTGCTTTTTTACTTTCATTTGTAGTTTATAGCACTCACAATTAAATTGATCCAAATGTATTTGAGGTACTATATATATACATATATATATATATATATATATATATATATATATATATGGATCAAAGGTCAATGCTATTGTCTATGCATTAGCCACTCCCATTTATGAGAATTTTCTGAACTTGTTGCTATATATCTCTTAAATGGTGTCCGTTGGCCACATTTCTTTCCTGAGAAACAACTGAGCAGCTGACAATGGAAATGAAGCTCTCTGCATTCCTGTTAGGCATACTGCATACATCTTAGGCTCTCTGCATGCCTCTTAGGCACTTACATTTACATATATTTGTATCTCATTACATAGTGATACAGTCCTAAAATAAATAATGAGTTATTTTCTAGACTAATTTGATGAGGCTTTTATTTGATAACAAATTAAAATTATGCCACCAGATGCCTATACTTTGACTTATAAAATGTGTTGTGTTCTGCATGGGCAAACAGAAAGTGCAGAAATTGAACGGCTGCCTGGTAAAATTACCTAAATCCACAATGCCACTGGACAACATTGAACTAGATATTTAAATAAGTGAAAGTAATCAAGTAGTTGAGTTCACTGATAAAATTATACTTGGAATCTTACATCATTCCCAGATTAATATATACAATGTATATCAAATGTCATTGCTATGGGAATGGAAACTGTTACACATGAGGTTAAATTTTTATAAAGAATTTTTTTTCCTCTAGAACTGACATTGAGAAACTTGATACCCTCTCTTTATGGCAT